>NC_000002.12:150216890-150519921 GCF_000001405.40 Homo sapiens | reverse complement strand
TTGACAAAGCCATATTCACTACCTTGGTAAAACAGATTTCTGTCCAATCTAAGTTTCAAAAAAGAAAACTATTTAATTAAGTGAGGGTACTAATATGGCATGGAGAAAAAGAATTCTTAGTCATAAATCAAATATGCACTATTGAAACCACATGCTTTTAAAAAATAATGGTTTCCATCTTTACAAAAAAAATTACAGTATTTGAAAATTATAAGCCATTGTACCTAACTCCCTCCATCCATCCTGCTTAGATGGGGAAGAGCCACCTGTCATTGATGCACTAGAAATATGTCTATACGCAAATCTCTGTGCCTTTTTAAAAGACACTGCCAGAAGCCCGCTCATTCCTAACTGTGCAGGGGGTTCGGCTGCTTTAGAGTGCTGATTGTTCCCTCAAAGTTCATACATATTTTGGGATGAAATTTTGTGTGTGTGTGCATGAGCTGTGCCTTACAGCTTGGGTTTCTAAATATGTTTTTGTTTGCCTGGTTGGTTAGTTGGTTGTCATGAGTTTACTAATAACTCTATAGAATGTATGTGAAAGAGTCCAATATTGGCATTACTAAATTCAGATTCTAGACGAGTACTTAGGCATTACAAAACTGGAAAATATGAGAAAAGGATGCATTGTCCAGGCTCCATAAATATACTCTGTCATTTTATTTTAAACACTCCTAAAAGGATTTTTTTTTTTTTTTGCAATTAAGACCTTTTGCTCACAACAATTTCTCCATAAGTTATTTTACAAAAAAGCAAGGGTTAAAAGAGGTGAACAAATGCCAAAATTTGGGGAAGGGGGTTGCTGTGTTTCCTCTTTTGTTGTTTGAAGAATTGGGGGGTGGTTTTATTGTTCTTTTCTCTTTTCAAAATCCAGTTAATATAAACGCTTTTTTAATTGCAGAATCAGGCTTTGATGTCATTTAATGAGACATTCCTGAGGAGGTACAAAGTAAAAATAACATGAATAGTTATGCTGCAATCATTAAATCATCATTCCACCATAATAAAACCCAATACATGGTGAAATGAAAGTCATCTGTTCTGTAGGCAATGAGAGAAATTAAAATCCTCTAAAGTAACAAAAAAACAAGAAACTCCCACATGTACAATTATAATATTTGTGAATCTAAATACATGGTCATTCATTTCTTAAAGAAATTTTTGATGAAAAAGCAATTTTCCAGATAGAAATATATACATTAAGAAAGAACTTCTTTTCTGAGAAAATTTCAGCTTTGATCATGTAAATACCAATACTGATGAATTTCTTTTACTTAGTCACATATTTGCCCCTTCCTGAGAAGAAACAAACTGTATAAACTGTTGGTTTTCAAAACAGTCTACCTTAATTGGAATAGAAGCTAAACAGACAAAGATAAAAAAGATATCAATTGAAATAGTTTGGCCTTTGCTAAAACCTAAGTCACTATGGCCACCACAAATATAAACTCAAAAGATCCTGAATCATACATGAATGAATGCCAAATGCTGCTTCTCCACCGAGGAGACATTTGAAAGGGCAACAACAGCTTGCAAAGTACACCATGTGCCTGTGTAATCCTAGTAATGTGTTAAAATATTATTTATAAAAAACTTACTAAAAGGTTTTTTAAAAAAGCCAATTTCTTCCATACCAAAAATGAAAATGAAAAAAAAAATCCTAAAAGAAACACAGGAATCTCATTTTTTCTAATTAAACTGACTGAACCTATAAATAATTTTAATTTCTGAAAATGGCTAAGAAGTACTGAAACGTTACGAGAGCGGGAGAATCACTGGCATGCCAGATACAAGCAAGGCTGTTTGCATATCTTGTGGCTTGGCCATCTTCTATTCAAAAGCTATTCAGAATTGTTTTAACTTCACTAAAAATCCAACAGGAGTTTATTATAACCTCTGCAGTAGGAACCCACTCAGCTAAAACTTGTAAAATCTAATTTTTATGACGTTACTGAAATGTTAAGACTTTACATTTTGGTAGCCATGACCAAAAAACACTCTAGAGAGATGATTCTACCATGTTAGCCCTATGAATAATAACGAACCTTTAGCTGGCTTCTCTGATGAGCCTTACCATGTACTCCATAATATAATCTTTTAAATGGGCAACTTCTAAATATTGACACAACCATTAATAATAATGCTTATAGGGTAAAAGAAAATTTTTGAAGCACTGAATTCAGTAACCTGGGTCATGGTCCAATTTTGCTCACTACTTCATATCTTTTATGTAGATTATTCCTATAAACATGTTCCCTAAATTCCACATCAGTTTGTAAAGTCAATGGATTAAATTATTCAAATGTAGCTATTTAACGGTCAGTAACAATGCCTAGAAACCTATTTATTCATCTGTAATATTAGAAGGCTGAATTGATTGATCTTGAAAATCCTTTCCAGATTTACAACTTTTATTCTAACAGTAAAAGAAATACAGAAAAGTTCCAAACAAACTTGGATGGGAAGCTAATATTTGTAATGTCACACGGAGAGATTAGCTCAACAATTTCCATTAACAGCAGTCATATGGTGAAATCCCCCAGAGCTATTTAGAAACAAATCTCTGATTGCTTAGAACTACAGGTAGAGCCAATTCACTTAGACTTTTTTTTATTAGAAAATTCAGGGCATTCAAAGGTTATGCCCTTTCTTTATTGGGATGGAGTAATAGATGCTTGGAGACTAAATTTTGTGTTTTGCAGATAAATACTGATAAAAGACTGACCTGAGTAAGGAATGAGTGGAGAAGAATGGCAGATGCTATAAAGGTCATAGTAACAGAACTGGGCTCTGGACTGACATGTTACAAGTATTTCAAGACCCCATGGTTTCTTGTTGATAGTAAGGTAGCCTACCAATTTTACTGAATAACTTAAACAGTGAAAGAGGTACTGAGATATTATAAGCAGTGTGTTCACCATTTTATTTTAAGTTGTCTATGGGATAGATGATGCAAGACTAGGCAAATGCCAAAGTCAAAAAAAGGAGAAGCCGATCAAAGGAAGTTTTTAAAGATTTAAAAGAAACATTCTAACATGGTTTCCTTCTTTAAAAGTCAGTGTGTTTGGATGAAGAGGCTGTGTAGGGAATTGGGAAGAAGTGTTATTTTTCATAATCACATGAATTTATAAATTAGTCTTGAAAATTGAATGTAATTATTTCTAGAAAGGTGCTAGGTGTTTCATATTTCTGTAAATATGAAAAAATTTCAGATTATTGAAAAATCAGAGTAGAAATATTAGAATGAATGCTTGAAGAAAACAGAAGAGTTTGAGTGCGGTGGCTCATGCCTGTAATCCCAACACTTTGGGAGGCCAAGGTGGGTGGATCACGAGGTCAAGAGATCCAGACCATCCTGGCCAACATGGTGAAACCCCTCTCTACTAAAAATACAAAAAATTAGCTGGGTGTGGTGCTGCGCGCCTGTAGTCCCAGCTACTCAGGAGGCTGAGGCAGGAAAATGGCAGGGAGGCGAGCTTGCAATGAGCCGAGATTGTGCCACTGCACTCCAGCCTGGGCAACAAGAGCAAGAATCCATCTCAAAAAACAGAAAACAAAAACAAAAAAAAAAAAAAAAAAAAAAAGGAAAGAAAAGAAAACAAAGGAATTATCTTTCTCACATTCCTAACACTCATCCTTCAATTGCTCCTTAAAGATATATAATTTAATGGCATAAGATACATAGATTTGAAAGAATTTATTAAAATTTTTGAGAATACAATTTTTTAAAAGAAAAGTGTATGAAGGAGTTGTGAATTATATTTGATTCATACAATACAGGTATATACTAAGAATGCAACAGTCAAGTCAAATTGATGTGTATAAAAAGTTAAGAACTCATAGAAATAAAAATTATTTTTTCTCTGTGAGTTCTTCCCTGATAATCCATAGGTAGTTTAAGGTGTTCTTTCTGTCCTTTTCCCAATGTACGTTATGTTATAAACTTACTGGAGTAGAATTGTTTCTTTATAGGTCTATCTGCTTCTTGTACTAGATGCTGTTTGCAATCAGGATTGTCTTTTCGCCTTAGTGTCTTCTGTGATTACTGTACAGAGTAAGCATTCAATATGAATTTGCTCAATAGCTTGGTATTGCTTTGATTTATTTTTAATGTAAAGAGAAAGGTCACACAAATAAATAATCTTACCCAAGTGTTTAAAGCCCTGGAGGGTAATATTGGAATACTTATAAGTTAAAAACCTAAAACAAACAATAGCCTGGGAAAAAATACTTGCATCATATATAATAAAAGGAATATCCCAAAGAGACAAATAACTACACAATAACAAGAAAAAGACTAATAGCTAAATAGAAAAGTCATAATAATGGAGAGATACAAATAAAATACATAAATGACTAATAAACATATGAAAAGAAGAGGGAATTATTAGAGAAAGTCAAATTAAAACAACAGTGAACTAGCATGTTTGCCCATTTCATCAAGTAAAATTTTAAAAGATCGATAAGATCAGTGGTTGGTAAAGATACAGGGAAATAGCTACTCATATATTGTTAGTGGGCATGTAAAATGGTACCACCCATTTCAGGGGTTGAGGTTTTCCATTCTGTCTATTACAACTGAAAACATCCTTTGAACCAGCAATATGACATCCTTTGAACCAGCAATATGACATCTTGGAATTAATGTTAGAAAATACTTGCATGAAAAATCATGTGCCTGAATGGTTCTGGTAGCATTTTTGTTGTTGTATTAGTGAAACATTGGAGGCAAGCTAAATATCCATTAATAATATGCAGCTGTAATAAATTGTGGCCTATCTGCAGAATTCTGTACAGTCACAAAAAAGAATAAGTTGACTATGTGTTCATAGACAAGAAAGTGTATCTATGACATAAAGTATGAAAAAGAAAGTTGTAGATGAGTATCTATAGTATGCTCTAATTTTTTTAGTAGAATACATAATCACAAAAACTATGCATGCTAGTATCTGGAAAGGTGCATAATGTCAATGGCTATTGACTCCTGTAGCAGAGACAAGAGACAACCAGAGACTTTCATTTTACTTTTACATATTTTTGCAATGACTTTAGTTGCCACTTGATAATCATTTAAAACACAATGTTTTAAGGATGTGAAATGCAGAGCTAGGACTTTGTATGCCTAGAGTAAAATTTGTAACATTAAATATGATGTTTTTATCTTAAGTATTTTTAATGAATATAATACTTGCATGTACTTTAGAAAATCAAGCCATACGGGAGGACTTTATACATCAGTTTGGATGTTTTTGGCTATAAGGAACAAAAGACTTGATCAATAGAGAAAAAAATAGGCATTTATGATCTCAGTTTACAGTATGTCAAAGGGAGGGCAGGGTTGGTTGATTCAGCAGCTCACAGATGTCAGGAAGCCTGAGTTATTTCTAATTCTCTGTTTTATTATTCTCAGTGTGAATCTCACCCTTAAATGGCTACAGTGGCTCTCGGTGACCTATCTGGATATGGCAACACCATCAGGAAGAGGATAGAGCTTATCTCCCTATAGTTCTCTCTCAATAGCGAGGGGTACCTTTCTCAAAAACACCCCATTCCATACCCCAGAACTCTTCCTTTTGCATTCCACTGGGCAAACCAGCATCCCAATCAAAAGAAGTAGGATTATCCTTGGAGTTTTAGGTAGAACTGGCCTCCCTTGAGCTCCATGAATAAAAACAAAATCAGAGTTCTCTTGGGAGGGAAGGAGGGGTGGATAGATGCTGGATAGTCAACCAGCAATGTCCATTACTGTGCATTATAAAAAGGAGCAGCCCCTTTTTTGCTTCATCACTTCCTTCTCTAATCTCTCATGAAGGAACAACTTTTAACTCCTGTATTCCTTAGATAGTTAACCCTGTATTTCTAAGCAATATGCTTATACTGTTATAACTTGATTTATTAAGTTTAGGGTTTATTTTAGGGTTTATCTGTAGAATTTAAAAAGAATTTAGTATATTTACATTCTCCACCACCACTGTTGATCTTCTCCCAAGTATAATTACATCATTATTTTTGCTTCCTCTAAACACTACCTTTGCAACTCTAAGAAAAATTATATTTACATTTTTTATTTCTTATTCAACCAAAGACAGTAAGTATCTTATGACTCCACACTTTCTCAGCTGAGGCATTACTCATTTCCACCATCTCCTACAGCTTTTTTCCCTGGCTACAAACCTTCCAATTTCTATCATTTATAATTTCATTCTTACATTGACATGCCCATAATATCCAAAAAGCACAGGGAAGTTTATATTCTATAAGCCTAGTTAAGTTTTCTGTGCTGTGACTCTAGGTTTTTTCTAAAGGTTGAAAATCAATAATAGTTATTTATATTAGCACAATTATACATTTTTCATTGGAATTTCCTTTTGTGTAAGCTTTTCTATTGATACTTTTGCTTGTTTTGTTCTTGAACCATTTGCTTTTATCATATTTTCAATTGTTATCAAACTCTTCCTTTATCATTTATTCTCTGTAGTTTCATTTCTGCCCTTGTCGGAGTGATCCTATAAGAATTGTTTCCTCTTTCCCTCTGTCCTGGTTGCTCTGTGGGCCTGCTGAGCAGCTGTCCTTCTTTGACTTCCTTCAACTGTTCTCTTGCTTTGGATAGATTATTTACGTGAGTTCCCACCTCTTTTTCTTTGTCCATTCCCTCCTTTTGCTGAAGAGTATCCTCAAAAACTCCTAGGAAAGGCCAGGCGCAGTGGCTCACGGCTGTAATCCCACCACTTTGGGAGGCCGAGGCAGGTGGATTGTGAGGTCAGGAGACCAAGACCATCTTGGCCAACATGGTGAAACCCTGTCTCTACTAAAAATACAAAAATTAGCCAGGCGTGGCATTGCGCGCCTGTAGTCCCAGCTACGCAGGAGGCTGAGGCAGGAGAATTGCTTGAACCCGCGAGGCAGAGGCTGCAGTGAGCCGAGATCTCGCCACTGCACTCCAGCCACTGCACTCTGTCACTCTGGGTGACCGTCTCAAAAAACAAACAACAACAACAACAAAAACTCCTAGGAAAGTTTGCTTGGAAGGTTGACTCTCCTCAGAGTTTTATTCTGATACCATGTTTGATAGTTTGGCTCGTTTGTATATCACATTTCCAGCTTGGAAGGCATTGTTTTGTTGGCTTATAATATCCAGAGTGATCTATCTATCTATCTATCTATCTATCTATCTATCTATCTATCATCTATCTATCATCTATCTAGATATATATACATGTATATATGTGTATGTACAATTGACCCTTGAACAACATGATTTTGAATTGCATGAGTCCACTTATATGTGGATTTTTTTCTGCCTTTGCCATTTCTCAGACAAGACCAAAACCTCCTCTTCCTCCTCCTCCTCAGCCTACTCTATATGAAGATAATAAGGATGAAGATCTTTATGATGATCCACCTCCACGTAATGAATAGTGAATACTGGAATCATATTTTCCTTATGATATTCTTAATATTTTCTTTTCTATAGCTTACTTTATTGTAAGAATACAGTATATAATACATATAATATACACAATATGTGTTAATCAACTGTTTATAAGTAAGGCTTCTGGTCAACAGTAGGCTATGAGTAGTTAAGTTTTTGGGGAGTCAAAAGTTACATGCAGATTTTTGGCTGCATGCAGGTCAGTGCTCCTAAGCCTCATGTTGTTTCAGAGTCAACCGTGTGTGTGTGTTTGTGTGTATGTATATGTGTATAATATATACTTAAATTTACATATATTTTCTCTGGAAGCTTTTAGAGACTTCTTTTTAATCTTAAGTGTTCTGAAATTTCCAGCAGATGCTCCTACATATGTGGTTTTCACTGATGTTATTAGATGTTGTTGAGTTCCTTCAATACGAATGTCTATGTCCTTCTCTACAAGAAATGTGTTTGTTTTGATAATATATCTTCTCATCTGATTTTATTATTCTTTCTTTCTGAAACTCATTATTTGGATAATATATTTGCTGGGTTAGTTATCTTTTGTTAATCTTTTCACATATCTTCTTTCTTTTCCATATATAGTCAGTCATTTGACTGTTTTCTAAAAGATTTTATCTACTTAAATACTTCTTTTATAAATTTTGCTTTATTTTTTCTTTTCCTTTCAGCAATAATTTTTAAATTCCAGAAGCTCTTTCTTTTTCTCTGTCCATTTTCCTATCCTTGTGTTTTTTTTGATGGACAATATCATCTTCTTAAATATATCTAAGAATACTATTTAGAGATTTTTGTTTTATCCTTTTCTGTTTCCTGGATTCTTTTATTTTCTCTGAGGTTAATATTTTTATTTATTTCTTTCTCTTTCATGCTATAGGTTTTCCACAAAAACTTTCTTTCTTTGTTATCTTATATTAATAATATATATTATTATATTAATGAATAATATTATTATTATATCAATGAACAAGGCAACATAAAATTTCACTCTGGGTGATAGTATAGAAGCAGGGATCTTCTTTACAATCTCCATAACCAACAGCCTTCTCTCCAGGAAGAACTAACAAGGAATGAGCTATCATGCTTTGGTGTCCCTAAATGGCAGAGTACAGAGAGTTTTGATGTGGATTGTCAACTCCCACACCATCTACCCTAATTTCCCCCAAATAGTTACTTCAGCTTCTTTAGAGAAAAGTCCTTGGTTGCTGTGGTTGCAGTGACAGTGGTAGTGGCAGTGGGTAGATACCTTGATGCCAGGCATTTTGTTACTGGAGATCGACTGGGTTATACACAGAATTTAATTTTTCTTTTGTCATTTCCACAGCTTTTTCTTTACCTTTAGTAGTGTCTTCCATTTCTGAGGCCTAATCCTTTTCAGAGTTCTTAAGTGAGGATAAACTCCAGCCAGGGTCATGGATCTCTCCACATGAACTCATGGCTGTGTTGTCCACTGGCCAACTGCATCACCCACAACCAGTCCTTCATTTTCTGTTGGTCTTCAGAAATCTGTTACAAGTTCTTTGTCTGTTGATATCTACCCCTATCTTTTTTTTTTTTTTTTTTTACTGTTTGGGATTTTATCTTCTTTATTCTCTACTACTATTTTAGTGAGGTTTCATGGGGTGAGGGAGAGTGATAGGAGAGAGATAAACACACGTACTTGATCTGCTATTTGGAACCAAAAATCACAGATAAGCTTCTAAAGACAAATTTTCACCTCCAGTTTAGCATTATAGTTACAGAAATCTTTACCTTTTACAAGCACCTTGTCATGCAACATTTTCTTTAATCTTCACAACCTCATGAGATAGACAAAATTATCTCTAATTTACAAATAACAAAAATCAGATGCAGTAAGATTGGCTTCCTTAAGGTTAAACATTAATTAGAACTCAAAGTATTGTAATTTTATGATTTTGGTACCATCGCCAACAACATAACTATGTTAAGAGGTCATTGCTTTAGACATGTGCCTCAGTTGCTGACATTGCTTAGGATGAATGACAGTATCATATGAAGAGCCCTTGGCTGGAAGAGTCAGGAGGCTTAAAATCTAGTCTCATTCCTCTGAACTAATTAACCACAACTTCACAGGCTTTTATTTCCTCATCTGTAAAGTAAGAGGATCAAATGCAATAATATTTTCAAATTTCTTTTCAGCATTCATGTTTTATGTTTCTATAAACCTGGAGAATGTGATCCTCAATTATATTATTTGAGGCTTGATAAACCTCACTGTAGAAGTGTGTCCTGAGCATGTTACTTTGGATTTAAGCAGACAGTGCTCTGCCCTTAGTGGGATAGGCTTCAACAAGAGTTTTCCCAGGGCATCAAATTAAGTCTAATGATATTTAATAGTTAGGACTCTTGCCTAATTGGGACAGTCATGCTCACTTAATTGAGATGCCTCTAGGTAATTGTGTGGTATATCTACAGAACTTGAGGTGACCGGAGACTAGTCATCTTTTGGACTTGAATAATTCTTAGTGCCAATTCAGCAGAGCAAACGCAGAGTGAACTCTTCTTTAGAAAAATAATCTCTTCTAGATAAAAATAATCAATTTTCCTAGGAAGAAGATGACTCTTCAGTTGTCTGGTAAAAATCAATTGGTAAATGCCACTCTTGCTTCCAGAGAGGAGGCTAATCGTTGATAGGCTGGTCTAATATGTTGAGCACTCCTCATAGGTTTGTATCACAGCAGGCGTAGTGGTATGGTCTTGTCTTAGAGAATCTTATAATCCACATTAAAAGACAAACCCATATAGAGAAAAGAGGCAGGTGCTGACTCTGAGATGTAAGAAAAAGGAAGACTTCAAACATGTGCACACATACATGCACGCTTATTAGATAAATCAAAGGAAAGCACAGGGTCATAGATTCTTCTTTGTAATCTCCATAACCTCAACAGGAGGTGCAGAATTTAACACATGGCTGTTTTATCCATCAGTCTTCTTTCTTCAAGACTGAATGAGGTCTCTGGTTTCTTAAACAGTTGCTATATTGAGGTTTGTTGCCGTGGCCTATGAAAATCTTCATCTTTTCAATATAGTCCATTCTATCCTCTACTTGCCCTATATGACAATACTTTCCTAATAAGTAGCATTTAGGGAAGTTTCATAATTCAGAACTTTTTTATTTTATCATCTACCCACCTACTTGGGATGCTGAAGTGGGAAGATTGCTTGATCCCAGAAGTTTGAGGCTGCAGTGGGCTATAGTGGTGCCATTGTACTCCAGACTGGGTAACAGAGTGAGACCCTGTCTCTGAAAAATAATCATCACCATAAAATAAAACAAAAATTAAATAATTTTTAAAAGATCTAATATAAAGCACATTAATTTTTTTAAAAAAACACATAGACCTATAAACACATAGACCTATAAAGTATGATTTGATGCCCTTCTGGGGACACCTTTGGTTTTATCTGAGATAAGTTGATATCATATAAGAGTGAACATGTCTAGAAGAATCACAATATTTCCTGAGTAGTTGAACACTGCACACATAAAATTTGTTCTTAATCCAAATAATCTCAAACCACATGTCCCATGTAATCACTGTAGTTGTCAACAGCCGACTCACACTGGTTTATTTTTTTCCACAGGGGTGGAGCTTTTTAGATAATTGATTTAACAAAGTTAAAGGTGTAAGTTTAATTATTGCTTTTCAGCAGTTTATATGACATTTGGGCTCAGTAACACCACTGAGATTTTTTTTCCACCCAAAGCTGGAATGTTCCGTGCCCTTGCTCTAACCCCATCTGAACCAGGCACTTATCTACACTATTATTAGCAAAAGTATTTTACAACTCACTGTGAAAGCAGAGAGTTACCTTTCTCTGCTATCTCACTGAGGCACTCAGGCTGGGGTAAAAGACCAGCAGTGGTTAAGCAAATTAATATGCTAACATCAGGTGGATTTCAGCATCCCAAAGGACAAGCATTTATTTAGCATCCCTCTTTCCCTTCCCTTTGGTTCCACCTCACCCCTATGTCTGACTTGTACTGAGTAGTAAATTGGCAGTTTGCACTACAATGGTTTGGGATATAATAAAATATTCACTAGTTTTACAATATTTGTGATTTTATTTTCAATTTTAATTATGTTGTTCTTGTTATAAACATCCTTAGTTTATGAGACAATGAATATATTTCATATTTGTTTAAAATACTTTAAGTGCCATTGAAAGGTTGTCTGCAATTTGGGAAGCAGAGTCATTGTGTCATTTTTCTATTTAATGCTGTGTTCCTGATAGGTACTGAATAAGTGACAATCATTGTTGATTACTTAACTGCTATCAATGTATTTCATAAAATAACCTATACAATATTTTATCAGTATTATAGTCCATCTGATGAGCATTAAACCTGCCAACAATAATGTCATATTTATTACATAATTCTTCTGAATAAGGTCATCTTATGACCTTTTTAATTCCTCAGAATCTCTATTTACTTTGAAATTCAGATTTATTGGATCAATTTATAAAGTCAAAGTTGTGCTACCACTTCACAGGCATAAAAATCTGCTCAGCTATAGACCCAGGTTACGTTGGCAAGCATCCTGCAGCAGAGTTTTAAATTTAATTCTAGACTTTAAAAAAACCTGGATAGAAGCAAGAAAGATTGCTGGACGGAGTACTGATGAAAGCAAGGTGAAGTTGAGAGTCAGAAGGCTGGTCAAGCTTGTGTAAGTGCCTTAGTTGCTAATTTGCCTGTGGCTTTCTTTAAACCTCGGTTTTATAATTTTTATAGTGAAGGTACAGAACTCAATCTCTCTGACTGTATATCATGTTGATGTTTCTTGCACCTCATGTAGTTCTTATAAAGGCACTCTAAGGCTATGGTGATTTTCTGAACCCAAAAGCTAGTAATGTCACAAAGGTTGTTTTCTAATCTATGAAATATCTGAATGTATTTTGTAAATATAAAAGTCTGTCAAAGCTGGGCAAAGACACAAAAGTATTTTATCTTTAAAAACACTACCAAAATTTAAAGATCAAGTCACATTTAGTTACACATTTAAGTAATTTTCTATCTCAAAAAAAAAAAAGATTTCAGCAGTTGAGACACTGCCAATAAATCTCCATATTTATTTTCTGTTATAGACTGAACTGTGCCCTCCTCTATCCCAAGTTCATATGTTGAAGCTCTAACCCCTAATGTGATCATATTTAGAGATAATGTCTTTAGGAGGTAATTAAGGTTAAATGAGGTTACCAAGTTGGGGCCCTAATCCAATAAAACTGGTGGGCTTCTAAGAAGAGGAAGAGAGAGAGAAATATCTCCTTGCACATGCACAGAGGACAGGCCATGTGAGGACACGTTAACAAGGTGGCCAACTACAAGCAAGGAAGATAGACCTTACCAAAAACTGAACCTTGCCAGATCTCAATTTTTGATTTTCCAGCCTCCAGAACTGTGAGAAGATTAATTTCTGTTGTTTAAACCATGCAGTCTGTGGTATTTTATTATGGCAGTCTGAGCTAAGACATTCTCCATATTTATTAAAAGTATCAGAAGTAAATAAAATATTATGCTGTGGAAGTTCATGGGAGTCCTCAAAATAGATCTGGTGCTATTGCGTCTGAAATATTTGACTGTCTGGAAATAGTACCATCTTAAAAAATTCACTCTATTAGGTTGCAGGAGGGAAGATCTTACTCTGGTGTAGTTCTAATTATCATAAGGCATTGTGGAATTAATATTCAGATAATGTTTACCACATGTATAGTTTTAAACTGAACAATGGCAATATTCATCTATTTACAACCATTAAAGATGATCTCTTAAGATTCATTTTGTCCAAAATAGAGACGGGTATAGGTGTCCCCTGCAGGGTGGAAGAATACTGTGGACATCCTACAGGGCTGCCATGTGGTCACTCCAAGCTTTCCTGCATTTGCCAGGGTGTTCTGCCCTCTCTCACAGTGAGTAAGCATAGGGACAAGCAAAGATATTAGGTAAGTCAGAGATGAATGTTACTTTTCTTGTTACCAGAATCAAAAAAATGTAATTGAGCCATTGTCCACAAGCACAAAGAAGAGAAAGGTTAAGTGACTCGCCCACAGTGCTCATTCAGAGGAAGAGTCAAAATCCGAAACCAGCTCTCCATCAAATATTCACTCCATTGTTCAAGCTTTTATCCAGTCAACTACACAAAATTCCTCTCTCTATATGGAGATATAACTGGGCCTAAAACATGAATGCCACAGATTCTATGACATAGCACAATACTTTAGAATATATTAAAATGGGTGCACATTTCCTCAATGGAAAAAAAAAACTAAAATATTAGATATTTTTGAAAACACTTATGCCACCCAAAACAACCAGATGTTATAGAGTGAATGTTTTTCGTTCTTTATAAATTTGGTAACATATGGACCCCACGTATATTCAAGA
The DNA here is from genome assembly GCF_000001405.40 of Homo sapiens. Classification (NCBI taxonomy): domain Eukaryota; kingdom Metazoa; phylum Chordata; class Mammalia; order Primates; family Hominidae; genus Homo; species Homo sapiens. Next base: position 150,506,083 of record NC_000002.12, on the reverse strand, counting down.
AAACAAACATTTTTTTCCCTTCATTGATTCTCATTTTGTTATTATCTCTTACAGAGGTGCATTCTTGGAAGAAAAATAATGCTTTTGTTGTGTGACCTTTGTCAGAATTATCTGTAAACACTCTAATAGAAAAGAATCAACCTCGAAATAAACTAAAACACAGTTCTTTTTCTTGGTTGAAAGTATTTGTCTAAAAACGAACTTCAGGCGGGGCTCGGTGGCTCACGCCTGTAATCCCAACACTTTGGGAGGCCAAGGCGGGTGGATCATGAGGTCAGGAGTTTGAGACAAGCCTGGCCAACATAGTGAAACCCCATCTCTACTAAAAATACAAAAAAATTAGCCAGGCGTGGTGGCATGTGCCTATAGTCCCAGCTACTCTGGAGGCTGAGGCAGGAGAATCACTTGAACCCAGGAGGCAGAGGTTGTAGTGAGCCGAGATTGCACCACTGCACTCCAGCCTGGGTGACAGAGTGAGACTCCTTCTCAAAAAAACAAAAATAAAAGAACTTAAATTTACTTTTAATTATCAAAGATGCTGTATTGTTTTACTCATAGTAGGGACTCTTTTCTGGGAAAAGATAAATAACAAAAAGAAATCTTTAATTTCTAAGATCATTGAAGTTGTTCCAGTTTATATATCTTTTAAATTATGTAATACAGATTTTAATGTTACTTGATTTTGCTTTTCATTTTAAAACTGTCATGTAAGCAAAAGTCACTACAAGTAATTTAGCTTTAATTAGTTTTTTATGTAGTTTGTGGCATGAGGATCTTATTTCTCCCATAAACTAATAATAAGTTATTATTTTGAATCATTAGCAATCTGACAATTTAAAATTTTGCTACAGTATTTATCAAAAATTCCATTTGCCATTGACAAGCAATATCACACTCTCTAATAAATCTTGTGACCACATTTTGGTCAGCCAAGATGAATGCTTAAGTAAATTCTCCCACTTAACACCACAACTCTGTAGTTTACAATAAAAGATAGAAGCAGTAATATCACAATAAAGGCTTAGCAGGAAATCAGCTCACTCTAGGAATGGCATTAGATAGTACTAAGACCAAGAACATTCAGTTGACCTCAAGTTTTGTTTATCTTTCTTGGAATGATCTTGCAAGAAAAATAGAAACAAGCAAAAAATACGAGCAAATAAAAATATCTAGTACGAAATTTTAGGGATTTTGAACAAATATTTTGTTTACTTCTCTTATCTGTAAGTTTTACCATCTTAGATAGGTGAAACTATATCCTAATTTTTAAAAGAATCAAACCTCTGGGGACCAGATATTATATACTACCATATTAATTTTAGTAATAATTCCTATTTGGAATAGTTCTTTCATGTGTTTCTTAAATTCTGCCTCTTGCACATTTTTGTGCATTTCCTCTTGTTTAGTCCTCAGTGGAAATGAAGTTCTTTGTTAAAGAAGATAAAGAATGTCTAGTCACTATCTTTTAAATTAGAATATTTCATAGGCTTGATAATTGATATAGTTTGGTTGTGTCCCCATCCAAATCTCATCTTGAATTGTAGTTCCCATAATCCCAACGTGTCATGGCAGGGATCCAGTTGAAAGTAATTTAATCATGGGAGTGGTTATCTACACTCCATGCTGTTCTTGTGATAGTGAGTTCTCATGAGATCTGTTGCTATTATAAGGGGCTCTCCCCCCTTTGCTTGGCAGTTCTCTCTCCTGCTGCCATGTGAAGAAGGATGTGTTTGCTTCCCCTTCCGCCATGATTGTTAAGTTTCCTGAAGCATCCCTAGCCTTGTGGAATTGTGAGTCAATTAAACATCTTCCCCTTAGAAATTACCCAGCCTCGGGTACTTCTTAATAGCGGCATGAGAACAGACTAATCCAATGATAGATATTGTATCTGAGCTGTCATTTTCTTTCTAAAATAAATAATCTCACTACCCTGCATATTTTCTCATCTCCTTTAATTTCAGAATTACTAATTCACATTGAGAACTGGAAGGAGCAATAGACAAGAGATTAAGAGTCAAGGCTGTAGTCACAATTCTGCCATATATTAACTATGTGGCTTCCAATAACTTGCTTCAACCTTTCTGAGTCTTAATATCAGTTAAATGTGAAGTTTTGACAGTTATCTGTAATTATTCTTGTGCATCTAAAATCAAAGTTCTAATTCTTCTCTGAATTTATGTAGTTCCCCCACATTAATCAGGGAATCCAGAACTGGACACAGTATGCTGGTGCTAAGTATATAAGTAATGTCATTATTCTGAAGTGTTTTACTACTATGTCTGAATTGTAGTCTCAAAATAGTGTTTTCAAATTATTGGACTCCTGCAGTGAAATAATCATTTTATTATCCATGTTGACTTCAACATGTTTTGTTTCTGCTAATCTTGCTCATCTTTATGAGCTTTGAAATGTTTAACTTTGTTTTTCAATGCATCAGCTGAAGATATACTTATTGACATGCCTTTTGTTTACTAATGATTATTCCTCCAACATATCATTATGTATATGATCTGCACAACAATTGGCTAACCTTTCCATCTAACAATACATCATTTACTTCCTTAATTATTATTCCCACAAATCAACAAAGAAAATATTTAGCATTGTCAGGGGTGGTGCTGGCCCTGGAAAAGAACCACCAGTGTTGACACTGATCCTCTGATAAGTCCTCTCTTTAAAATGACCATGAATTGTGTGATCCACCCTAGAACCTATGTACCCAACTGACTTATTTTACACTTCCCAGTTTATTTGCTTCTATTTAGTGCAATATGTTTCATTGATCTCCTTTCCTTGAGAGATAGAAAGCAGCTCAAGCTGAGAGTATGACACCTAGGAATCTATTTAGAAAATATATGACAAAAGAAAACTTCACACGGAAGGGGGAAAAAAGGCAATAAAAACTATAGCCAGCTGAACTCTGTCAATCTACATTAAATACAAAGAGCTCAAAAACTCCATTTACAAACAGAGATTATCAGAATGGGTAACAACACAAGACAACTATATGCCATCAATAAGAAATCCACTTTAATTATAAAGACACAAACAATATAAAAGTAAAAAAAAATCATGTAAATACTAATCACAAGAAAGCCATTGTGACTACATTTATATCAGAGAAAATAGTCTTCAAACAAGAGTCAATGTCCAAGATAAAGAGAAATATTTTATGATAATAAAAGGTTGAATTTATTCAAAAAAATTTAAATGTGTAAATTTAAATTTACATCTGATAACAGAGCCTCAAAGTACATAAAACAAATTGACAAAACTAAAGGGAGAAATAGACAAGTTCACAGTCATTACTGGAGACTTCAACACCTCATTTTTAGCAAATGATAAAACAAGTAGATTTTTTAAAGCCAATAGCATTATATTATATTTGAACAGCACCATCAACATGTGATCTAATGGACTTTTATCTAGTCTGTTATCCAAGAGATGCAGAATATACTTTCTTTTCAAGCATACATATAATATTAACAGCTGGGCATGGTGGCTCACACCTGTAATCCCAGCACTTTGGGAGGCCAAGGCAGGTGGATCACAAGATCAGGAGATCGAGACCATCCTGGCTAACATGGTGAAACCCTGTCTCTACTAAAAACACACGCAAAAAATTAGCTGGGTGTGGTGGTGGGCGCCTGTAGTCCTAGCTACTCAGGAGGCTGAGGTGGGAGAATGGTGGGAACCCAAGAGGCAGAGCTTGCGGTGAGCCGAGATCCCGCCACTGCACTCCAGCCTGGGCAACTGAGCAAGACTCCCTCTCAAAAAAAAAAAAATTAACAAAAAAGACAATATTACAAACTTTCAATAAATTTTAAAGTATGGAAATCACAGAATATTTTTTCTGACCCCCAACAGAATTAAAGTAAAAATCAGTAATAAAAAAAATCAATAAATTTCCAAATATTTGGAAACTAAGCAACATATTTCTAAATAATCCATTGGTCAAAGAGGAAATCGCAAAAGAAATTAGAAAATATTTTGACCTGAGCAATAAAAAATACAACAAATTGGAATTTGTAAGACACAGCTAAAACAGCACTTAAAAGGAAATTCATAGCTTTTCATGCTTATATTAGAAAACAGTTATTTCTAAAATCAATAATCTCTTCCACCTTAAAAATCTGTAAAAAGAAATGCAAATTGTTTTAAGTAATTGAAAGGAAGTAAAGAACAGAAATGAATTAATCTCAAATAATACAAAAATCAACAAATGAAGTTTTTTCAAAAAGTTAATAAAATTAATAAACCTCTAGCAAGGTTTAGAAAAAATAAAGAAATCACAAAATATCAAAGTCAAGAATAAAAGAAGAACTATCACCACAGATCCTACAGACATTAGAAGGATAATAAAAATATATATTATGAACAGCACTTTGTCAACAATGTTGACAATATAGACGAAAAGGACAGATGCCTTGAAAAATACAATTTCCGGCCAGGCGTAGTGGCTCACACCTGTAATCTCAGCACTTTGGGAGGCCGAGGCGGGTAGATCACGAAGTCAGGAGTTCAAGACCAGCCTAGCCAACATAGTGAAACCCCGTCTCTACTAAAAATACAAAAATTAGCCAAGTGTGGCAGCACACGCCTGTAATCCCAGGTACTTGGGAGGCTGAAGCAGGAGAATCACTTGACCTGGGAGGCGAAGGTAGCAGTGAGCCGAGATCACACCACTGTACTCCAGCCTGGGAGACAGAGCAAGACTCTGTCTCAAAAAAAAAAAAAAAAAAAAAGAAAAATATAATTTCCAAAATGATAAAAGAAGGAATATACAATCTGTATAATAGTGTACATATTTTAAAAATTGAACTTGTAATTTATAACCTTCCCACAAAAAAAAAAAAGAAACAAAACAAAAATCTCCTGGGCCAGGTGCCTTTAGAAGTGAATTCTACCAAACATTTAAGAAAAAGGAAACAAAAATCAACCTTACACAAACTTTTCTAGAAAGTAGACGGTGGGCAGGGGTCGGGGGTGGTGGTGATGGGTAGTGCACACATCTCAATTAGTTTTATGAGGCCATATAACCCTAATACCAAAATCTGAAAAGGGATTCTTTTGTAAATTCTTACAAAAGAATTTACAAGGCAATATTTCCCATTAACATACAAAGAAAAAATCCCTAACAAAATATTAGTAACTAAATTCCTGCAATATATAAAAAGGACAGTACATCATGACCAAATAGTGCTTATCTTAATACAATATTGGGCTGGGTATGGTGGCTCATGCCGGTAATCCCAGCACTTTGAGAAGCCGAGGTGGGTGGACCACCTAAGGTAAGGAGTTCAAGACCAGCCTGGCCAACATGGTGAAACCTCGTCTCTACTAAAAATACAAAAATTAGCTGGGCGTGGTGGTGCATGCCTGCAATCCCAGCTACTCGGGAGGCTGAGGCAGGAGAATCACTTGAACCTGGGAGGCAGAGGTTGCAGTGAGCTGAGATCATGCTACTGCACTCCAGCCTGGAGCAAGACTGTGTCAAAAAAAAAAATACAGTATTGGTTTACATTCAAACAACAATCAATGTAAATCATCTATGTTGTCAAAATTGTTGGCATAGACCTGCTCATAACATATTTTTTTATTATCCTTCTAATGTCTGTAGGATCTGTGGTGGTAGTTCCTCTTTTATTCTTGACTCTGATATTTTGTGATTTGTTTTTTCTTAATCTTGCTAGAGGTTTATTAACTTTTTTTTTTTTTTTTTTTTTGGTGGCGAGGCCGGGACAGGGTCTTGCTCTGTCGCCCAGGCTGGAGTGCAGTGGCGTGATCTTGGCTCACTGCAAGCTCTGCCTCCCGGGTTCACACCATTCTCCTGCCTCAGCCTCCCGAGTAACTGGGACTACAGGCACCCACTACCATGCCCAGCTAATTTTGTTTGTGTGTTTTTAGTAGGGACAGGGTTTCACCATGTTAGCCAGGATGGTCTTGATCTCCTGACCTCATGATCTGCCCGCCTCGGCCTCCCAAAGTGCTGGGATTACAGGCATGAGCCACCGCGCCCAGCCAATTTCATTAACTTTTTGAGAAAACTTTAATTTGTTGATTTTTGTATGTAAATCAAAAAGGAAAAAATCCCATGTTCATTTCAACAGATATGGAAAGAGCATTTAACAAAATTAAACTCTCAGCGAACTTGGGATAGAGGATCCTCAATACGATAAAAGGAATCTATGAAAAATCTCCAGCTAACATTATACTTAATGGTGAAATACTAAACATTTTCCACTAAGACAAATAAAAAGTATGTTTATTTCACTAATTTGATTCAACATTGTACTTGCCTTAATCATTGCAATAGACATAAAAGTTAGAAAAGAGGAATTAAAATTGTTTTCATTTTTGACATGATTGTATATGAAGAAAATCCTAAGGAATCTACCCCCACAAAAAAAGCCAAAAAACCCCATAATATCCACTAGATCTACTACATAAGAAGTGATGACATGATTTGATCAAAGTTTGGGAATTCAAGACAAATATACAAATATCAATTCTATTTCTATGTGCTATCAATCAACAATTGGAAATTAAAATACAATAGCACAAAACATAACATACTTTAGGGGTACATTTAACAATATATGTGGAAGATGTGTACATTGGAAACTACACAATATTGCTGAGAATATGGAAAGGCATAAAAATGATACAATGGACTTTGGGGACTCAGGGGAAAGGGTGGGAGGCAGGTGAGGGATAGAAGACTACAAATTGGGTTCAGTGTATACTGCTCGGGTGATGGGTGCACCAAAATATCAGGAGTGACCACTAAAGAACTTACTCATGTAACCAAACACATGTTCCTCAAAAACCTATGGAAATAAAAAAAATTTTTTTTAAAGAGAACAAGGAAAAAAAAAAGAAAATCATTAAAGTACCAGGCTAGCTATTAATGATGATAATAACAATAATGATATTTTATGTGTCTATAGTGTCTTTTTATATGAACATCTCAGATGACTTTACTGATAAATACTTTGATTTTACCCAAATAAACATACTTTTTCAATTAAAAATAAATAAATAAATGGAGGGATATACCATATACCTGGATTACAAGACTCAATATTGTGAATATCCCAACTGTCCTCAAATTAATCTATAGATTCAATGCAATTCCAATCACATGCCCAGCAGGAATATTTTTTAAAACTAAAATTTAAACAGAAATGTAAAAGGCCTAGAATCAGTAAAACACTCTTGCAAAAGAATAACAAACTGGGAGTACTTACTCTCCATAATTTTAAGACTTAGTATAATGCTATAGCAATCAAGAGAATGTGGTATTCATAGAAGGCTAGATAATAGATTAATGGTATAATAAACAAAGCCCAGAAACAGTCCCATCCATTTATGGTCAAGTTTTTTTTTTTTTTTTACAAACTGTCAATAAAATTTATTGGTAAAATGATTTTTTTCGACAAAAGAGGGTGGATAAAGTGGATATCCATATCAAGAAAAAGTGAGAGATATGACTAACTTATTATATGATACACAGAAATTAAGCAGAGAAGTATTATAGACATAATGTAAAATTTAAATCTATAAAATAAACAACTGGAGACTATCTTTGTGAACTTATGATCTGGCAACAATTTATAGACAAAATGCAAAGAGTACTGACTATAAAGGGAAAAGTGGATAAACAGGACTTATCAAAATTCAAGACATTGGCCGGATGCGGTGGCTCATGCCTGTAATCCCAGCACTTTGGGAAGCTGAGGCGGGCGGATCCTCTGAGGTCAGGAGTTTGAGACTAGCCTGACCAACACGGTGAAACCCTGTCTCTACTAAAAATACAAAAATTAGCCTGGCGTGGTGACATGCACCTGTAATCCCAGCTACCCAGGAGGCTGAGGCAGGAGAATCGCTGGAACCCGGAAGGCAGAAGGCTGCAGTGAGCCAAGATTGTGTCACTGTACTCCAGCCTGGGCAACAGAGGAAGACTTTGTCTCAAAAAAAAAAAAAAAAAAAATTCAAGACATTAAAAAAAAAAAGTATAGCCACATACCAGGATAAAATATTCATGATAGCCAATAAACACATGAAAATATATGAAATACATTAGGGAAATGCAAATTAAAACTACAAAAAAAATCATATATCCATTAGAATTCCTAAGATTAAAACTACTCAGTGTCAGAGAGAAGGTAGAGCTATGGATTACTCACATATTGCTGGTGGAAAGTAAAATAGTACAACCACTTTGGAAAACTGGCAATTTCTCTTAAAGTTAAACATACACATAATCTTTGACCTAGCAATTCTAATTGTAGGTATTTACACACAAAAGTAAAAAGATGTCCAAAAAGTTGTGTAAAGAAATTGTTACTCCACTTAATTTATAATCATAAAAACTTGGAATTAATCCGAATGTCTTTCAACAGAAGCATAGATAAGCAAATTGTGGTATGTTCACACAATGAAATACTACTCAGCAAAAAAGGAACAAACTAAAAATACATGCAATCACATGAATGCATCTACCCAAGATATTTATATTATGCAATACATCCAGTTCAAGAATAGGCAAAACCGGGCCAGGCGCAGTGGCTCACGCCTGTAATCTCAGGACTTTGGGAGGCCGAGGCGGGCGGATCACGATGTCAGGAGATCGAGACCATCCTGGCTAACACGGTGAAACCCCGTCTCTACTAAAAAACACACAAAAAAATTAGTCAGGTGTGGTGGCGAGCGCCTGTAGTCCCGGCTACTGGGAACGCTGAAGCAGGAGAATGGCGTGAACCCAGGAGGCGGAGCTTGTGGTGAGCCAAGATCGCACCACTGCACTCCAGCCTGGGAGACAGAGCAAGACTCCATCTCAAAAAAAAAAAAAAAAAAAAAAAAGAAAATAGGCAAAACTAATTTGTGGGGATAATAATTGTTGTTCCTGGAAGAAGACAGTTTGACTAGGAAGGGGCATGAGAAAACTTTCTGGGCAGTGGTTTGTGTCTTGCTTGGGATATTGATAACAGGATCATACACATTTGTCAAAATTCATTTGTTGGTACACTCAAGATCTGTACCTCAATGACATAAAGTATAAAAAGAAGCTCTTCAAACCCCCAAATCTAGCATGTATGGTATGTCATATTTATGCAGTTGTATTTGTGTGTGCGCATATGAAGAAACCAGTTTGCTTGCCCACGTTAGAATCTACTCTTTTGAATTGGATTTGAATGAATTTTTTCAATGCCTTATAAATATCTAGATAAGACAGAAATCCAATGCCTTTTGACCAATGATCTCAACATGTCATATAGTTGAATTCGTAAGCCCAAATGTAGAACTGCTTGCAGAAAATCTGGGGCCTAGGAAAATGAAGCAGGTGCCCCAAATCTTGCATTTGGGAGCCTGCATGCTGTGAGCTTTGGGGAGGCAGGCAATAGAGGATACAATTATTTCAATTGAGCTAAAAAACAATCTAAGTAATAGCCCACGGCATATGAGAGCCATATAAGATCTCAGAGGTCTTCCAGGTCAGCCCACTAACTGTACAGGTGGAGAACTTGACACCCAGAGAGGTTAAATATTTGCCCAGGAACACACAGCTTGTTAGTGGAAAGCTCAGGCTAAAATCCAAATATCCTTACTCCTAACACCACGTGAAGTCACTGTATCTGTATGAGTCTTACAGCTGTAATTACTCACCATTTTCAAAGCAGAAGTGAATGGATGGACCGTCAAGACATTCAGTCTAAACGTTGTTGTTGTTGTTTTTTTTAATCTCCCCAACCACTTTCTGGCTTCCTTTGATATATATTCCAACCCAATTTAGACCAGAAAGGAGAGAGTGAGTAACTAACTGCTTGCCGGAGCCCATAACCCTTTAGGGCTGGGTCATGACTAAGAAAGAATTTTATTGCAAGGAAATTGCATTTCAGTTTCTTACAGCAACTTCCCTACAGAGGTTTTAAAATCAGACAGTGGAATGCAGTGCATCACTGAATGCAACTGGCATGCATCTATTCCATGACGTGAGCACAAAAATTCATTTGCGATTACTGTACTCATTGTAATAAGGTTGACTTTTTCTTTTTCTGGAAGGAATTTAAGGATCATTTACATTTTCAAGATACAAGCAAAATTTTACTCTCCAAATTATAACCTCATTTTTTGCAGTCATTGTGTAATTTTAGAAAACGTAGAGATCTTGCTTACATCCCAAATTTCCTTTGGAAGACTGAATTTGCAGTCTAATACTTTGCTTATATTTTAATGCAAACTAATTTTTTTTCCACAGTAGTGAAGGACTCCAGGGCTGTTGTGTATATGGGAACAGTGAACATCGGGGACCTGGAATTACCCAAATAATTTGCTCTCCAGAGGATTTCTGTTATTCTTGCACCCATGCCCTAGCCTATGCCCCAGCCATTCTGGACTGTTACAGAAAGAGACTTTTATGATTAGAATTGCAGTTTCCAGAGTTTATTTATTCACCGGGGAATGTTTGAGAGCCCTGTGAAAAATTATATCCACATCAGCCAGTTTTGGAGGACTCAAGGTGTCTTATAGTCCATAGGCAATCTCAGGTAGGTGAGCTCCAGAAAACTGCAAAGTCTTCTGATTCTCTTTTTTCCAATGCTTTTTGACCTCACCTTCCATGTTAATTAAAATGGAAGGGTTTTCCAGGACTTCCATGTTAATTTTCTATAAGCAGGTGTTGTGAAGAAGGCACATAAACAGAGAGAGGCTTAGCAGGGAATAGCAGGGGAGAAGAAGGAGGACCAAGAAACATAGGCTGGGAAGCATTCAACAAGACTGTTGAAAATGCAAACTGAAAAGTCTGGGGGGAAAATTAAAATATGAATTCATGTATTTCAGACTTTTCTGGGAAGCACCATTCTTGGAAAGTTCCCAAGATATATTAATTGAGCAACAGCTAGTTAGCTTTTTTGGAAAATGCATCAAAGTTGAACGACTTCCATTGTAGTTTATAATAAATGAACTTCTCTTTTGGAATGCTAATATTTGCCTTTCTTGTTTTTTAGTAAAAACAAGATGCTTGATTCTTGTTTTTTAATAAAAAAAATGCGTTCACATTTCTTGGTTTTTTCCTTTCCTCACCATGCCAAGATTTCTGATGTACCACAAAATCCAGTTTCATATGTCTGTCTTAATTCTACATGAACCACCTTATGTGCCCTGGTGCCAATGTGTTAAGAGCCATGAGTGACTTCATCTATTACTAACTTAGACTTCTATATGTGGGACTTGATGACATGTGGTACTCAGGAAAGCAGTCATTTGATTGATTCCATAGTGTAGCTGTGACAGTGTGGAAGCACTATGGGGCGTTTAGAGGCAGCATGAAGGCTGTATAAGCCTGAACAAAATGTACTGGCATAAATCCTCAGTAAATATTTATTAAGATCAATGGCTTCATACAATGTCCTCACGATAGCTTTTTGCTCTGTTAGAATTAAGATAAATTGTATTATTGATGTATTAGGACCTCCTCTTTGCTTTTAAAGCACAGGACAGTAGTTTTTTTTCTCATATAACTTATATACCTTCCTAGTCACCAGAAATGGCATCAAAATGCTTTCATATTCCTTTAATCTATGGCCAGTCTGCCATGGGTTGGTAACAACGACGTGACCTACAGAAATGTCTTACATAAGAGCCAGAATCAGATTGTGATGAATCATTTGACCTCTGCTTATGTGGCCAGTGTTAAGGTGTTAACAGTCAGTTCATAATCATATCCAACAGTTATCAATAAGTAATACCTCAGCTAGCACTGTAAAAATCAGTGAGGACTAAGTCTACACAGCTTTTCAGAGAGCATTACTAGGAGCTTGTGATGGAAAAGGGCACAGCAGACCCCCAAGACTAGAAGATGTTTATAGAATGCAAGATTATTGTCGGCCACTGATGAAAGAATACTTTTCTTCTCCCTGACATACTTTTTCAAAAATAAGTGGTTGCAAGCCTTATCTAGATCTACATTACCTTAGATATTCTTGAGTGCTATTTTGAGCATTTGGGTATATTTTCCATGATGCCCTCTTCCCCCAAACTGGTGTCCTTCAAAGGAAAGAATAAGATTTGGGGTTTTATTATATAGCCTGGATATAAAGAAAATTTAACCAGATAATTTAAAATAAAAACAAAGTATTTTAATAATTAAAAGAAAATAAAATAATTTTGTTCCCATTTCTGTGACAAAAAGAACGAATCAATACTGTCATATTTCTACTGTCTTTATCAGGTAAGTCATAAACTGATTGGTAAGTGTAGCTGGCTGCTACCAATTTAGTTGAAACTATGATCTGAATTACTGAATCAGCTCTGCTGAAGTCAAATCAGTTGTGTCAAAAGGAAACATTACCCTCCGCCCACCAAAAGAATAATAAACTGGCCGGGTGCAGTGGCTCACGCCTATAATCCCAGCACTTTGGGAGGCCGAGGCGGGCGGATCATGAGGTCAGGAGATCGAGACCATCCTGACTAACATGATGAAACCCCGTCTCTACTAACAATACAAAAAATTAGCTGGGCATGGTGGCGGGCGCCTGTAGTCCCAGCTACTCTGGAGGCTGAGGCAGGAGAATGGTGTGAACCCAGGAGGCGGAGCTTGCAGTGAGACAAGATTGCCCCACTGCACTCCACCCTGGGCAACAGAGAGAGACTCCGTCTCAATGATGATGATGATGATAATAATAATAATAATAATAATAATAAACAACTTGTCTAGAGCAATGATTTTCAAATTCAGTGCCAGGAAACGCTAGTGAGCCATTATAACCTTTGTTCACAGGTTACTCAGGATTTAAGTTATAATACTGACTTTTAAATAAATATGACAGAGTACAAGGTTTAGACATCTCTTTATAGGTTTGCCATCAAAATTTTTGCAGTCTCCCCTCTCATCCTGGGTATGGTGTCCTAGAGATCATCTGTATTTTTTCTTTGTTGGTTGGTTAGTTTTGCCAGTCAAAGTAGTAGCCCATGGCCCAAACGTATTTGACAACTACTCTTCTACAGAACATGTTGAGTTAAATGCTTTAAAATCTACTCTCTGCCTTTGCCCAAGCTAATGACTCTCTTCAAGGTATCCTAGCCATTGTTTTCTGTTTCCTCACTTTGAGTTCAATAATATTAAAGTAGTGGCTACTAAGTTTTTTTTTAAGTAAGCTTGATCTAACAATTACTGCTTTTTTTAATTAAAGTAACACTGACCTCAACCAAGTTTTCACATTTTTTGTTGTTGTTATTTCAACAGAAGGGGCAAAAATTTCCACATAAGATCTTTCTAGAAACTTGATAGGACATCTTTAAATCTTTCTTTTAAGCCTTAGATTAAAATATTAAATGCCACTTGACTGTGCACATAGCCATAAATAACTCCCCTCAGTGCATCTCATCAGCTTGGCAGTGAAGCTCTGGCAGTCTCCAAAAGAAGTTCTAAATGGTGCTCAGTAATAATCTCTGTTTTCCTTTGACTACTCCTAAAATACTGGAAAAGGTGTATCTTTGGAACATACTACATGCTTCAAGAGAATAATGTATAAAGAACTCATCCTTAAAAATGTTTTCTTAGGGCAATTCCTTAAATATTTTTCATATCTCACTGACAAATTGACATAAAGTATAATTGGGTGTTTAGTAGATAAAGTAATCAATGGGTCTGATAGTTTTATATTTTTGTTTGTTTTCTTTACTTAGGAAATACTGAAGTATAAACAAATGGCATCAGGCATCAAAGATCTGAAATTTGAAGAGGCAGGTGGAAAGGGTTATTTGTGCCCTATAATACACAGAACCAAAATCATGTGGTCTGGGTTTCTAAAGAATGCAACGGACTATTTGTTAAATTAACTATAAACAGAGAAAGGGATGATCAATTTCAAAATGACTTATTATTCAGTACTCACAAAGTTGTGTCATTTCCTCTTGGCTAAAGAGTGAGGACTAAGTCAATACAGCAGCAGTTAAATCATATTCGCAGTTAGCATTCATGAGAAAAAACAAGGCTGAATGTTTCAACCCAGACTGGAGTGCTCTTACCACACAGCCTAGACAACTTAGTGCAGTGTCCTTGAGAGGGCAAATAGGCATAATTTTAAGAGAAAATAAAGGAAAAGATTCTCTTCCAAGAAAACAGATTCTTCCTAAATAACCAGTTCAATCCATTAAATTGTATGAATGTTCTTTCCTCAATTCCTCACTTCAAAAAAAAATGCCTTCTATTTTGTTGATGTTTTATAAGACTGAGTGATCACCCTCTTCTGACCACCCCAAAAAGAGACAATTGTGAAATTGCCACCTTTCAGTACAGAGCAGTTTACAAGTTTACACGCTTGTCTTTAATTTTGTATTGAAATGCCTATATTTGAAACTATTTAATATCTGTCATCTTATTAAATTCTCAAAGAGAATGCCCATGACTCATATCCATATTTTGTGACATAACATCTATGAAGGCATCCTGCACGTTTTCTTGCTTTGATGTCAGCCATCTCTCTGCTCCATTGATGATGCCTATAAGAAACCTGTGCTTCCTCCTTATTATGCACTTGCTCCTTCAAACACTTCTGCTGGAGTCTGAAGAGAGGCAGGTGACTGTGAATAAACTATTGGGATTATGCCTTACAATATTCCACTGTGGGCCAAGATCTCCATAAATACACTGAACATGAAAAGGGGGGTGCCTTTAGTGTGTTTCTAAAGAATAATTTTGGAAAGTGCAGGGCACGTGATTTTTTAAGCAGTGCTATTGTGCAGCTTAAAGGAGGCAGATGTTATCATCCTCACATAAGGATGAAACTGCGGAAAAGAATTTAGTCAGTGTTCGCCCAAGGACAGATAGTTCATTGGTTTAGCCTGGACTAAAACCCAAGTCCCTGACTTGTAGTCACTCAAATCTCAGAAACAATTGTTTATCAGTCTTGTGCTATCCCTAGATGGGAAGTAGATGGGTACTCTTTCTCAATTGGTTCTCTCTCCAGGCCTGGAATCAGCCCTTTTTGTGTCAAAGGGTATGTAGTTTCTATGGGAGGGGAGATTTCCTCTGGTAAGTAAAGGGTTAGCCACAAAGAAAATAATTTTTGAACTCAAACCTTTTAGGGCACCTGAATGTGTTCTATTAACTAAATCATAGAGAAATATTTACTATTGGTTTTCTGTTCTCTTGGTCTTAAGGATAAATGAGAAAAAGGAGAGAGTAATAGGAAGACAAGCAAGAATCACAAAAGGAAGCACGCTAGGTAATATACGATCCTCCCAGGTAAGGCGTCACATTTTCTAAATGAACGTGTTTCTTAGGGGAAAACCTTTTATTGCAGTCTAAAATTTTAGTCTTTTCCAGGAATTTAGGTATACTTGGATCCCATATTCTCATTGAAGATGAGCAGTTTCATCAAGGTTTCACAGCTAGTGAGTGACAGTGCAGACGAAGAACTGGAGTCATTCATTCATTCATTCATTCATTCATTCATGTAATCATGCTGCTACCCTGTTCCAAGTCCTGCCATGACTGACTTCACATTACCCTGAGAATGAAATCCAAATTCTACAGCCAATTATTCAGCCCCTGCCTGCTTCCTTTTGCTCCCCGACCTACACTCTCCCTCCTTCAGCAGGCCCTAGTCATTCTGGCCTTTCTTCTATTCCTCAAACCTACCAAGCCCTTTCCCTCCAGCCTGTAACCTTTCCACTGTCTGTGAGCATCCTTCTGCTGGACCATGGGTCTGATCCCTACCTTACTATGCTTTAATAATGCCGTGCCATGTTTTCTATGAAGAAAAACATGGGGTGATCTTACTTCTTTATTTACTGTCTATCTCCTGCCTGGAATGTATGCTTTTTGAGAGTAGCAAACAGATCTGTCTTGTTTACTGCTCTATCTGCAGTTCCTAGAACAGTGCCTGGTTTACAGCAGATGCTGAGTAAGTAATTGTTAAACTAAATGTTAGATGAATTTTAAAATATATTAAGTATCCACTTCACACTGAACACTAGAGATTTTAAAAAGGAAAAGGAAGAATGTTTACCCTAGAGGGATTCAAATCCTGGTGACTTCAGGCAGTTGGTTTTTCTACTCTGTTATACATCCATTAAATTTTGCTCAGCAACTGGCAGATTCCTGGAAATTCAGGTCACCTGATTTCCAAAAATAGTCATCCACTATGATTCCAGATGATTCTATGGTGAAGTGATTATGCATCTTGTTTTGCCTGGGATAGACCCTGTTTACCTCTGTTGTCCAGCCACAATCATTGGTAGTGCCCCTTTTGCTCTCAAATCCCAGCTTAGATGATAAATTATGTGGTTACCCTATTCATTGATCAGCCAATTCATAAACATTCTTAATTATTTCTGTTAAAGTGATTTAACCATATAAACTACATCAATTCTGAAATATGGGAGGTCAAATCATATCTCTGGAAAGGGGTAATTTCATTAAGTTAAAAATAAGACAAAAGATAGGATGGACACAGCTCCAATTAGTGAGTCCACCAATGAAGCCAGAATTTCTCAAGACACATTCAACAGTTCTGAAAAGTGCAAATAAGATTTTACATGCAAACTATAACACAGGTCAAGGACTCTTTATTGTGCCAGAAACCATTCTGCAAACGTCACTTGCATTTCCTCATAATTACCATTATGACTCCTATTTTACAGATGATGAAATTGAGGCTCAGAGAGGCTAAATAATCCATCCAAAGTCATACAGAAAATGTGAAGTTGGGGACCCAAATACACCTCTTTGTGATCTCCTGCCCCAACTACTATGCCCATTGCTCTTTAAACAAGTAAACAAACGTGAATAATTTGATTAATGTTTCCTGTGTTAAGTAGTTTTGGGAAATGCTAGGTTAAACTATGTTAAATAGTCTGCTTTTCTCTGGGATTTTTAAATGTTTGTAACATTAGTGTGCTTGGCGAATCTTCAGTGAGTGATGTGGGTACAGTGTCGCCCTCACTAATTGGGCCATGGCACCCTTTGTGTCAGGAGGGAACTAAAGCTCAGAAGAACAAACATTGGCAAAGGCTGCTCTAGGAACCCTAGCAGGGCCAGCAACCCGCTTCTCTGTGGGTCAACCCTCCCCTTGTGTAAACACAGACCCACCGATGGAGTCTGAGTCAATGATCTTTGAGGGGGCTCCAATTTTCTCAGCCCCAAATAGGACATCATTCCTGGATCCCCTAGGCTTCAGGGGCCCTACCAGTCCACTACTTACATCAGTGCTTTTGACAACTCTTCATTGTGCCTTTTCACTTCCCATGTTAAACTTTCTGATTTGTTTGTTTTCACCTTATCTTCTCATTTACAAGCCTAGGAGTCTCCACAGGGGACCATATAAGCTGGTTTTGGCCAGTGTGCTACTACATTGTAACAATTGAAACCTCCTGAGCATTTAGGGTGCAGGAGCTGAAGATGAGAAAAAGAAAGACTTCTCATAGAAAAAGAACAAATGTGCGGGCTATTCTGGTCCTTTCTAAGATTTTTGCTTGCGGGGAAGAGTTGGAGGGCTAGGGAGATGGATGTGGAGGAGGACAGAAGAGAGGGTGGAGGGTTGTATCTGCATTTTTCAGCTAAAGATGTTTGTGCCTTCTGAGTCCAGTCTAGGGTGCTTTGATTCCGGGAAGATGGAGGCTATAGATAAAGAATTAATAGTATCAAAATCTGCCCCCCCACCAGTCCCCTCACTGCAAATGTGGGGAGGTGCAACTAAGCTGACAAGTGTTTGGGTCCCTAGCGCAGTAGGGTTGAGTTTCCAATGGCCTTTGTCACTCAGTCATGGGCATCTTCCACTTCTCTTTCTTCTCCCCTCCCACCTCCTGTACCCACCCCTCGAAACCTTTCTGCCTCCACTTGTACGACTGAAACTGACAGGTTTCAGAAGCCAGTCTACTACCGTGACCCAGGCAAGCCTGTTCTTGCATCTGGAATAAAGAGGCTGATCTATTGGTCCATGGCCTATGTACCTGATACAAACCATTAAAAAAAAAAATAGAACCACTCAACTATTCTCCACCCAAGATTTGCTTCCTATGTTTTATCACTGTCCTTTAACTTGGGTGGGAAATGTTTTTGTTTTCATAAATGCTCATGAGGCTTCTACAGATAAGCCCCTATTAAACTATATTTAAAGGGATTGTAGTTCAAATCAGTATGCACAGATACCAGTTTCCCACCTTGCCCTGTGGACTTGTCAGCAAAGCATCTTTGGGATCTTCATGTTGTCTAAGAGCCTTGGTCTAAAATAGATCCCGAATGGGCACCCTAGAGGGCGCACTGCTTACATTTTCGGCATGCAACGCCAACAGCGCTCGCTCCCAGGCTCCATAAAAGGGGAGGAGGCAGATCAGTTTCCTCCTCTCATTGAGAAAGAAGAGGATTGGAAGGCCGGGCGTATAAAGCCGCGCAGAGAGCGTGAAACAAAGCAGTCGGCTCGGAATTGGACTTGGGAGGCGCGGTGAGGAGTCAGGCTTAAAACTTGTTGGAGGGGAGTAACCAGCCTGCTCCTCTCGCTCTCCTCCTCGTCTGCGCCGCGTTTCAGAGGTTGCCCATCAGCCTTGTGATTTATTTTTATATCTGCTTTTTATAAAGAGAGAAATATATATATATATATATATTTTTTTTTTTCTTCTTAAGAGAAAATTCCTGTTCCAAGAGAAAATAAGGCAACATCAATGAAGGAGAGAAGAGCCAGCCAGAAATTATCCAGCAAATCTATCATGGATCCTAATCAGAACGTGAAATGCAAGATAGTTGTGGTGGGAGACAGTCAGTGTGGAAAAACTGCGCTGCTCCATGTCTTCGCCAAGGACTGCTTCCCCGAGGTGAGTGTGGCCGGCCGCGGCTTCCACGAGGGGGTCGGCCAGTGGGATCCCAGTCCCGAGGTGGGCCTCCCCGCTTTCATCCGTTTTCCCTTAAAAAAAAAAAAAAAGAAAAAAAAAAGTCTTTCTCGGTCCTTACTACTTTCCCCTGATTAGACTGCGGGGAAAGGGAAAGTGCGCTGGAAGCTTTTAGGGTTGGGACGCGCCTGCACATGGGCTGGTTAGCTCCTGAAACTTGTTCGTTCCTGTGTGCATAACCTGGGGTTGGGAGATTCGGGTCAGCAGATCTGTGAGAGCCGGGTGGGGTGAGTGGGGAGTAGGACAGGGGTTTCGGAAAGGGTCCATGTGCTTAGTGTGTGGTCTGATGTGTGAAGGTTTTCTTTCTTAACTGGGGAGCGGGGAGGGGAAGGGTGTTCAATGGGTGTCGTGCGTTTAAACGTAACCTCTTTGCCCTCTTTCCTTCCTCTTTTGCCCATTTTGTCTATCCAGAATTACGTTCCTACAGTGTTTGAGAATTACACGGCCAGTTTTGAAATCGACACACAAAGAATAGAGTTGAGCCTGTGGGACACTTCGGGTAAGAGTGGGAGGACCGCGTGGCGCTTGGGGCGGGTTTCCAGTCGCTGGGGGATGCGCGGCGGGTCTCGGGAAACCGCGCGCTACAAGCCGTCTGCGCCCCTCCCAAGGGATTCCCACGGTCCCTGTTGGGCGAAAATTGTATCCCTTCTGGGTGGGGGCGGCAGACGACAGCGTGGACGAGGAGATAGCAGTGGGGAGAGGAGAGCGCTGTGTGCCCGCAGGGTGACCCCGCGGTTGGAGCCACTAGTGGCCAGGCGCAGTCCGCCCGCGGAGTCGTGGTCAAGTCGCCTTGGGTCGGCCGAGGTGGCCCGATACTGTGGGGTGTTGCATGGGCGCTGCGTGCGCCTCGGCGGAACCACCCGGCTCAAGGCGGGCGCCCCTCCTAGATCTAACCTGCTGGTTGGCGGGGAGGCGGGGAGCGCCGCGGGGGTGATGGGAGGCGGGAGAAAATCCCAGAGGCGACGCGGTTACGTGCAATTGCCGCTGTTGAGGGAAAGAAACTGAGCGCAGGCAGCCGCGGCGCCCGTGACGCCTACACCCAGGAATGCGCTGGTGGCGCAGGGGCCGGGCAGCAGCTGAACCTCCTCTTCGCGCTGCCGGCCGCCCGCGGTGCCTCGGTGCCCACCTGTACCGAGCTTTTCCCTTTTTCCCCCACTCCATCCCAGTGATCACGTCCGTTTCCCCTTCACCACACCAGCCCCTCCTGACCTCTATTGCATCCCCCACTCGGCTTGCCTCCAAGGCCGCGGGCAACACTATTCGCCTTTGACCTTCCAGTCTACTTGAATTATTGGCGCCGCGGTGGGTTATATTCATGGGTCTGAGGTTCAAGGCCGGGTTATTGCTTTCCCATGCGCCCACCCACCTACCTGGCGCGCGGTGGTAGGGAGGGCTAGGTACCCTCCCGGTGGGAAGGCATCCGGCCCCCCGGCTGAGTTAGGGGTTTAGGCCAGGTCAAAGGCCGGGGAGTGGCAGGGGGGCACCATCTGAGGTCTTGGGCTGGGACATAGGCACCCGCCGCCCTAACCAGCGGTGTCTAGCGAGTTTGTTTCCAAGAAGGGTGTCGGCTATGGAAAAGCAGGACCCACTGGGAAGGCTGGGTAAAGGCCCCTGCGCTTAGGGCTGGGAATTTAGCAAGGAGCTGGGTTGCTGGCGGACCGAGCCAAATCCGGGTGAAACTGGCGAGGAGGAACGCGCAAGTGCCAACAAGCAGGTTTGCTGTTAGGCGGGGAGGCCCCGAGGTGGAGCCGCGCCCAGCGGGGAGTGGCCTCGTGGAGGTGTTTCTGTGAGCTTCCCACAGAACCGCTGGGCTTGAACCGCTGGAGCCCCCGAGGGACGCGGGGGTTCAGAGAGCAAGAGGAAGGAACCAGACTGACAGGGTCGCCAGAGGCAGTCCCAGCACAAAGGCAAGCGAGAAGTCTCGCACGAGCGAGCGCCTCTCATGGTCGGTGCCAGATGCTCCGACTGCTGCAGTGAGAAGGGCTGATTTTGTTTCCCCCTGGAGTCAGGCTCTTTCTCAGCCGTTCCAAGGGCAGCAGAATCAGGACTTTGCCGCCGTGTTTTCTGTTGGGGATGGTACACAGACTCGAAACTCTGGAGAAGGTGTTGGTAGACAGAATTCAAGTGGTTCCTTATTTCAGTAGTTCCTATCAGAATTATTTTACAGCCTGGTACTTAATGGGCTCTGATTCCCAGACATATCATGGTATGTATTTGTTATGCCTACTGGATGGCACAGCTGGTGTGGTACCGATAATAAGCACCAGTACTCCCTGCCCCAACCGGCAGCCCTGTTTGGACCTAATGCACGATAAAAATTATTTTGGCACGGGGTGGAGCAGTGTGTCTGAACCAGTCGTTGATACAAAGCTGTGTTTAGATCTTAGCTCCTGGTTACCATGGATTTCTGTGTGCAAATCCCCTATCTCCCTGGGTCTCATTTTCATCATCTGTAAAAAGAGGACACTGAGCTAGATGATGTGCAGGATCTCTCCCAGCTGTACACTTCTTGGCTTTATTACGCTGGACAGGCAGGTCTTTTTGTTTCCCAGGATGTTGGTTGGCTTCAGCTCTTAGTCTTAGGGGATCTGGCATCCCGTGCTGGGGTTTTCACAGCCTGCAAAGCAAGCCAGGTTCTGGGCAGAGCCAGGCTTCCTGGTGGATTTAGGAATGAAACCCATCTGGACAGGGAGGGGGAATGGGTGGGCTTATAGGAATGCTGGGCTATACATTTCCTATCTCAAGCTTCAAGAGTGACAGGACCACCAATGGATATTTCGGAATAGATGCCTAAAGGGCTAAATTGATTCTTTTAGGGGAGAAAAGGCACATTGTTTGATAAAGGCTAGAACATAAACCAAAATGTGGGCAGTTTGTAGTTGGAGGCTGTCCTTCGTATGTGCAGGTAAATACCACTTCAGGTATCTTCATGCATTTAATCAAAACTCTGCAGTTCGTAGACTCTGCACACATAGCACAATGCCTTGCATACAGCAGTTATCCAATAAAATCTGATGAATGAGTAAATGAGTAATGATATGCATAGTTGCCAAGGAGATGAGGTTCCCTGACATTTATTCACACTGAATTACCTGTGCACAAAGAATGGCAACTTTATAAACATTGCCTTTCATCGAATTAAAGATAATCATCTGAAATGAATTTGTAGTGAAATAATCACTTGTCTTTTTATTTAATGAAACCAAAACTTATGTATGTTTAACTAAAATATAAAGGTTTGAAAATGTGATGAAGAAAATTTTGTACTGCAAAATTATCCGGTAATGAAATCTTAGTTAGAATTTAGATTTAAACAAATGGAAAAAAGAGGCATAAGGGAATTATTTAGAATTCCATTATGTTGTTCATGAGGTGAAATGTTAGTTAGTTAAACACAGTCACCAAGCACTGCTTACTTAAATTCTAAGAATAGCCTGTTTCCATCAAAAGTGATTTGTTGTTTATATCTAGCAGGAACCATTGAATCAGCAACTAATTATTTCAAGGATCTTTAACATTTTTCCATTTAATTCCAAGCTTTTCATGGCAAATTTCTGGACAGGACTATTTTTTGGTAAATGTTTGACATTTTCTTTGCCCACTAAAACATTTATTTAGTTCAGATTGTAAAAATAATTGCATATGCCTTATGCCTCTTGATACATTTATTTTTTCCAAAGGCCATCAATATAACTCTGGAGAAAAGATCCCAGCCAAGTCTGTAAAGTTCTAAATGTCAGATAAATTGCACTTTTTATTTCCCTCCTAGAACTTTGTGAAAGAGACTTATATAGGAAAAATTGGGTGTGCCTGACTGCTCTTATATAGGGAGAGATACGGGATGAACATTGTCCTTTGAATGATATTTCCTGTCCTGTTTACCCTCCTAGCAGAAGGGCAACCATTTAGAAGACAGAAACAGTTCCTCTCTTATCTGGCCTCTTTAGTTGGACAGCTTCTCATAAGGGGTCTACTTTTGCCCCCAGCAGTCATGATCATGCATAGGCAAACTCTGCCAATTTGGATGTGAGAAAGACTACCAAGTGAAAGTAGGATATGTGAAGTCTCTTTGCACCAAGAAAAAAAAATAATTTCCTGCTTTTTAAGGCACAGTAACTTAATATTTCCTTCCTTTCTCCCTTTCTCCATCCATCTCTTCCTTTTTTCCCGCATCCACTATAAACAGGCCCTCTGTCAAGACCTTAGAGATACAGTGTTAATTAAGCATGGTCCTGCTCCTAAGAAGCAGACAGTTCAGGTGGGGTAATGGAGAAAAAGAAGCTCTTCTGGTTTAGCGTGTATTTCATTAACAACTCATGATGCACCTAATTTTGTCAGGTCCTTGAACCCCAGTGCCCTTTTCCACTTGGTTGCAATGTTTTTCCTTTGTCAGACATCCTAGGGCTTATAGATCCTCTGGATCCTCTTCAGATAGGAAACAGCTACCCCCGCACCGCCCCCCCCACCCCCGCCCATTGCACACACCAGTTAAAGCAACTACAAAAGGCATTTTGCCAGTCAATTCTTAGGGCTACAGTACTCCAGCCCCCCCAACAAAAGTAAACAAAACCTTTGTAAAAATGCTGTAGGAATCATCTAAAAGAGGGAATTTTTAAGGCCCATAACTTCTTCATTTTCCTAAAAAATATTTTTCATTATAAAATGAACATTCTTAATAGTTGCAGAAATGCTCCCATTGATTTTCAAATTTCACCCAATGAGTTTCTGCCAAACAATGGGTAATAGTTTCAATTGTGAAGTAATAAGTAAGACCAAAGTAATTCTAATATCTTGTGCTTCAAAATTGGCCACATTTGCCAAGCATAGAAGTAATTTGTAGCATGAAGCCAAATGCCTACTAATAATAGAAATGTAGTCATTTAAGGA
Organism: Homo sapiens; assembly: GCF_000001405.40. NCBI lineage: Eukaryota > Metazoa > Chordata > Mammalia > Primates > Hominidae > Homo > Homo sapiens. Next base: position 150,482,305 of record NC_000002.12, on the reverse strand, counting down.
TCACTGTATCTTTTCCTAAGAGATTTGATTGCAGTGTAATTTCAGCACATGTGATTTAGGGAGTAATAATCATTCATTCCAGCTTTTTAACCAAGGCAAGTTAATGCACATTTTATTTAAGGCTTATTATTACTTTTAACATATTCAATTCAGCTGCTAAATTCCCCACAATAACTATGCTATTGCCTCATGAACACTCTTTCGAATCTTGTCATGATCCAAGTTTCTTTTAAGCCCTGAGTGCTAAAGTTAGTACTTCCTATTTTAGTTTTTAGCATTACTAACACTTAAGGTGGTATCCTTTATTTCTTAGAGAAAAAGAGAGGAAAAATATCTTAGTTACCTAATGGCCTTAATATGAGGACAAACTTCTCTATAAACAGAAGTCTATCTAAGCTGTTATATTTAGATTATTGTACATCAAGTATGAAGAATGGTCTTGGTGACAAGCTCTCTAATGAAATATTTCTTAACAGGGATGGAAATGGTTCAGCAGTATTGGAGATTAGTATATAATTAATCCAGAAAAGCAGCTTAAAAGGGGATCACTGCTCTCTCTCTCCCCCTCCCCTTTTTTTTTGGTGATTTAGCATATAAATGAACACATCTAGACAAGACATAAAAATGATTATAAAACCAGTAAACATGGTTTAGTGCTTTCTGTGTGCATACAATCTGCTAGATGCTATGGGAGGAGTACAGAGCTGGGTGAGAGCAGCTTCTGCCCTTAGGTACTCACAGTTTCACCATGTGATAAGACAGACATGGTGAAAACATGAGTGACAATAAAATTTAAAATATTCAGGCTTTCCCAAACTAACAAAAGAAATCAAATGAGAAGCCCGGATTAAGTGTCAGGTGTTTAGGTGAGAGGAGATGCCAGTAGACTGAGATTTGAACAGGGTAAAGACATCCTTCTTCCCTGACAACCTTCTTTGAATACCCACAGGACAAACAGAGGACATAGAAAGACTTCCTCCTGTCTAGTGCTGTAATACCTGTTTATAGGATGGTGAGCCCGGAGGTTCTAAACCTGGATTTTTCAAGGAGCAACAAGATCCAAAGAGTTCTTGAAGGCCACAAGGGCAGCCCAGGCTCCCTAACTCATGACTTAATGGTCATTGAGGCCCACCACAATTCCCTTCCTTTCTAGAAGTTGACTAAGTTCTAAGAAGTTTTTAACGTTTCTTCCACGTGGAAACTCGCTTACATTTAGTGGCTCTCAGATAAAACAAGATTCTGGAAGCTGAGAATTATAACTTAAATTAACGTTCTTGGAGAAAGGAAGAGGTTAAGAATTTATGAAGGAGCCAGAGAAGCATGGATGCTTGGGATTTGAATATCAACTGTGAAATTGCAGGAAACCAAGCATTTCATCAGGTAGTAATGATCCATTGGAGCTTAGGGTTTCAAAACTAGGTTTAATTCTTAACGAGTTTTCACACTGAAACTCTTATGTAAAAGACCTGGGTTAAGGTAAAACAGATAGTTTGTATGGTGGTTTCCAATAAGCAGTACATAAAACTGCATTTGGAGATTTGTCCACCATGCAGTAATTTCCATTTAAACCAAGGAACCTCCTAAAAAGGGGAGGGGGCAGTATGAATGCTCTTTCTAAGTCTACATCTGTCTGTAGATTTTTTTTTTTTAGCCGCATTTAGTGCTGTTTTTTTTCCAATCTGGTTTCTTGCTAAGTTGCACATTTCAATGAAGCATCCAAATTGGTCATTCTGATAACACCCGAAATAACCAGATGTTTCCTCATTAATCCAGTTCTTTTGCATGTAAATATGACACCAAGAACCAATACTTTCTCCAGTTAGCTCATGGTGCCTGGCGGGCTCTGCCAAATGAATTAGTCGTGGCTCAGTCATTTTCTGATGTCCTTTAAATGACTTCTCAGTTGCTACATATTGGTCACTTTCTCAGAGTCTCCCTTGGCAAAGCAAACATTTTATTGACACGGAATGTAGTTGACGCAGAAGTTTGACCAGGTGTTGTGCACATTGGTTTTGAAAAATGAGCCTGATGACATAGTTTGTGGAAAGATGAATTCACTCATGGGATTCTACTCCAAGAAATCTGATTCTTAGATATCATATGAAACAAAAACTTGAATCCATTATCCCTATTTACTTTTAGGCATATTCATATACATATACTCTTTTCCCTAAAGCTCTTGACTTAACCATGGTTCCACTGTCAGTAAAATATTTTGATTCTTACATATTTTTAAGTACCTCAATAAGATTAGGAGTTTAAAGCTAAACTTTATTTAAAGGCCAAACATATCTACCTGTCTGACTTTCTAATTTTGTATCTACATTGCCCCCAGAAATAGAAAATCTTTATTCCATTTTAATAGCAACACATAAATGCCCACAAAATTTTATAAGATCTGTTCATAGTTCCTATTACCTGAATCCATGGAAGAAACAAACATATTCTTCCTGGGAGTGTTTGTTGCATATTTGCAGGCATGGTATTTGTTGTGCAGACTACTTGAAACAAGAACTAAACAGTCTTACACTGAGTCAGATACAAAAGTTCTGCCCAGACTTGATTCACATTCTTGAGATTGCTGCTAATTTAAACCTTTTCCTCTGATTAGAGATGGCATGAGGAAATGCAATCTTGTAATAATTGGGCAGATCATGCCCTCTCACATGTTAGCTGCTGCTGCGTTCAGATGTGCTCATGGTGGTCACTAAATATACCAAAAGTTAATCTACTTTTCTCTGCCAAAAATATGCAATAGCTTTAGCTTACTCTTCTTGGTAAAAATTTCTTAAGGGGGAAAGGGAAGCTTTTCAGATGAAGGTTCAAGTTAAATAAATTATATTTATGAAATATTCAACAAGAAGAGTTTTCAGTTCTCCAACTCCTCTAAAGCCTCACAGTGTTTAAACTGGTACTTTGCAAAAGGTTCCATAAAGCCTTCCTTTTGGGCATGAATCTTCTTACATATACATTTAATTATGTACATATATGGTGTGTTCTATATTTGCGAAAGGGTGACTTCAGCAGGCAGGTATGTGTCTGAAGAATTAGTTTCTGGGTGAGGCACGTTGTGACTATTCTTTGGCTGGAAATTTTGCTCTCACCCAGAATTAATGATCTTGAATACAAAGATGGGTAGATCTGAAATTTCAAAAGCTCTCTAGAACTTTGCTGATGTTTGCCAAACTTGAGCAACTCAGAGAACCCCAAGTGTACACTTGTTCCAATCTACCCCCAGCAAAGCCTTTCAACTATATTTTCTGGGTGAGCGGGGTACACATTTTGCATATATAGTGTAGTTGTTTCTTTACAATATAGAGTTTCCCTAAGTTTTTCCTTCAGAGGTGTGGCAGGTTACTTAAAAAGGACCTTGGAATAGGGTTGCGAGCTTAAAAGTTTCATATAGTACCAGAGAAATGCTGCATCTGAGAATTTCCATATGCATGAAGCCTATTCCACATGCTGAAAAAGAGTTTCATTTGACAAGCCAAACGCAGTCCCTAAATGTTATTGGACTTTAGTGCATTCTTAGGTACTAGAGCACATACTCTGTGTATATCAATACCTACCATGTACTGCAGTTAAAGTTGAATACTTTCATACTTAGTAAAAATTGTTGAGCCCTCCTGCTTGTGCTGTGTTTAGTTCTACAGTTAGCACCTTGGGAGTTTTTCATGTGCATCTTTTAAAAACACCTATAGAAGTTAATTTTTTTTTTTTTTTTTTGCCGTTTGGCTTCACAGGGTGTTGTAAGACTTTTCTGGAGGGATATAGGAGTTAGGGGCAGGTATTGTTCCTGCTTTACCCACTTACTTTCAGCTCCTTCCTTTGGTGTCATTTCTGCCCCTCTTTATTGCTTCTCACTTCACAGAGTCATTTCTGGAATTCCTCTTCCTTTTTTTTTGGCATGCGTTGTCTCACGCATACCTGTGATTCCACCGTGCCCTCTCCAGCTTTGCTTGCCTTACTTCCTTTGTGCAGTCTCTTGGGCTTTATGGGGAAGAAAAGGAAGGATTCCAAGTGCTTAAACACAGAGTAAACACTGTAAAGTTACACAGGAGGTGTTTTTGTGTGTGAGTGTTTTTGTTTTTTGTTTTGCTTTGTTTTTTTTTTTATCCTGAAAGTCCTGCTGAGCTGATGACTTACATCTTTCCTGGTGGGACAGTTCTTGATAATTCTATATCAATATTTTTCACTGTGAATAAATAGAGACAATAGATATTTCTATCTAAGACAAGATAAACTTAACCTATCAAAAATATAGTGAATAAATGGTCTTGTTATTTTAAATAAATTACTCTTGTCATTGGCAGTCAAATTATGCTTATAACTAAGAAATATGGGAATCAGTTTTACTATTACCTTTGGACACTCGTGTTGATCTAAAAGCAGCACTGTTCATTAGCAAAAGTAATAGAATGGGATCAAAGTGTCATCCCTAATTAGATCATGTTAAACCTCTTAAAAATTACCTGTCTACCTCCACAAGCACGGTGGTTTATTTCTCATAAACCTTTGCACTACATATGTATTTTCACTTATACTGTTAACCGGATAAAAACAAAAGCAGATACAAACTTCCCTGAAAATCTGGTTTAACTGGAGAACTCCGTTTCATTTTAAAATCAGGCCAGAGTCTAAATTTTGCAGATATTTAGATATATGCACTAAGCACAGAAGCCAGCCCACTTGATTTTAGTAGGTAGCAGTCTCCAGCAGGTGACTCAGGGCTGAGCACAAAGCCAGATCTCCTTTGTGGCCATAAAATGGGTGGGGGACGGGAAACATAGTCCACAAAGGGGGGAGGGGTATTCCCAGCAGTCATGTGGTGGCCTGAATGTTGAAACCATTCCTCAGGATTTTCCTGGCAGTCTCAATTTTAATTAAACTCTTTTATCCTCTTTGTATTTCTTCAATCGCTTTTCCTAATTTTTTTATTTGGAAAAGATGGTCTCCATTGTCATAGAGCAGTATTACATCTGGAATTAGCAGTGAGTACTCTAACATCATACAAATCGTATCCTGAAAGGAGCTGGTAGGCACCTGGAACAGTTCTCTAAAGATACCAGGTCTGCTTGTACTGGAAGCTCTCCACAGGGAGAGAGTGGTTTTTCCTAATGTGAGTGATTTCTGGGAAAGGAGATCTCTGAAGCCTCGTTAGGTTTCTGACAATCCTAACTGTTGGCAGCTTTGCCTTCCTGGGTCTGGGATCAGGTTGTCTCTCGCGGACTTTGAGGAGTAGAGGAAACTCTCATTTATATGTCCAGTATTTGGAGCTCCACTCTATGATCTAGAATTTTCTGACTGCCTGTTTGGAAAGAGTCATTCAAATGTTTACAGCAGGTGCCGTGCTAGAGTTAGACTTTGGACACAGAAACAGGAAAGGTTCTAGTTGAGAAAGTGTGAACTTCTTAGAACTAATATGGAAATACTAATGTAGCCATAAATAGTGTTCAACCATCTCGTTTCTGATGCCTTTCGAATGTTCAAATGGGTGAACTATTTGTGAATTATTCTCTTCACCTCAGAGTACTTTCAGCGACTGAAAAGGCAGCCACAGCTTGTCATTTTCAGAGACGGCCTCATTCTAATATACCTTCATACTTAAAATGACTTGACTTTTTAAACTCTAAACGCTTTAAGCTTCTGGGAAATATCTTTCAGCTGTCAGCCTCTGCTCTACCAGGGTCCTGGTTCCAGATGTGGGTAGGCAGCTGCTGCAGCTCATGAACAGCTCTGACTTAATTCTCTATTTATTCACACTTTTCTTCCTGATTCTTGTAACATTCTTTTCTTCCTTGCTTAGCAGACACACGTGGCTTGAAGTTGTCACTCTCCATCGTAAAGGAGCTAGAGAAAAAGCTGCACTGTTGCCTGGGGTTCCATAGCAGATGCCAGGGACCCAGAGTGTACTGTGTGAATAGAGGGCGATGCCCCCTGACTATAGTGCCTTTTAGATCACAAGAACAGCCTCCAAGCAAATGTTGTTTTGATAGAAATATAAACAGTGACATTTTTTCTAAAGCTGCTTTTTAAGTCTCTCTTCCTGACTTTGCCTATTGAGGTTTTGATTTATCAAGGGACAACATGTCCTGTTTTTCTGCTCAAAATGGAAAGTGATGTCAAAATGAAATAGACTTTTAAAAAGAGTTTGGTGGTTTAGATTTTCTTTTTCTACTCTGGAGTCAGATACATACGTGTGTATATATTTGCCTAGTAAAATCATTTTCATGTGATGCTTGTGAAATGTCAGCATACGGAAAATGATTTCTTAAACAAGCGGCATTTGGCAGGCTGTATTTAGTTTTCTAGTCAATCATTTCATAACTATAGGCCTCATGTAATTGCCCATCCTTTGGAATTCTTAAAGAAATAGAAGAAACTTCCTTGATTGACTAGAGAGTTCTGTGGTTAAATTAATTGGCTGGTGCCTTGAACCTTTAGGGTACCCTGGACTTAATTCAGGTTAAGATCCTTAGATCATGCCTCAGTGTCACTCTCAGAGATGGGACTCTGTAAAAAAGCGACATGATCCTATACGACATTTATTACATTCTTGATTGTAACAGGAAGAAAATCTATATAGGGTTTGGCGATAAGTTAAAATAAGCAAGCTCAAAGGTCAATGGCCTATGTAAACTTACATCTTGGAGATGGGTAACACTGATGTGGTTTCTCTTTGCATAGTTGAACCCTTCCTCTTCCTCTCTCCCTCATTCACCCCTATCCTGCTGTCAGAATTGATCTTGAGTTTTGGTCTCTTTCCCAAGAAGTAGTTCAGTTTATGGTTCTTGCTACCACTCAGCTTTTAACAGCAGTAATACAACCATAATGCCCATAGTTAATACGTATTGATCCCTTACTAAAAGCCAGGCCCTGCCTGGGTTTACTTAATCTCAGGTATGTATGTTGTCAGCATCTTCATTTTATGAGTGAAGAATCAGAGGCACAGGGTCCTAAAGCTACCTTGCCCCCTCCCTTTTTAGTGGTGGAGGCAGGTTTACACACAAGACCACCTGGCCCCAGGTGCTTCCCTACTTCACCCAGGTAACTTCAGGCCCTAGTCTTTGAACCATACAGATTTCACTTAAGATCCTGGCCCTCTTCTTGAATTTATGTCAGACACATGTGAGGCTTCATTCATCATATATTTCTAAGCAGGCTTTTGTGTGTCTGTTTGAATTCTTTTCCAAGAATTAGGGGAAGTGGGAGTTGGGTCGTGATGTGACAGTCAAAGGACTTAGCCGGAAAGGGTAGAGTTAATGCATGACAGACAAGGGGACTCTCATCTGAAAATTTGTGTGTCTTTGTTTCTTCTCAGGTTCTCCTTACTATGACAATGTCCGCCCCCTCTCTTACCCTGATTCGGATGCTGTGCTGATTTGCTTTGACATCAGTAGACCAGAGACCCTGGACAGTGTCCTCAAAAAGGCAAGTGCTGGGAAATGATGACACACTTCAGTACTGGGTGATGTATAAATAGAAACGTGGGGTTTGTTGGGAAGCTCAAAGACTCTAATCAATTCCCTGCCTTACAATTTGTAATTAAACACTAGAAAGAACCCTTTCACACCAAAATGGGGTTTCCACTTTTTGATGATGAACTTGCTTGAAATTTTATTTCATGAAGCTCTGAAACAAAATACCTTTTAAGGGCCTTCATGTTTGTCCTTTGGGAGAAAAATGGTACAGCTAACAACAGTTATATTTGATTACTATCATATTCATGTGTTCCTTCCTTCTTTCAGTGACTCAACAGATTGCATCTTAGTTTACAGATTTACATTTGACCTCAAGTCAGATAGTGAAAGGAATGCAATAATGGCTATTTTAACAAAGAAGCTGTGTTTTAGTTATGGTGTTATTAGAAACAGAAATGGAACTAGTGTAGGAGGAATAGGGATGTGTCCAATGTGAATTGTCTGATGATCAGGTATCTGTCTAGTAATTATGACCAGGTATCTTTCTAGTAATATGGAAGCAGTGCTTGTAAACATGTTATATATTATAATGTACACATAGTTTATGGAGGCAAAGGTAAGTCAGGTTCCGTAGGAACCTAACTAAGGAAGCTATGGTTGGAAGGAACCAGGGGGAGATCAAGAGGAAGAGGACCTATTACAGGATGGGTCACAGGAACTAGGGAGGCCAGTGGGAGGAAGGGGCGTTTCTTGACCTTCAGCAGTTGAGACTCAGCCTCCAGGTAGTTGTAGAAGGCACATGCCGTGTTAGTCCATGGATCAGCATTTATTAGCCACTAGCTATTTTCTCAGCCCTGGCCTGTGTGCTGTGGGGTTTCAGAATCAGATCCTTGTTGGAGCACTCCCTCTCCTCCACACACTGGCTTCAACACCGGATGTGGCTGAGAGCAAGGCAGTGTCAACTGAGGGGTGACCCATGCAGCCCAGTCTGAGTATGGTATGGATTGAGAAAGACAAACATGCAGGTGTGGCTAGGTTGGTTTTGTTTTTTTCATTTTAATTTTTAGTGGAATTTATTTGTATTTTGTGTGTTTTTATTAGTTTACATTCCCCTATTATATTTGATTGCTTGGCTTGTGTGTCATTGTGAAATCAGGATTTGAAGTATAATAATCCTTCTGTCTCTACTAAATATTACAAACAGAGTTCAATAAAACTCTTAGTAGATCTCTTTCTTAATAGATCAAAGACTCTTTTTTCCTTTTTAGCTCCTTTCAATTTTGAGTAATACATATCTAACACAAATAATGCTAATGCTTGTCAAATCCAGGCAGGAATACACCTTTCCTGTCTTTAATGCTTGTAAACAATTGCTAGACATGCAGAGGGAGGCCAAAGTCATTACACAGCTGAAGAGCAACATAACAACATGTCTAGTTCTGTCTGGAGATAAAAGGGGTTGCTTATTTACTAGAGATTTTACTTGATGTAGTATCAGGCTATGCATAATTTATGATGAAAAGCCTTTCTCCTGTTTTATTTTGCTTTTGTCTTCTAAGACCAAATGAATAGTGACTTTGGGCTTATAGATATTAATGAGTATGTTTTACATTCCTGTGAGGTTTAAGGCTCATGATAACCCCTGCGGTTTGTCTTGATTAATGGAACCCTTTAAGTCCTTCACTATCAAAGAGGAGGTTAGAATGACTTGAAGTAGGGAGGATTTCTTTTTTTTTTTTTTCCAGTTCACCTTCCACTTCTAATGCCAGTGCCACCTAGCATGTGGTAGGTGTTCCTACATAATTCTGAAAGGAGTGAGGGAGAGAGGGAGAGAGGAAGGGAGGGAGGAAAGAAGGAAAGAAGGAAGGAAGGAAGGGAGGGAGGGAGGGAGGAAGGGAGGAATAAGTGGACAAAATGGGCTCTTATGGAAAGTATATTACTCCTTTGAATCCTCTGGTGTAGTTTGCACTAGAGTTCGTTACCCAAAGTACACCCCTAGATTTGGAGATGTCTCCTCTAGTGATCTTTTAAGTTATTCTTGCAGGATGTCCCTCTTATCTAGTGTTATACTTAATACATGACTTCATCACCCCCAGTATTCTGTGAATTTCCTTCCAGAAGACACAGCTATGTCTTAGTCATCATTGTCACTGCCACAGTACTTAGTAGAACACTTACATATTTGTGAATGTGGGTGGGAAGAGTCAGGCGCCACTTCCCCATCTCAGCCTCTCTAGGCCCTGCCCTCAAAGGCCAAAGATCTCCTGTGACCGCCCTGAACTCTTGACTCCCATGCTGTTGCAGAGCTCAAGCTTGAGGAAATGAAGCCACAAAAAGCTGCTTGCTTGTTCTTAAAGAGGACAGTTGGAATTCCAAGCCAGGCATTGCTGAAGGTTCTAATAATTCTTGTTAGATCATGAAACAACTAGACAAATTGGAATAGATTGAAATAGTTTTAAACTAACTTGAAGGCATATGAGCTACAGGACCAGCTGCCTTCCCGATGACCCAAGAGATGTTCCTTTGCAAATGTCATGGTCTGTGTTGATGCAACCATGTGAACAGAAACTCCTTCAAGGCAGGATGTTCTGTTTTATTAACTATCTCAGGTACTTAAAATAGAGCCTCAGCTCGTGGTGGCATGCTTCAGTGTTTCATGATGGGATCAGGGAATGCATACTTGTGCTAGTGTTGCCTCTGCCTTATCCCCAGCCTTCTAGTGAAGGAGGATCAGATCCACACATCGAAGGATGTGGTCACTTGTTAGGATATATAATTATTCTTAAGACACATTTATCTTTAAGAGACACACCAATAATTAAGACATTATTGAAGCTACCTTTGGACAACATCTACCAAGTCTCTTTCAGTAGCAACAGATGAGTCACAGAGAGGGAGAATCAATCATAATATACATAATTATTCTCTAATGCTTAAAAAGTAGTAAAACTTCACATCTGTTCAGGAGATAAATGCAAAGTTTGCTTCTTCATCTCAAGGGACACTCCATTTTTAACATCTTTTCTGAGTTTCATTCTAATGTCAGCCAGTGGAGAAATGGTTTTCATGATATGGATACCGTTACTTTGTTCATTTTTAATCTTTTTTTTTTTTCTTTCATAGTGGAAAGGTGAAATCCAGGAATTTTGTCCAAATACCAAAATGCTCTTGGTCGGCTGCAAGTCTGATCTGCGGACAGATGTTAGTACATTAGTAGAGCTCTCCAATCACAGGCAGACGCCAGTGTCCTATGACCAGGTATGTATGTTGCCCATGTGCAAAACTGGATTTTAGAAAGAGTGAAAGAAATGGACTATCACTCATAATAAATAAAATAAAAAGTAGCTGCTTTTCTAAAGGCTCACCCAGTGGTCAGTTGTGAAATTTAAAATGCTGTCATTTATTAGTGTAATTACATGATATTCGGGTACATAAACAGTTGATATGCTAACCTTGTATATTTCTGCACCTCCCAGTAGGTTTAAAGTTAAATAGGTTTAAGAGAGAATGTGGTCAAAATCAGTAATACTCTTTAAGAGGGGTAATCTGATTTTACAGTCGGCAGTACAATAATAAGGCTGTTGCCAGTAAAGTGGAACACTCCATAACACCATCTTTCAGAGAGTCTTCATTTCTGTAAGCATTTCCCCCAAGTATTTAGAAATGAGAATCAGTTTCAAAAGCTCATTCTCATAAAACCTACAACCAGATTCTAAAGAGAGTTCATGTTGAAATACCAAAATTTTATTAAGAATCATCATTTTAAATACCGCAGTCTTCTTAGTCTTCCATTTCTCATTAGCAAAAAATTTGGTATTTTAAATAAGTAGTTTTGGTTAATGTGCACATGCTTATTGTTGTGTACGTTGGTGGTATGGTTCACACTTAGAAATTACATATGTTGTGTTTCATAAAGTAACAGATGTTACAATAGTATTATTCCTTTCCTCAACGCATTTCGGCCCTAAGTAAGACACAATCACATACATTTCAAAATCGATTTTAAATTTCATTCATTGCCCCTGTTTTTGGTACAACCTAGTCACTAGTCTTGAATGCCATTTACCCTCAAGAAAAGAGAAATGAAGTGCACCATGAGGCGCTGGAACAGGTTCTCAAGGCCACATCGCCACGGCCAGAGCTGTGTGGAAAATGCAGAGTTTATGTTCATGACCTTCAGCTAACTTACTTCACTAGTAAGCTTCTCTGCGCCATTCCATGCTTGCTGTGACCCTGGAAAACCTGAATAACCAGTTAACTCTTGCTTGCAGTTGATAGTGAAGATGAATCACTTCGTTAGCTCCACTCTACACTTCTTTGAATCACCTCATGTTAAGTGTTTGATAACCAGGGTCTTCCTTTGTTAAGATCAGCCTTTAGCATTTATTCAGAGCTCTAACACCTCTAATGAGCCATGAGAGTTGGGCATCTTAGGGATGGGCTCTGGACTGCAAATAGTTATGAAGTAATAAATAAGGCAGTTTACATTTTAACAACTTTTTTTTTTTGCAATGACACTTGGAAAATTCAGTTAACATATCAGCAAACGTTTTGCAATGTGTTATTATTTTGTGGTATTAGAAGATGCTAGCTAACTTTCCCCCAAAGTCTTATTGCTGGTTAAAATCCCTTCTTTTGCTTCTCAGGGGGCAAATATGGCCAAACAGATTGGAGCAGCTACTTATATCGAATGCTCAGCTTTACAGTCGGAAAATAGCGTCAGAGACATTTTTCACGTTGCCACCTTGGCATGTGTAAATAAGACAAATAAAAACGTTAAGCGGAACAAATCACAGAGAGCCACAAAGCGGATTTCACACATGCCTAGCAGACCAGAACTCTCGGCAGTTGCTACGGACTTACGAAAGGACAAAGCGAAGAGCTGCACTGTGATGTGAATCTTTCATTATCTTTAATGAAGACAAAGGAATCTAGTGTAAAAAACAACAGCAAACAAAAAGGTGAAGTCTAAATGAAGTGCACAGCCAAAGTCATGTATACCAGAGGCTTAGGAGGCGTTTGAGAGGATACTCATCTTTTTGGAATCCTGACCTTAGGTTCGGCATGTAGACCAAGTGATGAGAAGTGAATACATGGAAGAGTTTTTAAGTGTGACTTGAAAAATATGCCAAAAAATGAGAGATACAAATGAGCTAGAGGAAGATGAGGGGGGATGCGAGTACCTCCAAGAAGAAAAATCACACTCTGAATGGTGCTTGCATTTTTGGGTTTTTTTTTTTTGTTATAATCTATTCATGGATCTCCACTTTGATTTAATTTTTAAATGTTTTAATCTCCTTTACAAAAAGTATACGTTAATATACCGTCCTCAAGGGGGAACTGGCACTGTGACCTTAGCATTTAGTTTTCTAGAGGATGTGATCTAATTTCTTTCTAGCTCATCATTAAAAAGGAAATTGTATCAGGACCCATGGGATATATCCAGAGGCAAACTTTATGAGGCTTTGAAATCTTGCCTTCCTGAAGATAGCTGAGTAGGATGGTTCTAAGGAAAGCCTTTGCAATCTTGCAAGATTTGTAGACCAGCACTACAAAGATCGCATAGATCAAATAGGAAAAAAAATGTCGATTTTTATTCAGTCTGATGGTTCTGTTCTTCATTGTGATTGTCATTAAAAAGTGGTAAATTGCTCAATGTAATATTTTTGTGCGCTGTTTAGAAGTTGTGTGATTTTTTGCCATCGTTGATAAAAATGCAAAGTCAAATAAAAGGTGTCTTGGTTTGATGTCATAGAATGATCCAAGGAGAGAAAAAAGGTAGTTACTGTTTTCACCAGAAAAGGTAATGAGTGAAGGAAAGAATAGTAGCAGAAAGCACAGTTTGTGAGTAAAGCTGTCTGGAATTAAGTTACCAAAAATACAAAGCAAAAGGACTATTATTTTGGGTTGAAGCTCCAAAACTGACAGCATCTGATAATCTGTTGGTTTATTTCACTTTTCATTAAATGAACATTGATGAGAGAAGATGCCACTTACCCAAGCTTTAGAGAATCCCTAGTGGAAGATTATATGATAAACTTTCAGTCCTGACATAACACTAGGGCATTTCTAGAGTGTCATTGCTAAAACCTCACTGAACAGATGCAGCCAAGGTCTGTGTTCAGCACTTGGTCTCTGTTGTTACGTAAAATAATAAGCATTTAAAATAGTTTACAGATATTTTTGACCAGTTCCTTTTAGAGATTCTTTCAGAGAAGAAACCAGATCTGACCTGTTTATTGTTGGCGCTTGTTGAAAACGAGCTTTCTTTCCCATGATAGTGCTTCGTTTTTGAAGTGTTGAAGCTGTGCTCCCCTTAAATCGTGGCAGGAGAGATTAAGGTAATTACAACACTCAGTTCTATGTCTTACAAGCACTTTGTCTTGTCTCTGCAAGAAAATTCGATTCCAGTCATTTCCCATAAAATACAGACATTTTACCAACATAATATGCTTTGATTGATGCAGCATTATGCTTTGGGCAGTATTACAAAATAGCTGGCGAGTGCTTTCTGTATTTAAATATTGTAAAAAGAAAATAAGTTATAACTGTTATAAAGCAGAACTTTTGTTGCATTTTTTAAACTGTTGAAGTCACTGTGTATGTTTGTTTGGTCAATGTTTCCGCAGTATTTATTAAAACATACTTTTTTTTTCTTCAAATAAAAAAGTAACCATGTCTTTGTCTAAATGTGATCTGTCTTTTATTATCTACTTCCTGATTTAGCTGTTTAGCTTTGTTCTTTAACATAGGTGATTACAGAATCTGGCCTAACGTTTTCTGAACTAGAAGGCTTTGGAATTTTTTGATTCTTCATAGTAGTAACAGATAAACCTGCATATATAAAAGTTTTCATGATGCTTTCAAATCACAAGAAAAAAATGGGGCATAATTAGATTAAGTGATTTGATCATATACAAAAAAGAGCTATGATACTGCCTAAGATTAACTTGTAGAAAAGATGGAAATCCTTCAAGTCTTTAAGAATGAAGCAATATGATGCAGTCTCAAGTCACAGGTTTAATACTAATATAAGCCTAGTTTGCCTCTCTGCCCTGTGGGGTCCTAAGCCTTGGTCCTTAACCCATGCCACCTCGCAAGGCATGCCCTTGTTCACAGCAGTTGTGGGGATGACCCAGAACACAGCTTTTGCAGCAATTCGTGGAAGGATAAATAACACAGCACAACATAATACAAGTTACCCCACTGATCTGGGAGATGTACAGTAAGCATGGAACAGCTTAAAAGAGAGGACTATCTCCCCATAAATCCAGTTGATTCTCAGTCTTCAGCTAAAATACTTACATATAAGTTTTACATAAGTGTCCAAAGATACTCTGTGGGATTTTAAAACAGTGCTTCTTTTTACACAGCTAAGTCACTTCATATAAAAAAATGCATCCTTGTGGCTTCTTTTTTTCTGAGTGGCTTTGGGAATCTTGGAGGTATAGTTATTTGCTTGGAAATAATTCTCAGAAGCCCAAAGCAAAGGGGGAAGCAGAGAATCCAGCATGAGTGAACAAATTAAAGCACACTGACATTATGAAATGGCCTTATAAACAATTTTAAGCACAGAGATTTACTGAAAATGTCTGTAACTCATTCTCGTCATCAAATAGTAAAGGAAATAAAAGTACTTTCCAAATCCTTCGTGTTGAGTAACTTCGGAGCATAATGTCTAAGTCAGGCTTGCAAGAAACTCATTTCTCAACAATCACTGGCACAGAAAAATAAAAAAATAAATAAAAAGCTGAGGTTTTGCTGACCTTGGCAGTATTTTATATGCTGTACAGTAATGTTCCTCTCTGGTCAATTGTTCTTTCCTAGCAGCTTTAATTTGTTGAAGCAAAAGAAAAACGTTTGTCTTCAGCCTTGGGCATGGATGCCTTCGTTTTCTCTGACTTCTTGCCTTAGCAAACATTTCTTCTAAGCATTCTGTGAACATTCCTTTCTATTGATTAATGATCATGGTTAATGCCTTTTTAAATACTAAAAGGTGGTTTTCAAACTCTGAGTAAGACTTACACTGTGTCTCTCTCATTTTAATCTTTTACAGGAATAGTTTCTTAGAAGATTCTAGTCTTGCAGGGAGTCTGTCTTGAGTACAAACTTAGAAATAACTCAGGGAGTTATTTTTATTAGAAAGAATTTTTTTAAATGACCTCATCTTCTAACTCTCCTGAAACTCTTAAAGCTGCTTATCCTTTTTCTACTGGGTTATTTTGACACCAGCATTCTGTTTTAACCTCAAAGTTTTTATTTTTATCATTTTTCTATTCACCAAATATTTATTGAGTGCCTACTACATGCCTGTCACTTTTCTGAGTTTGGCTCATAATCATGAATTAAATACAGTCTCTCACATGGGGAATTTATAATGTAGTAGTGGGAGACAGTCACTACCAAACTATAGTACACCAGAACTGGTTGTCATTTCCATTGACATAAACTGAATCAAAGAAAGTGAGTAGGCACTAAATATTCCAATACATAGCCAGGCACATTAATGCAATAGCCGCATATGTTACACCACATACGGAAGATGATCAATTGCTAGTGAGAGGACGCTCCCTTCGTTCTTTATGTCTCCCAGAGGCAGTTGGTAACTTATTTACAACTTTAGGTTCCTCTCAGCTCTGGGAACATAGTTCTTGCCTCTTACCACTTGTTCATATACTTGGCTACATAAATTCCCTTTCTGTTTTCTCCTTTCCTGAACATAATCTCCATGAATATGACTCTTTCTACAAAACTACAGCATATAAATAAATAGACTCAAGCAACATAAAGTATTGTGGTGGGCTGCATAATGACTCCCCAAGCATGTCCACCTCCTAATCCCAGAAACTGTGAATGTTTCCTTGTATAGCAAAAAGGACTTTGCAGTTGTGATCAAATTAAAGATCTTGTGATGGAAAGATTATTCTGGATTATCCAGAGAGGGCCCATGTAGTCACAGACCTTTATAACAATTATGTAGGAGGAATCAGAGTCAGACAGTGGCAATGTGATGACAGAGATGACAGAGGGTCAGGCAGAAGGATGGAGAGAGATTTGAAGATGCTATGCTGCTGGATTTTTTTTTTTTTGGCAGAGTCTCACTCTCTGTCACTCAGGCTGGAGTGCAGTAATATGATCATAGCTCACTGCAGCCTTGAACTCCTGAGCTCAAGTGACCCTCCTGCCTCAGCCTTCTGAACAGCTGAGACTACAGGTCTATGTTACCATACCTGGCTAATTTTTAATTTTTTTTTTTTTTTTTTTTGGTGGAGATGGAGTCTTGCTATGTTATCCAGGCTAGTCTCAAACTCCTGGTCTCCACCTCTCAAAGTGCTGGGATTACAGGTATGAGCCACCATGCCTGGCTTATGCTGCTGTCTTTGAAGACAGAAAAAGGGGGCCATGAGCCAAAGGATACAGTTGGCCTCTGGAAGCTGGAACGGTCAAGGAAAGGAATTCTCCCCCAGGGCCTCCAGAAGAGTTGCAGCCCTGTGGACCTACTTTAGATTTCTGACCTCAAGAACTGTAAGATTATTAATTTATATTGTTTTAATCCACTACATTTGTGATAATTTGTTACAGGAACAATAGGAAACTAATACAGGTACACTAACAAAACTATTTTCTTCCTTCACCCCTTGCTTTTGGCTTCTTTAGATGATGAGGCAATGGTTTTTACTCATGGAGCTGCTACCACAGACCCTGGGCACTCCCTTCACACATGGCCTCCCTGCCGCACCTGAGTAGATCAGAAATCACTCTCTTTTCACTTAGTGCCCTCAAAGCTCCTGGACAATCACCTCATCCTGTTGGCCTTTTATGAGAACATTCATAGTAAATATTCCCTCTAATATCTGCCTCCTGAGCACCTTTGAGATAGATGATAATTATGGTCCTGGTCCTGCAAGGCATAGAATATTGGAGGGAAAAAGAGTCAGTGTTCTGGGATAAAATAAATCTGTGAAAGTTTTCATCCAATATTTACTATGGGCATGACTGTGATAATTACTGTGTGGAATTTGGAGAAGTCAAAGACCTAGCTCCAGATTCAGCTAAGGTAGATGACGTTTACCCTGGCCTTGCATAAATGTTTCAAGTATATTGAGGTGGTGACTGATCATGGGGAGAATGGACAATCAGAGGAAAAAATATATATTGTGGGCTAAAGCAGTTTTAGATGTTTTCTTAGAAGTGTAGACATTTTATAGAAAAAAGAGATATCAAAATTAACTATTCAGGAGTTTCTTAACCTCTTGTTTTTAAAAGTTGGTTTCCTTTAAAAAACTTAATGACAGCTATAAACCCTTTGTTCCTTAAAAATGCAAAAATACATATGACTCAGATAGCCATAACATTTTACACACAATTTCAGGAAGTTCACAGACTTCCCTTGATATTCATTCATGAACCTATAGTACCCAGATCAAATATTTCTGTGTCAAACTTCTCTATTTTACAAAGAAGAATATGGAAGTTTAGTTACATTCAGGGACTTGCCCAGGGTGGCTAAGCTAATGGCAGAGACTAAAAACAGGCCTTCAGATTCTCAATCTCTGTTCTCCCTGACCCTGGCCAACGAGGAGGCTATTGCTTGCAGAGGCCCAATCAAATGTGTATTTGCCATTTGATGGGATTAGAATGTGTGGTTTCCTCCAAATCCAGATATGGTACTGCTGGCAAGTGCAGTGGAGTTTTTCTGAGAGTAGAAAATAATACAATGGAAATAGTTGTTTGGGTGATGCCTTTTGCTTTTGCAGACCCAGTCATTTACTTAGTCAACAAATACTCTCTGAGTATTTTCTATGTCTCAGATGCTGTGTTCTGTGCTGGGCATACAGAGAGATGAATTAGACCCTGTCCTTGTTCTATAGATGCCTGTCTAGGGTGAGAAAGACAAATACAAATAAAATCACAATTCAGAGTGATAAGAAATGTTGGGGGAGTATAAATAGACAGTCCTCTCCTCCGTCATTATTGTTGTTGCTCTTCTCTGCTCATGTCCTAAATATCAAAGACTGATTCTTAGAAGGATTAAAGAACAAATAAGATGAGATCAGATTGCACTTAGTTGATTTTTTTCCCTCTGTAATTCTATGGAGGATAATTAATAGTCCAATTCTGCTGATGAAAAAAATGTGTTTCTTTATCCTCCAAATGCAAGCTCGCATTCTGCCTGGGATTCAAAGGGAGAAGGTTCAGGTGTTCTCCTAATGCCATGTGCAGAAGCAGGCGGGTATTACTTTTCACAATCAGTAATAAAAGGAGTAACATGTTTTCTCAATAAAGACATCAAGCCTATAGTGTGAGCGTGTATTGGTGAGGAAGGAAGGAGATACACACACACACACACACATATGTATGTATCTATATGATAGGACCAATTAACCTCAAGAGCATAATAGCAGTAACACCTGCTATTCTAAGGAACAGAATCCTAAGGAACAGAGCTGTCCAAAGGAACAGAATTCAGAAATTCAAATCAAAATAATCAATTCAGTAATGAGGGACAATGTGAATGACATCTTTCTTCATGTTTCATACCCAGCCATTTTTCTATGGAAGGCTTTCCTAGTGCTCACCCCAGGATCTGTTAAACCCACTTCAGGCAGTAGCTAGTCATCCTTTTTGCAGCTTTAGATAGAAGTTGGTGGGAAATCCCTTTAATGCTGACTTAATTATAGATAAATGGGTACCTGGAAAAAAAGGAATAGGTTGCTTAGACTCTTAAAGAGACATTTAGATTTGTTGAAGTCAGTCTTCCAGCTGCATAGGTCTGGATGTCGTTGACAAACAAAGTCCTAAAATGAAGCTGTCAGCCAAGAGAAATCAAAATCTGTCAGTTGTTCCTTTCATATCATGGCCACTTCTGTCATTCTCTGAGGCCCTTCCAAAGTGGGAAGAAAATAGCTTTCTGGCTAGAATGTTGCAACACCTTCCTTGCCATCTCTTGACATCACTCGAGAGAAAAATTGGGTTGCATTTCCAGTTCCCTAATGAGACAAAACAGATTGAGGAAAGGCAGAGGAATTATGTCAGTTTGGGAAAGACACAGGCAGAACAGTAAATGATAAGTTTTTTTGTTGTTGTTTTGTTTTTGTTTGCTTGTTTGTTTGTTTTGATGGAGTCTCACTCTATTGCCAAGCTGGAGTGCAGTGGCGCAATCTCAGCTCACTGCAACCTCCGCCTCCCGGGTTCAAGTGATCCTCCTGCCTCAGCCTCCCAAATAGCTGGGACTACAGGTGCCCGCCACCATGCCCAGCTAATTTTTTGTATTTTTAGTAGAGATGGGGTTTCACTATGTTGGCTAGGATGGTCTTGATCTCTTGACGTTGTTATCTGCCTGCCTGGGCCTCCCAAAGTATTGGGATTACAGGTGTGAGCCATTACACCTGGCCATAAGTCGTAAGTTTTTAAACAGTAGACCCTAGATGGTTCTAGTTTTTGTATGTGTTATTCCCTTAAGTGCTGCCCACAATTAGATACTGATAAAATCTTTTTGATGATAATTTAAATATGGTTTTGTTTAAATTAATCAAAAAACCTAGAATCATCAATGGGGCTTATATTAGTCAGTGTTCTCTTAGAGGGACAGAACTAATAGGATATATATGTGTGTGTGTGTGTGTGTGTGTATACATATATATAAAATATATATATGGGAGTTTATTAAGTATTAACTTACACGATCACACACAATAGGCTTTCTGCAAAGCTGAGGAGCAAGGAGAACCAGTCCGAGTCCCAAAACTGAAGAACTTGGAGTCCGATGTTCAAGGGCAGGAAGCATCCAGCACAGGAGAAAGATGCAGGCTGGGAGGCTAGGCCCATCTCTCTCCTTTCCACGTTTTTCTGCCTGCTTTATAATCGCTGGCAGCTGATTAGATTGTGCCTCTCAGATTAAGGGTGGATTTGCCTTCCCCAGCCCATTGTCTCAAATGTTAATCTCTTTTGGCAACCCCCACAAAGACGCACTCAGGATCAATACTTTGTATCCTTCAATCCAACCAAGTTGATACTCAGTATTAACCATCACAGGGCTATTCCCTGGAAAATTGAGACAGGAGAAAATATCATGTCAATTCATTTGTATTGCTGTTATTTACTGTTTAAGTTAGAGAAAAGGTCTTGATAAGAGAAGAAGGGATGAAAGGAATACAACCGCTGCTATTTTTCCAAATTAAACAACAAAAATTGACTTAAAATTGTGGCTTCCCATTACTCTTATAATCATGCTCAAACCTATTCGCATGGCTTATAAGGTTCAGGCCTAGCTGCTCCTTGTTCACCAGCCGAGCCTCATCTCTTACCACATTCATCCTTTCCCTCCCTCTCCTTGTGATCTTTGCTCCAGCCTTTAAAATGTTTCTTTAAATTCTCCTAAATCTGTAGCATTCATGGTCCATGGAACACTACTCCCTCCAAGTGGAACCTACAAATGAATCATAATCTGATCTCAAACCTTATAGGCAATTGATAAGGAAATCATTTATACTACAAATAATATGGTTTGGCTCCTTGTCCCCACCCAAATCTCACCTTGAATTGTAGTGCCCATATTCCCCATGTGTCAAGGGAGGGATCAGTAAGAGGTAATTTAATCATGGGGGTGGTTATCCTCATGCTGTTCTTGTGATAGTGAGTGAATTATCTCAATATCAGATGGTTTTAGAAGGGGCTTTTCCCCCTTTTGCTTTGCACTTTTTCTTCCTGCTGCCATGTGAAGAAGGCTGTTTGCTTCCCCTTCCACTGTGATTACAAGTTTCCTGAGGCCTCCCTATCCCTTAGGAACTGTGAGTCAATTAAAACTCTTTCCTTTATACATTACCCAGGCTCAGGCAGTTCTTCATAGCAGCATGAGAACAGACTAATACAATACACAAGGTAAAAGTATTTTCCCTCCCAAATAAAACAGTAAAGTATTAATGTTTACTATTCTACGTTCCTTAGCTTGCATGAAAATTAATAAAGCAAAGACAAAGTAGGGCCCAGCCACTGTGTTCTCTCACTTTTGACCTTTACACATGCTGTTCCTTCTGCCAGAAATACTCTTCTCTCTTCTCATGGTTGGCAATGGCTACCTGGAAAAATCATTCTGATCCTTCATGGTTCAACTTAGATATCATAAATTCAGATATTTTCCTACTGACTCTACAAATTGAGTTAGATGTTCCTGTTATCTGGATCTATGGTACTTTTCATACCATAGGGTACATTGCAGCATAAGAGGAACATACATGCCTTATTCCTCATTATAACCAACTATCTGGCCTGGTTTCTGGCGCATCCTAGGTCTTTAATAAATATGTGTTTATTAAATAAACAGCAAAACTAGTATAACCCTGTCATTTTCCCTCTAGCCCACTCCAGCAGAATGGAGGAGATAAGCCATGGCTATGCTCATCGCTCATCTAAAGCCAAGAGTTGGAAATGCAGTACTAGTTGAACATAGAATTGGGGTTGGGTGAGGGAGTATAAAAAACTATAAAAATAGAACAATTAACTACATTTGAGAAAATAAGTAAAGAAACTAGGGTATTTTTAATATGACCCTAAGTGAATACATTAAAAAATAAGCAATTTTGTCTAAGAAAATACATTCAACCTTGGAGTGCGAGGTAACAGTAAGAAAAAAAGTCTCCCTTCAGGAAAGCCAGACCTCACCTTACACTAAATTTTCAGAGGGACATTTCAGGGCAACATGTAACACTGGAATCAGACCTCTCAAACAAAAGAGGGATTAGAAAGACCCAGAGTAGACCTCATTATAGAACAAGCTCAAGGCAAATGAGAATATTTAAAAAATGAGAAGTATCCTCATTATGGCTTTCAGGTAATCCATGTGATTTCAGAATGGGAAAGGGCAGTAACAAGACTTGTCTTGCAAAGGTGGCTCATGCAATTCTGCTTTATTGCAATATTGTCATTATTCCACTATGAGAGAGTGGTTAGGAAATAAATAATTGAGGCCAACAGAAAAGCAATTAAAATACAATTTTCTGCAAAGGAGAGCTTGCCAATGGAAAATATTAAATGGCAGCAAGGACATTGAGGAAAGTGTTAGAATTCAAAAACAGGCTCCCACCTGTCCAGAGGTGAGGTTGATGAAGCTTTCCCAAAGCAAGGTCCCTTGCAGCTCTTGGTTGAAGCCATATCGTTTGCTAGGCAAATTCTCCCATTTTTTTTTTCCATGGGAATATACCATCAGGACTTTTTTTTTGGTTTGTTTGCTTGCTTGCTTCTTCAGAAATGTATGTAACTTCTGTAGCTGCCCACAAGATAGTCCAGCAGAAAACTGCAAGTGTTCAGAAGCTGGAAGACTTCGCAATAGTTTCTTCTGTGTTTGCTCCCAAAGAGATTTATCTTTCTTTGTCCTTCCATCCCTGCCTACAACTTCAGCCAACCCTACAGACAAACATGCCTCAAACAAGTCTACCCAAAACCACAGGGCCCACATCCTTTAGTAACAGATAATTACACAGTAGTGACTTTTTTTCTGGCTAGCATATCTATAATTTTTCATCCACCCTGCTTTTTTCTCACTGTCTCATGGTCATTGTTCTTTTAACCCAAAGTAGCTGCTTCTCTTACTATGTTTAACTCACCATAGTTTTATGTCTCTCTGTTTTATAACATTCTCGTAGTGCCTTAGTGTAATGTTGAGTCTAAACGAAGATCATGGTTTTTCTAATTGTTGTTTTTACAGAATAAAGAAATTAACAATGTTTTTCAAAGCAGGTTAGAACTAAATTCTTGAGAACATGGCTCTCAAAATCTGAGTTCCTTTGTGAGGCCTCGCAAAATCTGTCACGTGTATTGCTGTAATAAAGGCCACTACACGGTTGGGTGTGTTGGCTCACGCCTATAATCCCAACACTTTGGAAGGCCAAAGCCGGCGGATCACATGAAGTCAGGAGTTTGAGACCAGCCTGGCCAACAAGGTGAAACCCCATCTCTACTGAAAATACAAAAATTAGCCAGGCATGGTGGCCCATGCCTGTAGTTCCAGCTACTCAGGAGGCTGAGGCATGAGAATCATTTGAGCCTGGGAGATGGAGGTTGCCATGAGCCAAGATCATGCCACTGCACTCCAACCTGGGTGATAGAGAGAGACTCTTTCAAAAAACAAAACAACACAAACAAACAAAAAAGACCACTACAGCTAGGCACAGTGGCTCACACCTGTAATCCCAACACTTTGGGAGGCTGAGATGGGAGGATCACTTGAGCTCAGGGGTTTGAGACCAGTCTGGGCAACATAGTGAGACCCTGTCTCTACCAAAAAAAAAAAAAAAAAAATGGCCCAGCACAGTGGCTTACGCCTGTAACCCCAAAACTCTGGGAGGCCGGGGTGGGATTGTCACTTGAGATCAGGAGTTCAAGATAAGCCTGACCAACATGGTAAAACCCCATCTCTACTAAAAGTACAAAAAATTAGCTGGGTGTGGTAGCATGTGCCTGTAATCCCAGTTACTTGAGGTTGATGCAAGAAAATTGCTTGAACCCAAGAGTTGGAGGTTGCAGTGAGCCAAGATTGCACCACTGCACTCTAGCCTAGGTAAAAGAGTGAGACTCCATCTCAAAATAAATAAATAAATGAATAATTTAAAAAATTAGTTGGGCATGGCAACATGTGCCTGTGGTCCCAACTACACAGGAGGCTGAGGTGGAAGGATCACTTGAGCACAGGAGGTTGAGGCTGCAGTAAGCCATGTTCACGCCATTGCACTCCAGTCTGGGTGACAGAGTGAGACCCTGTCTCAAAAAAAAAACAAAAAAACAAAAAAAAAAAACACTGAATTTTAAGATCTATGTTATATTCCAGCACTGACCACAGAATCAAGTGTATTGGATAATGCTTACTCAATCTGTATTAGCTAAATGAACAATAAAAATTATTATACACTGAAAACATGGGTCTTCTTTATAGAAAGTATATTTTATCAAAGAAGTACATTTGAATAAAATAAAAAATGGATGCATGCACTTATGCTCTATGTGAAAAAGAATTGAGTTATATTACATTGTAGTATAGCATAGTACAGTATTTTAGAGATGGAAAGGAATTCTGAAGTTTTCCAGCCCTACCTTTTCATGGTCACCAAAGCAAAGAGTAACAAAGAAAGGCAAAAATCATACCTCTCCCAAGGATATAAGAAATTTATGAGACAGTTTACAAGGGATTTCAATTGTTATTAAGATCATTACTAAAATTAAAGCATAGAGCATTGATTGAGAGTGCTCAAGAGTGAGAACTGTGCCCTTACTTCAAGTTACTGGGTCGCATTCTTTTTTATACTCCTCAGTAGCATCTTTCATGCATGTTCACTAAATATTGGTTTATTGGTTGATGAATAAATAATGCAGAGGAATTTCCCTGAGTTGATTTACCCATCTTTTCTCGTCTACCTCCTTGTCCTTTCTGCTTTTACGAACAATGTGATTTGACGGAAACCATTAGCTGGCATTTCCTCTTTAAGGGAATGGTTCGATATGGGCTTGTTACAGAATCAAGACAAATCTTCCATGGCATGAGGATTGTTTGTTCACACATTAATATAAAATACCACTGAAGAAAGTCCTGATTTTTCCTTTCAGTTTTTTCAGTATAGCTATGTATAAAACTAGACAGTGAAATTAGTCAAGAGGGAAACTCAAGTTCTTTTCTCCGTTTAAACCAGTACTGTCTCCTCTGTTTGGTGATTCTGAATGAATTATTTTGTGTTTAAAATCTTCCTGTAATGACTGAGTTCTGCCAAAATCTTGCATCTGACTTAGAAACTAACCTTCTCTTAGGTCAGGTTTTTTCTAGGTGCTGTTTGGTTTTAGAAGACCTAGTTATGTATCTCTACTATGAGACCAGATTTAACAGTTTTGAGAACTGGGGATGCTCAGTTTAAGATTTAAAATTGCCTGGAGATTTTAGAGAAAATAAGGTCTGACCTCTTATTAAACTGCTGTTTATGGAATGACTGTGATGCCAGTGAACTTCTAAGATATAGAAAGCCTAGCCACAAAGCTTGCTCTGCAGGCATCTGCTCTAGAAATAAATTAATTATGTAGGAAATTAATGAATGTATTCTTCTTTTAGGAAAATACGACATAGACAACAAAGTCCCTTAAAACATCAGCCTCACGCAAGGGCCATCCTCTCTTCCTCTTCCTGTCTAGATTTTAGCTTTGTCTCTTTTTTCACATTTTACTTTGCTCATTCACCTGCCTTACTACTCATATACTTCATTTTTTATTACCTTTATTTATCCATACTATTTTGGCACTTGGCAGTGAATCAACTAGATGACAGAACCATTTACTGTTGGTACAAAGGTCTTACAGAATATACCCACACAATGATCCCATAAACCCCCTTCATCACCATCACCTCCACCATCATCACCATCATCAAGACACTGACTTAACTGCTGCTATATCTCTGTCTCTAGACATCCCTTTCAGCTCCTCTTTTCTATTTTCTTTTCTTTTTAAGGGCTTTCCTTAAGTTTTTCCCAGATAAAGAGATTAAAATAAAAATAAACCATAGAAGAATGATAATGGGAATAATAGTCTTATGGAAGTTTAGTTCCCTAAATCTGAATTAGTCTGCTAGGCCTTCTAAAATACTATGTATTTATTTATGTCTTGCCACATTCCAAGAAGAATTAAAGGTGATTTGTAAGAAATACACAAAACAAGATAATAAAATAAATAAATGAAAAAAATGGGGACAGGAAAATAAATAGAATCAAGGCCTATATCACACAGATCTGTAATTGCTTTAAAATAAATGACAATTTTGCCTTGATTTTTCTAGTAAATCAAACAAAGAGAGGAGCTTTCACATTACTATGGGCCACAGAGGCCATTTTAAAAGAATAATACAACTTTAAATGTCAATAGAATGAATTTGAATAAATACTTCTATAATTCAATGAAAAGAAAAGAAACAGTATCAGTTCAAAATTTCATGGACATTTTGTTTTACAATACAAAAATTATTCAAATCACCTTCCCCTAAAAAAGGATCTTTAAAATAAACTGACTTGCAGTGAATATGTTGATTATTTATCATCTAGTCAACTTTTAGAGAATTACACTTATGTATCTGGAACTGTGTTATATAAACTACAGTTCCTGCCCTTTAGGACATTTCTGTCTAATTGGGAGAACCGATGTGTACACAAAATTCTAACAGAGCAAGAACATGCTAATTGAAGGAGGCACAGTTACACAATGTGATGGACACACACTGGATTGTAAAAATCACAGACAGGTTTAAATCTTGGCTCACCCACTCCTCCATTGCTAGATATACCTGAGATGCATTTCTCTCTTCTAGAGGTGGGTATGATAACATCACATACATTTGCTATGAACAGAGTAACTTCTTTTTAATCTTAGCATGATTAGCATCATCCCAGGAAAACTATTCTTAACCTGTTTGACAACGTTACTTTCCCCATCAGACACTCTCAGAGAACCTTGTGCCCTTCCTTCTTGGTATTTATCACAGCTGTAACTTTATATTTGCGATTCTTTTTTTCTTCTTTTTTTTATAGACAGAGTCTCACTCTGTTGCCCAGGCTGGAGTACAGTGGTGTGAACTTGGCTCACTGTAACCCCTGCCTCCCAGGTTCAAGCGATTTTCCTGCCTCAGCCTCCTGAGTAGCTGGGATTATAGGCGCGCACAACCAGGCCCAGCTAATTTTGGTATTTTTAGGGTTTTGACATGTTGGCCAGGCTGGTCTCAAACTCCTGGCCTCAAGTGATCTGCCCGCCTCGGCCTCCCAAACTGCTGGGATTACAGGCATGAGCCAATGCGCCTGGCCTAAAAGTGATTCTTTGATTAATGTGTGTCCCAGCCCAGTACCTGGAACCTAATAGGTGCTCAATAAATTTTGGTTGAATGAATGAATACATCCATGACTAAAGGTTAAGAGACATACCATAGCACATGCTCAGTTCAGTGTCTAGCCTCTTGGCAATGCCATATCTTGGCTAGGAAATTTCTCCTATTGTCCCCACAGGAAAATAACATTATTATTATTATTATCACTTGAGCTGAGTGTCTAGGAATCCACCAAGTAAAAACACTGAAAGATATGTTATGGCTGTAACCTAGACTAACTTTTGTCTCACTCCATATTTTGTAGAACTAATATGAATAAGAGATCCAGCTTGCTTTTCTCTAGTAAATAAAATAACGTAAACTCTTGGTATTAAGCTTAATCAAATCAGAAAAGGCTTCCAAAATTGTACCTTGAATTATATTTAATGATTAATGTTTATTCCAGGATCTCAGTTACCCTAATGAGAGACTTTTCTCTTAGATCCTTTAATAGAATATTGCATAAAACATCTGCTTATTTCCTGTGGGTTGAATAAGTGGCTCAAAACAGAAATACCCATCTGATTAGAGCAGTTTTACTTTCATGGTGACAAAGGAAATGTCCTAGTGTATAAAGCAAAAATCCTCTTCAATCTGTAGATCTGTAGATAATTAGCTAATTAATGTCCAACTGAACCTATAGGGTCAATAAGAGGAAGAACTATATTTGTTTTTTTGTTCTCCAATCCTAACACAATGCTTGGCACATTTTATACACTTAGTAAATATTTGTTTAATGAAAGAATGTATGACAGAATGACTTACTGGTTGAATGAATAAAAATGGATATAAAAGCTCAAGCAATGTTCTAGTCCTTCTAGAGAGAAAAGCTGGCCTCACCAACAGGGTCTCAGTATTACCCACTCATTATTTGAAAATCCTTACCTTTAGTCACTACTTTGAATTTTATACTACTACACTTTGCTTTGTACTACTAAACTTTGTTATGTGGCATCAATCTCCCCCCACAAAAGAACATCAGAAACACACCTATAATCAAACACAGTTGAGCTTATTTCTTCTTGCAATGAAAGAACCACAGGGTACTTTAAAGAGAAGGTGTTAGGAATGACTAACTGTAGGATTTACACTTGTATTAGGTAATTTGGAGAAGAGTTGAAGGAAGAGAGAGTTCACTCTGGATTGAATGCTGCCAGAAAGCTAATTCTATGATTTGTTATTTTAATAAATTTTAAGTAGAAAATGAAGTAAAAATGGAGAGACACAGGAGCTCTCACAGGTAAATAAGCAATAGTCATTCACATTATCTGAGCAAAGACAGTGTTTGGTATTTTGTGACCTGGATAATGTTGATGTTGTTAGTGTTCAGACATGATTAAGGAGCAGTCTTGTTTTTGCCCTCATCTTTCATAATCCTTGAGTGGCTTTATCTGATGTTGATGTTCTACAAAACTGGCATATTCAACTGAACACCACAACCTGGCAATGAGTGCCAGGCCAGCCCTGGATATTAAAGACCACTTTCTCTTTCTCAATGGAAAAGTGACATGAAAACTGTTATCACTTATTTAATTTAGGTCAAATGGATTTCTCAGTTTTTTTAGTAGAGTCTAGTAATTAAAATATTAGTCAAATGTGGGATTGTCACAATTAACAAACATCATACTCAATGGTGAAAGACAAGCTTTTTCCCTAAGAACAGAAACAACACAAGAACCCCCACTTTTGCCATTTCTATTCAACATAGTATTGGAAGTTCTTGCCAGAATAATTAGGCAAGGAAAAGAAATAAAAGACATCCAAACTGTAAAGAAAGAAGTAAAATTATCTCTGTTCACAGATGACATAGTCTTATACGTACAAAATCCTAAAGATTACACACATATACACACAAACTGTTAGAACTAATACACGAAATCAGTAAAGTTGCAAGATACAAAAAAAAACACAAAAAACAAGTTGCCTTTCTATTGATTAACAATGAGCAATCCCATTTTCAATAGCATCAAAAATAATAAAATATTTAGAAATACATTTAACCAAGAAGGTGAAAGACTAGTACACATAAAACTACAAAAATTGCTGAAAGAAATTAAACAACATTTAAGTAAATGAAAATATGCACATGTTCATGGATTGGAAGAAAAAATTGTTAAGATGACCATATCATGTAAATCAATCTTCAGATTCAATGAGATCTCTATCAAAATTCCCATGCTATTTTTTGCAGAAATACAAAAATCCATCCTAATATTCATTTGGAATATCAAGGAACCATAAGTGGTCAAAATAATCTTGGGGAAAAACAAGAACAAAGTTGGAGGACTTATACTTCCTAATCTCAAAACTCACTACAAAACTATAATAACCAAAACAGTGTGGTGTTGGCATAAGCTCAGACATATAGACTAATGGAATAGAATAGAGAACTCAGACAAAAACCCCTTGCATATATGGTCAATTAATTTTTGGCAATAGTGCCAAAACCATTCAATAGGGAAAAGACAGTCTTTTCAACATATGGCACTAGGATAACTAAATATTCACATGTAAAATAAAGAAGTTGGACCTTTAATTTATGCTACATATAAGAATTAACTCAAAAGGGTCAACAACTTATATGTAAGGGTGAAATTATAAAATGCTTAGAAAAAACCTAGGGGAAAATCTTCATGACATTGAAATTGGCAATGATTTCTTGAATGCAACAGTATAAACACAAGTAAGAAAAAAATAGGTAAATTGGACTTTAATCAAAATTTCAAACATTTTAGCACCAAAGGATGTTATCAAGAGAGTGAAAAGACAACCCACAGAATGGGGAAAAATATTTGCAAAGCATATATCTGGTAAAAAGTAATATCCAGAATTTTTTTTAAAATTTATTTATTTATTTTTATTTTTTGAGACAGAGTCTCACTCTGTCGCCCAGGCTGGAGTGCAGCGGCGCAATCTTGGCTCACTGCAAGCTCTGCCTCCCGGGTTCACACCATTCTTCTGCCTCAGCCTCCCTAGTAGCTGGGACTACAGGTGCCTGCCACCACGCCCAGCTAATTTTTATTTTTTTTTGTATTTTTAGTAGAGATGGGGTTTCACCGTGTTAGCCAGGATGGTCTTGATCTCCTGACCTCATGATCCACCTGCCTCGGCCTCCCAAAATGCTGGGATTACCGGCGTGAGCCACCGCACCTGGCCAATATCCAGAATTTTTAAAAAAACTTATAAGTCAACAACAAAATAACAGATAAACCAATTCAAAAATGGGCAAAGGATTTAAATAGACATTTCTCCAAAGAAGATACACAAATGGCCAGTAGCACATAAAAATATGTTCAACATCACTAGCTATTAGGGAACTATAAATCAAAACCACAATGAAATGCCACTTTATACTCATTAAGTTGGCTATTATTTAAAAATAGAAGGAGAAGGAGGAGGGGAAGGAGAAGGAGGAGGAAAAAAAGGAAGAGGAGAAAAGAAAGAGATAAGAAAAGAAGGAAAGAAAAAAAGAAAAAAGAGAACAAAGGAAAATAACAGTTGTTGGTGAGAAATTAGAACCTTGTGCCATCTTGCTGGTGGTGGGAATATAAATTGGTGTAGCCACTGTGGAAAATAATTTGGTGCTTCCTCAAAAAGTAACACAAAGAATTATAGCATGATCCAGCAATTCTACTTCTAGTTATATACCTAAAAAAGTTGAAAGTAGGGATTCAAAAAAATACTTTTACACTAACGTTTATAACAACATTACTCACCATAGCCAAAAAGTGGGAACACAAATGTCCATCAACAGATGAACAGATAAAGAAAACATAGTATATACATGTAATGGAATATTATTTAGCCCTAAAAGGAATGAAATTTTGATATATGCTACAATATGATGAATCTTGAAAACATTATGCTAACTGAAATAAAGACACGGAAGGGAAAAATACTATATGATTCTAGTTGTATGAGGGACCTAGAATAGGAAAATTCATAGAGACAGAAAGTAGACTAAAGATTACCAAGGGCTGTGGGAAATTGGGAGTTATTTTTTAATGGGTATAGAGTTTCTGTTTGGGATGACGTAAGAGTTCTAGAAATGAATAGTGGTGATGATTGCCTAACATTGTGAACCACTGAATTATACGTTTAAAAATGTTGGAAATGGTAAATTGTATGTTATGTATATTTCACCACCACAACAAAAAAAAGGTCAGGTTGTTTGCACAGCAAAGGAAGAGGAATACATCTTAGAACAGGCAGTCATGTGAAATGGGTGCTTTATTACAGAAATGGCTACTCAGAGGGTTGGGATATTTAAAGACATAACACATAAAGAGAAGGAAAAGGAATCATAAACACCAATTACTTTGTGTTTTGAATTGTTGAGACTAATTTTTAGAAATAAGATTTTGTACAATTATGACGTACTGAAATGAAATTTGTTTTTTTACAAAATTTACAGAAATGAAATTTTGTAAAATTATGACATGGTGTTTTTATAAAATTTACACAAATGGTATTTTGTAAAATTATGAAACAGAAAACTGGAATTTCTGTTGCTACAAGAGTTATGCAACACAATCACTAAACATATATGTAAGCAGTATAAATGACTACATGGGACTCTATCTTCTACACAAAATGCTCCAGACAATTCCAGATTTGAGTTTAAAATTTCTCACCTCTCATTTTAAAATATCACTTTAAAGATAATTTTTGAGTGACTCTTATTGCTCTCTGATTAGGTATATAGCAAATACCACTGAAACATTCTTTTATTCATAGATATTAGAATGTTCT
This sequence comes from Homo sapiens, assembly GCF_000001405.40. Lineage (NCBI taxonomy): Eukaryota > Metazoa > Chordata > Mammalia > Primates > Hominidae > Homo > Homo sapiens. The sequence goes on along the minus strand of NC_000002.12, from coordinate 150,450,250 downwards.
ATACATATTTATGTATATTTTAAATCTTTCTTTAAAGACTGCTTTTCTTTCTTTGAAATCTTTCTTTAAAGATCAATTGACTAACCGTCAGATTGTATCTCTATTCTTTACATACCTTTTAAATCATCCATCACATCCTGTCAGAGAAGTTAGTCGTTTTTGGCTGGTTCCCAGAACCTCTGACAAGCTTTCATCTTCAGAAACACAAATGTTTCCTGTATAGGTAACCTCTGGAACAAAAAACCTGCTCTTCCACTGATTTGGAGGCGAAACCTGTAGGATAGTTTTTGCATGCCTTTTTGCTGAAGACATAATTATCCTTGTAGCTTCTCACACATGAAAGTTTCTGACTTTGCCATTATCCTCTTCAAAGAACATATTGCCAGAAAGAATTCTAAGTACACAATCAGTTTTATTTTAGTCTCTGCAGTTTCCTTTATTCACATGTGTGGTCCTCTCTTTCTCCTTCATTTTTAGCACAATATTTATATTTTACACTTAAGGGAAACGTACACATAGACACCCACATTCAGTGTTCACTACTAAGACTGATTCTCATCAGAGACTCCAAAAGTGTACCTCTAAGAACAAAACTCACAGGGCGCGGTGGCTTCCGTCTGTAATCCCAGCACTTTGGGAGGCTGAGGCAGGCGGATCACAAAGTCAAGAGATCGAGACCATCCTGGCCAACATGGTGAAACCCCGTCTCTACCAAAAATACAAAAATTAGTTGGGAGTGGTGGCTGGTGCCTGTAATCCCAGCTACTTGGGAAGCTGAGGCAGGAGGATCGCTTGAACCCGGGAGGCAGAGGTTGCAGTGAGCTGAGATTGCACCACTGCACTCCAGCCTGGCAACAGAGTGAGACTCGGTCTCAAAACAAGAAAAACAAAACAAACAAACAACAATAACAAAAAAAATCAAAAAACAAAAAACAAAACTCTGTTCAGAGATGCTGTTGAGCTTTCCTCTACACAGCCACAATCAAGAAGAGATTTGTCAATTTTCTGGTTAATTAAAATAATTCTCAGTTTCTCTCTTCATATTAGACTACATAACTTAGCCAATAATCAAACTTTTATTTTGCTATGTGTTAGGTAGATCTGTCAGATTTAGCACATAGATATTCTTGCTTTTCAAATGTATAGCATCAATTTGTTCTGGTAGCACACTAAATCGGCCCCAGTTATAGTCGACATAATTATCATATAGTTTAAATAAAATGTTACTACTGTGGAAATAATTTATTTCCCATTAGTTTTTCCACCTATGTTAATTCATGTTCAATCAATTATCTGGCTCGTTTAAATTGTTGACACTGTTTAAAATACAACTGTAATGTTAGTGCAAGTCATTAGTTTAGTGCAATAAAGATTAATTGAAAAGTTCAACTGCTTCTTTGATAGTAATTTCTTATAATTCCAGGTCAGTTTAATCACAATTCACATTGCAGCTTTGTACACACAGAAAGGATGTGAAATTTAAAAGTTGAATTCAAAGGATCAAATATAAAAATTGATGTGGACACTTTGGTGGACACATTTTTGTTTGTTGAAGTTCTTCATATTTTAATATTGCTCCAAATTGCTTTCCATGTTTTTATTACACATTTATCAATATCTTATTGTTGCAACTTCAAATCAGCAAGAACAATGTTAGAAACTCCAAAATAAAAGCATGAATTTGGTAATATGTTTATTGATAGTTGTAGTGAGAGATCATTTTTCATTTATATTATTTTTCTTTTGATCATTTTACATAAGCTTGTGCAAACTGAAGAGAATAAAGGGCAAGACAGAATTCTTACTCGTTCAAGTGTTCCCAAAGCAAGTATAATCTTTGCCTTTATAATTTCCTCTGAAAAACCCGGAGCTCATTTGGGTCATATTAAACAGAATGAGGTAAGTTGGCAGGATTTGAAGCTTGGTTACAGGTTGTCTAGAGATGTGTTTCACCAAAGCACATTTTGATGTCGTTCCTTTCTCCAATAATACAGTATATATTCCTGTGATGTAATATGAAATATATATATTTTCTCTCTGCCCCCAGTTCCTGGCACAGAGCTTCTAAAATCGTTGGAATCTCCTGGGTGGTAGGAGTTAGAGAAGCATATTTGTTACTCATAATAAACCCATTTCAATTACACGAGAGTTTTTGCTGAGGTGGCTCTGGGAGCATGAAGCCTGGTTGCCAGAGGAATCAACCATGGGATTAGAGCAGTGGAACTTGCAGCCCCACTCCCTGACCTCCAGAAAGAGGAGGGGGCTGGAGAGCGACTTCATCACCATTGACCAATGATTTCATCAATTAGGTTTATGTAATGAAGTCTCCATAAAAACCCTAAACAACAGGCTTTGGACAGCTTCTGGACTGGTAAACACATCAATGTGCTAGAACAGTGGTGTACCCGGAGAGGGCATGGAAGCTGCTGGAACCCCCCATCCTCAAACCTTGCCCATCCAGCTCTCCCATTTGGCTGTTCCTGAGTTGCATCCTTTATAATACACTGGTAATAGCAAGTAAAACACTTTCCTGCGTACTGGGGACCATTCCAGCAAATTATTGAACCTGTGGAGGTGGTGTGGGTACCTCTGATTTGTAGCTGGTTGGTCAGAAGCACAGGTCATAACCTGGAACTTGTGACTAGGGTCTGAAGTGGGGGGCAGTTTTGTGGGACAGAGCTCTTAACTTGTGGGTGTCTGGGCTAACTCTGGTAGTTACTGTCAGAGTTGAGTTAAATTGTAGGAGACCAGTTGGTGTTCACAGAGAATTAGAGAATTTTTTGGTGTACAAAACTCACACATTTGGTGTCAAAAAACAGATCTGTTTTAGTGTTTGTTATTTTTAGAACTCCCTACCTGGTTCTTCTAAAAAAAGAAAAAAAAAAACCATTTTAGGCTGAAATTCCTCCAAAGTTTTAAATTGTGATGTTAGGTTTTATAACCTGGGGAGTTCAGCTTTCATTTTAAAAGGGCAGTAAGTTATTAGGTGGGTCCAGAAGTAATTGCAGTTTTTGCACCCACCTAGTACTACAAAACCTACTTGATGAAAGCAATTCTGCAGAGTGTTTAGAAATTACAACTAAAGTCCACGTTTTATTGGTGGTCCAGCTTATTCCAAGAAGGTCTAAAGATCATTTCCAAACTTCTCAATATCTTTCCCTAAAGTACTTGGGGAGACAAAGAAGAAACTGAAATCTTGTACATCAAAAATCATAATGGACAAATGACTCACTACTAAGATTATAGATAATTGACATTAATTATAAAGGAGTCAGATTGAGAGAAAAATCTTCCCAGCTACAACTCACAGGAATAATGGCAAGCAGTTATGTAGTACTTATTATATACCTGGCACTGTTCTAAGGGGTTTACTTGTACTAATCATTGAATCTGTACAAGAAACCAACAAAATATTTACTATAATTAAATAACATTTTCAGTTGAGGAAAACAGAGGCACAGAGAAGTTGATTTGCATACAGCTAGCAAATGGTGGTGTTGACATTTAAACCAAGAAAATCTCTACTCCTAATCATTATAGCATATTCTTGGTACATCACAGTTTTGTTTCCTAAAAAAGGAGTTACCTGAAAGAAGTAGGGAAATACTTCACAATTCCCCTAACATGTTTTCATGACTACAAGAGCTAGAACCTGTCATAGTGAAGAACTGGACACCCTTGCTGTCCATCCCTGGTCACTTTCCCATGGTGGATCATCCTCACTGTCAACATCTTTCTGCATACAGGCAAAGAACATGCTACCCAGGGAATGACTGAGAAGACAGAGAGGAGAGGTACGGGATGGTTACAGTGTAACTGCACAGATTTCACCTGGCGCCAGGATAAATATAGAGAGAAAACTGAAGCCTGTGGGGAAGGGAAAAAATCTCCTAAGGAAAAAATAAGTAAATAGCAACAAGAAGTTTAAGAATGAAAGCTTGCCTTTGAAAACAATTGCTTGAATGCAAGTTTCCATAGAGTAATGGTGGGCACTCTGGACTCTGAAAATGATTGCTTGTAGACTTAAAAAACAAACCTTCAATAAACATCTAGCAACCCAACAAAATAGCAAGAAAACATGTCTTCTACAAAGCAAGAAGTGACAGGATATTTTTTGTTTGTTTGCTTCCTTGCTTTTTGTTTTTTGAGACAGAGTCTCGCTCTGTCCCGTAGGCTAGAGTGCAGTGGTATGATCTTGGCTCACTGTAACCTCCGCCTCCCAGGTTCAAGCAATTCTGCCTCAGCCTCCCTAGTAACTGGGACTACAGGCGGGTGCCACTATGCCCGGCTAACTTTTGTATTTTTAGTAGAGATGGGGGTTTCACCATATTGGACAGACTGGTCTCAAGCTCCTCACATTGTGATCTGCCCGCCTTGGCATCCCAAAGTGCTGGGATTACAGATGTGAGCCGCTGCGCCAGGCTGAAGTGACAGTTATTAAAAGAAAACAGGTGGAGGCAAAAAGTTATCTAACTAAAGTGAAAAAGAGACTGAATAAGAAAATAATGCAAGGATACTAAAAAATATAGAATGGAATTGATCCCTAAACTGAATGCATTAAAGAGCCACTATCCACAGACAAAACTGAGAAACTTTCATGGATGAACATAAGGGAATAAAAATATGAGAACAATGAGAGAAAATATGATTAGATCAGCAAATAAATAAAGGTTTTGGAAGGAAATAATCAAGTAGAGCAATTGGGGTTTTAATGAAAGAACTATGTACAATGGTATGAGTAGAGTTAAGGGAAACCAGCAAGGGATAGTGAAGCATCTAGAAGTAGCAATAATAGAGACGAGTTACCACTCTCAGGTCAGAAGAAGTGAGGGAGTAACAAATATTGAAACCTGGAGAAAACAGTAGAAGATCGTCTACAGAAGCTGTGGCTGGAGGTAGAATTATTCAAGCACTGTCAAGCCTTGTCCCAGCTTGGGGGAAACTGAGGGAATAAATTCCTAGCTTTTTCTGCCCTCCAGTCTCCTGCAGATGTCTTCCATTGGCCAGACACACACAAAGGCAGAGGACCAGGGAAACCAATTACACAGTCATGAAGGTCAGACTCCCAAGACATAGAACACAGTGGAGAGGAATGGATAATAGACCTGTGGAGCAAATGAATTTTCAACCCAATGAGTAATGTGGAAGCAGAAGGACAGAAAACAGGCATATCCATAATTGTGTGTCAAAAGAACAAATGGAATAGGAAAAACATCAGAGATATCACAGAAGAAAACTTTCTTCAGCAAGGTACACATTGAAGGGATCACCATGCTCTCTAGGCAATGACAATGAAAAAGAGTTACACCTAACTGATCTTGGCCGAAGTATAAAGTAAAACCATACAGGGTTCAAGAAAATGTATTACAAATGGAACAAAATTTAAATTGTTTGAATCTACATGACAGAATACCAAAACAAAACAAAAATAACAACAATAGTAATAGAGTAATATCTACATTGTTTTGAAAGGAGCCAATTGTAAGTGAAAAATTTCATACTCAGTCAGCTTGTTTTTTAATATGTAAAGAAATCGGAAGTGAATACTCAGACATACATAGGCAAAAAATAATAACAGCTTTATGTTTTTTTAAATTCTTAAATATATACTTTGAGATAGAAAACAAAATTAGGAGCTAGATAGAGAGGTCATTTTACCCAGCAGCAGATGGTCAACATTAAAACTATTTAAACACATACACACAGCTGTAAGTTTAGTTACAAACAAAACAAAATACAAATATCAAAATATTCTTATAAAAGAATTGTAAAATAAAAAATAATGCCATCATAAAACCAATATATGTTACAAATCTAAGTTTATATTAACGGAAGGGAAAAAGTGCATTAAATTTCACGCCTCCTATATGAGAATATATCCATCACTGACATTACATAATATAATAGCAAAAATACTAGCTGCAACAATAATAATACCATCTTTTATTGAATGTTTAGTATATGCTAGGCACTACTGTGAACAATTTATATGAATTAATTTCAAACTTAAAAGAATTTTATCAGGTAGGTTTCATTAGTATCCTCATCTTATAGATGAGGATTAAATAACATGTCCAAAGTTAATCATCTGGTTATTTGAGCCTATATTTTCAATCATTATTTTATACTTACTACACACGTTCAACAATAGGAAATTAGTTAAATAAATGTGTCTAAAAATAGAATCTTTCCTGGATAATGCTGTAAAAGCATATTTATTGATGTATATGTAAGTATATTTATTTTCAATCACATGTAAAAATATTTACCTTATATTACATAGCAGACATTTGTTTTTGCCTTCACAGCATACACCTCACAGGGCTGTCTAAAGTGTTAAACGATTAAACCGGATTAAGCCATGTCTCAAGCTATCAACCTTTCAATTATAAGAGCCAATAAATTTCCTCTATGAAGCTGTATGGCATTGAGTTTCCTGTCACTTGTGAAAGGATGCATATTTTTAAAGAAAAATGAAAGTTGCCAAGCTATGTATTTTAAAAAACAATATATGCATGCAATTATACATAGCAACTTAAGTCTATGGTTGTTATTAATCATTGTTAATAGCAGTTATATTTGGAGGGTAAGACTGACTTTCTAAAATGAATATTATTGTACAATTAAAAAATACTAATGTTTGAAACTATAGGGAGACAATTACCCTTAGATATTATTTCTCCTAAATAATTTTTTATACGACTTGTAAATCAGGCAAGTTGAGGATCTTTTCTCTCATGAAAGTATAAGTATTTGCTGAATGGATGCATGCATGCGTGAATGGATAAATGAATGAGATTCTGAAGGTATTTGTATGGATAGCCGTCTATCTCACAGAGATAGGTAGAAGAAGAACTCATAGGTAAGACTAGATCTTGTCTTTTTCTTTTCTTTTTTTTTTTTTTTGAGACAGGGTCTCGCTCTGTCCCCCAGGCTGGAGTGCGGTGGCGCCATCTCGGCTCACTGCAAACTCTGCCTCCCGGGTTCCCGCCATTCTCCTGCCTCAGCCTCCCTAGTAGCTGGGACTACAGGCGCCGGCCACCACGCCTGGCTAATTTTTCTTTTTTTTGCATTTTTTAGTAGAGACGGGGTTTCACCGTATTAGCCAGAATGGTCTCAATCTCCTGACCTCGTGATCAGCCCGCCTCAGCCTCCCAAAGTGCTGGGATTACAGGCGTGAGCCACCATGCCCGGCCAAGACTAGATTTTTTCCTAAGATGCAAGTCTTGCCTGTTTTACTTAGCATACGAGTGCAAATTTCTTCAATTTCTACAACATAGACCAGCACAAGATTAGTTCGCAGATATGTGTTGCTTTAGTATGGGGATATGTTCTGAGAAATGCATCCTTAGGCGATTTCATTGTTGTGTGAATATCATACAGTGTACTTACACAAACCTAGATGTTAGAGTGTACTATGCACCTAGACAACATGGCATAGCCTATTGTTCCTAGGCTGCAAACATGTACAGCATGTTAGTGTCCTGAGTACTGTAGGCAACTGTAACATGATGAGTATTTGTGTATCTAAACCTAGAAACCAGAATGCTTTGTGCTATGACATTGCAATAGCTATGACATCACTAATAAGTGATAGAAATCTTTCAGCTCCATTATAATCTTGTGGAACCACTGTATATGCAGTCCACTGTTGACTGAAACACCGTTATGTGGCACATGACTGTATTTGGAAAAAATATGTAAACTACTCATTGCCAGACAACAACAACTGCCTTAGAAAATATGTACTGATGCTTCCATTTAATGTCTAATATTGACCAACATGACATACATTCACAAGAAAAGGAAAATGGTTCGTTGAATTTTTCTTATTAGAAACTATTTATTCCATTTCTATTTCTCATGGTACTTTTCAATGTAATAAAAATCAAATACATTAAAAATAACAAACATTGAACATTTACTACATTCCAAGTGCTTTACATACATTATTTCAACCTTTTAAATTAGGTTTCAAATGGGGAAACTGAGGCTCAAAGACAAATACTTGGTGCAAGCTAACACAGCTAATATTTTGTAAACTTGGTTTTTAAACCAAGACCTGATTAATTCTCAAGCAGTTTCAGCACTGCCTTCTTCCTTGGCCATGAAAGCTTATGTTCTGTATTTAAAAATACTAGTTTGGGCAGTCATGAGAGAATGAGAAATGACTGAAGTTAGCTAAATAGTTTTTTTCAATTCCTCCCTTTAAGCCAGATAGAGCTCAAATTTCCTTGTCATCAGCAACGATCACAGGCAAATCTTCAGCTCAAGGAATTTCAGCTTTGCTGAGGCAGATGTCTGTGACTCTGGGACTGGGACCAGGTTGACTTCTTAGCTTTACTCTCCAGATGACTGCAGTAAATCAGAAGAACCCAATAGAAACGCTGGCATAGAACTACACTGAAGATGCATGAATAGTAATATTTTCTGCTATATAAATAGGAAAATGAGAGAAGGTTGACTTATAGTTGGACATTTATATTTCCTATTACATGCTAGAAAATGCAAAAATAGGGCAGTTTCCTTTCTCACATTGTTAATATTATTTTCTCCCATCCTACATTATCTTTAAGTACTACAAACTTTTAGTCAAACTTACTTTAAGTTAATTTTCTGTAGTTTTAGATTTTCTCTAGCACCTACTAAATAAATACTAAAATCCATAAGTAAACCAATAAATATTATATGTACATTGCACTCAAAATTGTAACTAAGTAGTTATTATAGAGTGATGAGAGAGAGGCATGGTTATGAAGATTTTTTATTTACAAGAGATGGACCAAGAGGAGATGATCAACTCTTCTCAGTTGTATAAGTTTAGAATGATGTCATAGTTAACTAAACTTAGAAAGGAGATCCTGGAATTTAAATTAATTGCCTATATTAAAAAAGATAACAAAACAAACAAACGGTAAGACTGTACCAGTGGCTAAATGGTTATATGATATTATTGTTTTTTAAAAAAGGCCTTGCTTTCCTGGTGACGGGATAATTTAGTTTGGATGCAAGGCTGAGGGTGTTTCCTTTCTGAGGAGTCAGGTTTCTCTTTCCAGATGGTTTCTCCTCCCTTAACTCAAAAACAAAAAATTGCTTTTATGGCTATCGATTTTGATTAATGGATACTGTCATGGGAAACCATTTTCTTTTTCTTGGAAGAAATACAGACCATTGTGATACGAAACAAAGTTTGAGTTTAAAATTTTCGTCTACCATTAGCCAATTGGATGGAGAAGGATGATGCCTAGGAGTTCTTTTCATTGTTTGAGAGTTGTCTGCCTGAATGGTAGAATCTTAATTTTGAAAATTTTTAAATTTCTTTTCCATTATGTGGCAGAATACAATGGCTGATGAAGAGAAAGCTTGTGACTGAAGCCCTAATTTCAATTCAGGAATATAATTAATGCTCCCAAGGTCAGCCTCTTGCCTGGTAGATGTCCCATGGGCTCCCAGTGGCTGAGAGCAGGGAATTAAGCAGAGGGAAATCATCTCTGTGAGCCAACTGGGCTTCCCTGGTTGCCCCTCCCGGGCTCAGCTAACCCCACTGCATCCCCAAACCCTGCTGTTAGCTGCTATCAAGCAGAGCCAGAGGAAATTGATGGAGACAGTGCCAATATCAGTGCCCCAGAGGGTTCCTCCTTTGCCAACGTTAGTTAGAAAGAAGCTGGTCTCATTCACTGTTAAAGCTATTGATTTTTTTCTCTCCCTCAGGCCAGCCCTGCGTTACTCTCCTTCCAGGGTCTGAGGGCTGTGTCTTTCACCAATATGTTTCTTTTAGAACATTCATTTACAGAATCAAAGAAGAACTCTCCTGAGTATCTTGTTATCTTGCCAGTCCTGACCTGAAATAGAGCTGGAAAATGTAGGCAGCTTTGTAAATAACAAATCTGACCTTCATCACTTAGCACTTCCTGCCATGGTTCTTGTTGAAAAAGATTCTAAGAAAATCAGGAGATAGGCTTCATCATTGCCCACTTTTTCTCAGGGTACCTGTTCTTAAATTCCCTTCTGGTTGTATGAAAAAAAATTTATGGTTTCTATTTTCTCTTTAATAGATATACTTTGTAATTGGTGGTTTCTGTCTTGAATAATTCATTTATTCATCTAATTCATATTTGTTTATTCATGCAATTCACTCATTCATCCATTCAATAGTTAACTACTTAACCGCTGCACGACAGTTGCTGTGTTAAATGATGGGGCTTCCATATGGAAGAAAAGAGACCCTATCCCTGCCCCCATGATGCTTACAGAATAGCAAAGCTAGTATTAAATAAAGAAATGCAAAAAACTGCAAGGGTAAATTGTGGTATGTGATATCAGGAAAAAGTTCAGGGTGCTCTAAGAGAGTACACCAATTTAGATAGAGGAATCTGCAGAGAAAGTGACATCTCAGCACTGACACAGCTGGGGGATGGAGAACTTCATATCCACGTCTTCCATGTGGAGACAGATTGGAGGGAACAGGCACAAGACTGCAGGCAGGAGATGAATTAGGATGCGATTGCTCAAGTCTAAGGGAGAGGTGATAGCCCACCTCATAGCACAAAAAGGACTTTCGGAAGTTATTGACAATGTTTTAGTCTCATTTCATCAGCATAAAACAATATCGAATATTATTTTTATTTGAAGGGATGGCATAAATATTCTTAGAATGCCTGCATAGTTTTATAAAATAAAAAAATATAGTATAGGTGATAGAGTAAAATATACAAGAAAAAGATATAGTATCAGAATTATCTATAAACTGTTTCTTATCAGCCTCCTGTTAACACTGAGAATTATCTGTCTTATCTTTTTCCCTTGTATGTGTGTGTAAAGACATAGGAATGTATGTGTGTATATGTGTTTGTACACACATACATACATATATTACATGAGGAAATTATACTATTATGTTATCAGGACATTATTTTTAAATTTAATACAGATGTCTTTCTATATTAGCACATATAAATAAACCTTACTTTTAATGCTTCAATAATATTTCATAAAATATAGATGAAAGTACTATCATATTTCAATAATTCCACACTATTTCTACTGCTTTTTATAGTTTTATTTTTTACATTTAACTTTCTAATTTATTCAAAAATTATCTTTGTATGTTGTTTGAAATCAGATCACAATTTCCCTCCCAAATCATTCTATTTTCTAAACCTTATTTATTGAATGACTTATCTTTCCCATATCATCATCGTCTACCAAATTCTCTTATAGATGTAGATGACTTTTTGGAATCTATTTTCTGTTCCAATGGTCTATTTATCTATTATTACAGCCATACCACCCTGTTTTATAAAGGTTGTGTAGTGCTTTGACATCTTATAAGCAAGTGAGCCCAAGGGTGGTGGTTAGGAGTGCAGTTACTGGAGCTAGGCCAAATATGACTCAAGTCCTGAAGAATAGTCATTTATTTACCTGGATGACATTGATAGGTAGTATATTCTTATATCAGCATGATACCATCATCAGTATATTTTAGTTTAGCTTGTGGTTACAACTGATTGAGTGTTGACTTTCAGTGACAGATACGTATTAAACAATGTATTCCTAAAGCAAAAATATTGAAATTCTTTAAAACATCATTTTTTTCTGAAAATTATCTACTTTATTACTCATAACTGACTTGGATGCAATGATGGTTTTAATAAAGTTACAACTAAAAATGTCGTGGGTAACCTGATAATGCAGTCCATCACTGTGAAATGGCTCTAGTGCTCAAGTCTTTAGGTATAAAATGCAAATGTCTTGAGTTGTGTTGTGTGGTTAGCAGCACAGACTGTGGGCAGCATCCACAGAAAGGGAGATGGAGAGGGAATCAACATATATTTGTCAATCCTATAACATTAATACCCATTATAGCCCTAAACTACCAGCCACAGAGGAGGGAGTAAGAAAGCAGAGTCCATTCTTCTTCCTTGATCACTTGGAGAAATTACAGATGGCCGGCCATGGGGATACTCAGAATCTGTCAGCTGGAAAAATGCCATAAGCAAAACCTCTTGAATACGTTGAAAGAAAACATTTGCAAATATTAATATTGTGTTGCTGGAAATATGTTAGCAGGCAAAATAGCAAAACTTGAGGCATAACTGGATAAGTGTAAACAAAGGGGTATGGAAAATAAAATATCCTGAGCTATGATTTGAACTGATAAAGGAGATAGTGATGGTGCCAAATAACTGAAAAGCCAAATCTAGTTAATGTCTTGGGGGGCAATCTGAATTGAGAAGCCTAAGAGAACAATTTTAAAGTATAAAACATTGAAATCACAAAGTGGTCCTACTGGTTCATCCATGAACTATTTAATAAGCAAAATTATGATTTATTTTAGAAATAGTAAGCACCGCTCATCACACTACCCGATTTATTAGACACTGAATCTCTTTTCATAGTACCTAAAGCCAAGTTAATTTACACAACTAAATGAAAATGAAAGTTTTTTAGGAGCCTCTGCAGACATTTAAACAAAGAAAATTGAATCAGATAAGAGACTGAGGTGGCCTTTCTCTCTCTCTCTCTCTCTCTCTCACACACACACACACACACACACACACACACACACACACACCGCCAATTCTGCCAGTATTAACAAGTAGGCATAGACCTCGTTACTCCCCCTTTCTCCTTTCCTTTATTCACCCACCCACTCCTATTAAAATTTCCTCTGCGAAGTTTTCCCCAGTCGTTTTTCCCCACCACTCCTACTGTCACCATCATTGCCTAGATGACTATAATAGTGGACTAATTAATTTCTCTCTATCAGTCTTACTCCTTCTAATCCATCAACTTCTCCACAAACAGATTTATCTTCTTACATTGCAATCACCACCTTGTCTTCCATAACCTTTAAAGACTCCTTATTTTTTCTAGAACAAAGACCAAATTCTTCGTCTTGGCCTTCCACAATCTGTTCCCAAACCACTCCACCTTTATGCCACTGATTACCACACTACAAACCTGCTGATGATGGAAACTGCTCTACTCACTGTTGCCCACACACTTCCTGATGTCCACTCTTGCCCTTGAGTTTCCATTTTTTCATTTCACCAGATATTTCCCATTCATTTTTCAAAAATCTAATCTCTTTTCTTCAAGGTCCAACTCATATTCTATCTCTTTTCCATTTTCATCCTTAACTTCCTCAGTGTCAATAGCCACTCCTTCCTCTGATGTGGGGATTATTTGTCACCCTTTCATAACCTAGTCTATCTTGGATAATAAATTTAAGAAACTCTCCAAAATTCACATTTAATGACACAAATAAAGTAGGTGTATTAGTCCGTTTTCACGCTGTCAATAAAGACATACCTGACACTGGGCAATTTACAAAAGAAAGGTTTATTGGACTTACAGTTCCACATGGCTGGGAAGGCCTTGCAATCTTGGTGGAAGGTGAAAGGCATGCCTTACATGGCAGCAGACAAAAGAAGAGAGAGCTTGTGCAGGACAACTCCCGTTTTTAAAACCATCCACTCTCATGAGACTCATTCACTATCACGAGAACAGTGCAGGAAAGACCCACCCTCATAATTCAGACACCTCCCACTGGGTTCCTCCCATGACATGTTAGAATTGTGGGAGTTACAATTCAAGATGAGATTTGGGTGGGGACAGAGCCAAACCATATCATTCTGCCCCTGGCCCCTCCCACATCTCATGCCCTCACATTCTGAAACCAATCATGCCTTCCCAACAGTCCCCTAAAGTCTTAACTCATTTCAGCATTAACTCAAAAGTCCACAGTCCAATGTCTCATCTGAGACGAGGCAAGTCCCTTCCACCTATGAGCCTGTAAAATCAAAAGAAAGTAAGTTACTTTCTAGATACAATAAAGGTACAGGCATTTGGTAAATACAACCATTCCAAATGGGAGAAATTGGTCAAAACAAATGGACTACAGGCCCCATGCAAGTCTGAAATCCAGCAAGGCAGTCAAATCTTAAAGATCCAAAATGATCTCCTTTGACTCCACATCTCAGATGCGAGTCAAACTGATGATGGGTTCCCATGGTCATGAGCAATTCCACCCCCATGGCTTGGCAGGGTACTGCCTCCCTCCTGGCTGCTTTCACAGGCTGGTATTGGGTGTCTGCAACTTTTCCAGGTGCACAGTGCAAGCTATTGGTGGATCTACCATTCTGGGGTCTGGAGGATGGTGGTTGTCTTCTCACAGCTCCACAAGGCAGTGCCCCAGTGTGGACTCTGCATGGGGGCTCCCACCCCACATTTGCCTTCTGCACTATCCTAGCAGAGGTTCCCCATGAGTGCCCTGCTCCTGCAGCAAACTTCAGCCTGGTCATCCAGGCATTTCCATACATCCTCTGAAACTTAAGCAGAGGTTCCCAGACCTCAATTCTTGACTTCTATGCACTCGCAGGCTCAACACCACATGGAAGCTTCCAAGGCTTGGGGCTTGCACCCTCTGAAGCTATGAGCTCTATGTTGGCCCCTTTCAGTGACGGCTGCAGCAGCTGGGATTCAGGGCATCAAGTTCCTAGGCTGCACACAGCATGTGGACCCTGGACCTGTCCCACCAAACCACTTTTTCCTCCTAGGCCTCTGGGCCTGTAATGGAAGGGGCTGCTGTGAAGACCTCTGACATGCCCTGGAGACATTTTCCCCATTGTTTTGGGGGTTAATATTTGGCTCCTTGTTACTTATGCAAATTTCTGCAGCTGGCTTGAATTTCTCCTCAGAAAATGGGATTTTCTTTTCTATTGCATTGTCAGGCTGCAAATTTTCCCAACTTTTATGCTCTGTTTCCCTTTTAAAACTGAATGCCTTTAACAGCACCCAAGTCACACTTGAATGCTTTGCTGCTTAGAAATTTCTTCCACCAGATACCCCAAATCATCTCTCTCAAGTTCAAAGTTCCACAGATCTTAGGGCAGGGGCAAAATGCCAACAGTCTCTGCTAAAACATAACAAGAGTCACCTTTGCTCCAGTTTCCAACAAGTTCCTCATAGCCATCTGAGACCACCTTAGCCTGGACCCTATTGTTCATATCACTGTTAGCATTTTGGTCAAAGTCATTCAACAAGTCTCTAGGAAGTTCCAAACTTTCCCACATTTTCCTGTCTTCTGAGCCTTCCAAACTGTTCCAGCCTCTTCCTGTTACCCAGTTCCAAAGTCACTTCCACATTTTTGGGTATCTTTGCAGTGATGCCCCACTCTAATGGTACCAATTTACTGTGTTAATCCATTTTCATACTGCTGATAAAGACATACCTGAGTCTAGGCAATTTATAAAAGAAAGATTTATTGGACTTAGTTCCACTTGGCTGGGGAGGCCTCACAATCATGGTGGAAGGTGAAAGGCATGTCTCACATGGTAGCAGACAAGAAAACAGAGAGCTTGTGCTGGTAAACTCCCGTTTTTCAAACCATCACAATTTGTGAGTCTCATTCACTATCATGAGAACAGCACAGGAAAGACCTACCCCCATAATTCAATCACCTCCCACCAGGTTCCTCCCATGACACGTGGTAATTGTGGGAGTTACAATTCAAGATGAGATTTGGGTGGGGACACAGCCAAACCATATCAGTAGGTGACCACCCATATATGGGGACTACTACAAAAGCATTATTTAGTTAAATGCAGGTGTTAAATTACTTATAAGGGGTTGAGCTGAGCAATTTCACTGTGGGTTTATATCAGAAGATTAAGAGTGGAGAACCTCAGTGCCAGGTTTTAAGAGTTATTCCAGGTCTCTTGAAATGTAGTGATGCTTTGAATATCAACTAAAGCAGATGTGGCATTTTCTTGGGAAGAGGAGGCTTCTTTCCTTATTTCCACAGCACCGAACTGCTGTGACTCATGGAAAGGAATACTTTTTGGAACATCAAAATACTGGCCATCTCCTGAAAAGCATCAGTGATAGGCTAATGAATACGCCCCACTTGACATTTTGGAAAGCAGTAACATTAGCAGAGGGAGTTGTAGCCACAGAGAGAAATCAGTAAGAATTGATTCTAGCAGATAGACTCTTTGGTGAGCAAAACTGAAGTAACTTGGGGATTCCCAGAAATAATTTGAGGAGATTGTGGCATTGGAAATTTCAGCCAAGGTCATTTTGGACCATAATGTTGACCTCATTTATATTGGATTAGCCATGTTAGTTATATAACTATAATTATAATTTAATTATAATTTGAAAAGTTACACAAATTGTAACTATAATTAGTAGTTTATCATTCTTATTAGTTGGTTTGTCATTGCAGTTGGTTTCACTTAATAAAAAAATCTCATCTTCACAAATATATTATTAGCTTCTTGAAGACAAAGATAATTTTTCAACATACAATGGGCACTTACAAGGTGATTGTGAGTATTGATAATAAAGTTATGGTAGAAGTTTATTTTGAAGGAAAAATCACTTTATTTTCATTTTAGGTAAAATTCAATGAATCTTTAATAAATCAAGTTTTGAATTTTAATAGTAGGAAGGAACTTAGAGATAATTTCAACAAGATGTCAGAGGCCCTATACAATTTAGAGGTTTCTGCAGTAGAATTTGAAGAATGAGTCTGCTGCTAATCTAGTCCTATGACTAGATTGATATAGTTTGACTACCTTATATTATAAAAGTTGAAACAGACCAAGAAACATTAAATGGTTTGTCCAGGAACACATATATGGTGAGCTGTGAGCCAAGGAATCAGGTCTCCTGACAGCCACTCTGGTGTTACCAGTAACAGTTGTTTTTATTGATTTCTATTCTTTATTTTTATAATTTACTACTCACTTATTTTACAATTTCATGAGTATCTATCTCATTTTATATATTTCTGCCTCATCAGGCACTATAAAAAATGTCTTTCAGAGAGGGTTAAATTAACAGTGATGAAGAGGAAAACATCTCAATGTGGTTGGAAAAGGCCCTAGTCTTAGAATCCTGCCTTAGATTCAGAAGAAATCCAATTTGTCCTTCACATGATAAATCAATCCCCTTCATAGGACTTCTACTAGGGGACTTCCTGCCTATGTTGGATGACTGGGAAAACCAGCTTCCCATCTTTGAACAAGTCAGACTCTTTTCTAGCTTGCTCCTTCATTGAGCTTAATTTAATATCAACATAACCTTCTAACCCTTCTTTTGAGGACATAAACATCATCTATGCTGGAGGCCATACTTACGTTTAGCTTGGCTTTGATGAAATGACTTAAATTTTATATCAGTTACTGTAAGTTACAAATTAAATAAGTACCGAGTAGAGTAGAAGTACTCGGGAATGAGCTCTCCAGTTTGCCACAATCCCTACCACTCTGTATTGCTCCACACTGGGTGTGCTTCTTTCATTTAATGATAACCTTTCCAAACACAAACATCCAAGATAGGCTCCATGTGAGATGCCATAAACGTATCAAGTTTTTAATGTTTAGCATTTAAACTCCACAGACTTAAGCAAATGTGCCAACTTCTGATTTCTGAATGAACATATAAAGTTCTTAAAGAATGGTAACTGCCACTTTCAAATTCTACCCTTGTGGTTCATGAGGAATGAAAGAGAGAAATGGGTCAAGTAAAACAGAGAAGGAGAAGTATGTGAATTGTGAGGGTTACTATGAATACCGGGAATCCACAGATATGTATGTATGAAGGAAGAAATCCAAAGTGGGATTTCTTTTTGCAGCAGGGGAGGCAGGAATTGATGTTAACTGAGAGGTGGAATCTGACACAGCAACTTCAATAGCAAAGCAAAGGATAGTCGTTGTGTGGGCTCAGGGAGGAATGTCCAGCTTTTGAGCCATGTCCAGATATGGAGATCTGCTCTGTGGGTGGCAGCGGCACCTCCAGATACAGATGGGCACTGCCTCTGTCAAGCCAGCTTTCACCTTATGGCAGCTCTCTGGGATGGCAGTCTGGAAACACCATATGGGATATAGACTTTCCCACATAATCCCATGAAAACTGTTTTACAGCGATACATTATGAATATTTCATTTTCATCACAAATCCACTTGCAAAGTATGAAACATTTCTTTTCTTTTTAATTCTTTCTCTGTTTTCTTGGTCCTTGGTTTAAATGGGCTTTATTCAGTTAAAAAAATGCTTACTTATCAAATTTAGAATGTTAGTAGAGAATTTCAAACTATTTACTATCATGGTAATAATTAGAACTATGCTGACCTTTCTTACTATGTATATATGACAGCTAATCAACTTAGCAGACATGTATACAAAAAACAATTGGTTTGACTTTGATGGGGGCAGAATTGGGTGGATTTAAAAGCAGAGTTGGCTAAATTAATTTGGTGTTCTGGTTTCCTGGAGATGTGGTCCCTCCATGATCCAGCTCAAAGGGATAATCTTAAAAGCTTCCTTTTCATTCTGTGATTTAATTTTTGTAAATATTAATCACCAGTCATTAAAGTATATATATTGTTTTGAAATGAAGTTTTGTGGCTATTTCTTTGTCTCTTGATATTAGAAGAATCACTTTATCCTCCTAGAGTGAGTGATAGCAGCTGGTTGACAGGACAGAACAGTTCTGCAGACTGTGCAGAAAGGGAGGGGAAAAGACCATATCTAATTAAAGCAGCAGGGAATGATTTTTAGCAAGGCAAATTGTAATCTGTTATCTGGAAGTTGGCCAGGGCATTAGGGTTAACAACGCTTTTTGTGAAAAATAATAATACAAATATATATACCTGCCATGTTTTTAATGTATCACAAGTACCTGGAATGTCCAGGTTTACATCTCCTTTAAAAGCTTTCTTACATTCAGTGTCCTTTAATACATGCCAAAAAAATATGGCAAAAACATAGCAGTTATAGAAAGACATAGTTAGCTTCAAAAGTGCTGGTGAATCTTACTTGTCTTGAATATTTTAACAAGAATTCTAACTATGATCTCAGAAAAATAATCAATTGTACTTTCAAAGTAATATAAAAATTTTTTAAAATTTTTTAATGGATTATTTTTCTTCTGGGTCAGAAGTTCAGTTTCACCACTTTCTAGCTGTGTAATATCCAGTGTGCCATGTGACCTGCCTCAGGTTCTGTTTTTTATTTGTAAAGTGCAAGTAATATTCACCTACTATCTTCTCCGATTAATAGGATCAGATTAGATTCCATCAAACATTTGAAAGCACATGATAAACTGAAAGCAACTTACTAATGAAAATTATTGTTGTTATTACGTTCTTGGTTTATATAGTACCTGTTTCTGCAGTGACATTGGAGGGCATTGGTGCAAATGGCTTACCTATGAATGGGTAAGCAAATTTCCCAAGAGCAGAT
The DNA here is from genome assembly GCF_000001405.40 of Homo sapiens. Classification (NCBI taxonomy): domain Eukaryota; kingdom Metazoa; phylum Chordata; class Mammalia; order Primates; family Hominidae; genus Homo; species Homo sapiens. Next base: position 150,430,996 of record NC_000002.12, on the reverse strand, counting down.
TTAATCCATCAACCAAATCTTTTGATTGCATTCAATCCACCTGAAAGAGCTCTGGACAGAGCCCTGAGGTGAGTTATTAGTTATATATTGAGTTGAATTGGTTTCAAAGAGGAAATCCTATGAGGCATTTGGGAACTCAACAGGTTGAGGCAGGCCACATAGAATCATAGATGAAAATTTAGAAGGAAGCCAAAATTCACATCCCTAGAAACTGTTCCAAGCTATAACAAACGGTTAAGTAGGCAAGTTCAAGATGCAGCCTTTACAACTTGGACAAAATTACAACAACAAAATATGAACTATTATTTCTGTATTAGCAATGCCTAATATGCTTCCATTTCAAGTTGTGTCACAGTTGGCATAGGTTCCATCCTGGAATTACTGTCTGGTTTCTAGGGCAGTAAGTTCTAACTACAGGACAGTTTTCGAAATGGGAAACATTCTGAGGTGAATGGTAAAAGCATTATCTGTATCTGCATCTCTACTTATACCTATAATTTTATATTAAAACAATAAATAGGAACACCTATCAAATGTAAAAATACTTTGTAAATATAGAATAAAGTAAATAATAAAGTCCCTACTCTTTGCATTTTAGAATTTTTTGGGTATTGATTTTAAGTTTTGACATAATGCTTTTCTAATTTAAATTTTATTTATACTTGCAAAGATTTTGATTCAAATGCCTATTTCTTATTTGGAAACAACTATCTATACAATGGTTAGAAGAGAACGAATGCCTAAGCTTTGTGGTTTTTTTATTTGTAAAATTAATGTGTTGCATTCGGACAGAAATTTTAAAACTCAAGAGTAAGATGTTGGGCAGTTTAATTTAGGTGGTTTATCAAGAAGACATGCTTTTCTTTAGTGAATTAGGTGGTGACCTGTGGGCTCATGAATTATTTAACAAAAGTTATAGCCCAGAGGTCAGATCCTGGGAAGGGCATGGGCTGGGGGTATCTGCCAAGTTCAGTATGAGTCTGCATGTTTCCCTCCACTCTCATTCCTTGCTCTCCAATTGAAGTCCCCCACATTGCTGACTTGACTCTGAATTGTCCCTCTCAAGTGTACCTGGAAAGCTGCAACCTTTGCACTGAGGCAAAAATAGGAAACATTACAATTTGATCTCTTCAGGGCCAGTGTCATTGTTTTACTGTCTCCAGCAAACTCTAGGCCAGAAGGCTCATCTGGTATCAGTGTCATTCATGTGCAAAGCAGAAACTGAACTGCACACATTATCTTTGAGCTGAAATTGGTGTCTCCAGCAGTACCAGCCTCTTGAAGGGGTGGCATACACTTGAAGGTTGGTTATTAGTTCCAAATGCTGCAGAAGCATCTGCTCTCGACTAGCTAGAAATCATGTTTAATAACAAGAAAATCTACTCCAGCCAAATCCCTATTGGGAGGGCTCTTGCATGAACAAAAGGCCCCCACTTCCCCTGATTTCCATAACAGATGTAGTATCTGATGCATGACAGCTCAGCGCAGCCCTGCGCCATTATTCTCCTACATATCCATCTGCAAGAAACAGTGCTTTCATTTTATTAATTTCTCTGGTGGGCTACACTTTATGTTTTGCTGCCCAGAGAGTACTCTGTTTGTGCTTCATGCTATACTGGTCACAATAATAGTTATTTTTTCTTAATGTTAAAGGTTACTAACCTTCTTCCTTTACTTTGCTATGCATCTTCCATACCCAATAAACTATTAATACCTCCCTGGGGGGTTGACAATTTCACTTAAGTTTGTCTGGTCTTCCCAATCCTGGTGCTGCTTCTTTGTCTTATTGAACATTCTTGGGACAAGCCAGCTATGGGGGAAAGTCATTAGCCAGCTCCTAACTGCTGAATGCAGTTCCCAATGCTTTTTTTTATTATTATTATTTTTAAAAGGAACAGAACAAGAATTTTGACATTTGTAAGGCAACGGTGGCTTTGAAATCATATACACACGCAACCACAGACAAAAATATTTGCTACTTTGGAAAGACAAATGCTCTTTATTTGTAATTAATCCCAAGTCAGTTTTCTCCTACGGTGGAGTTTTAGGTAAATAGTGAGGTTTGCTTCCTGAGGCCAGCATGGAGCAGGCTGTAACATAGGCTGGTCATTATCCCATGTCACTTTGTCGTAGGATGCATCATAGAAGCTGCTATACTTGATAGCAAATGGGGCCCAGAAATGGGGGGAGGGAGGAACTGATGGAGTGCTTGAAAGAAAAAGAATAAAGAGAAGACAGAGTGGGGTAAGATGAGGAGCCATAAATACAGAATAAAGTAATAATATGTAATCTCCACATTTTCATTAAGTTTAGTAATTTGTTTTATTTTCTTAAAAATAAAGTAGGCAGTACATGTAAATTTTCATCCTTAAAGGAATCTGTTTGAAACTTAAAACATCATAACTTGACAGAAAGAAACTGAATTTGGCAATGAGTCCAAAATAGCATGAGTGTAGCTTTTGTTTAAGCTGTTAAAAAAAGGGAGGGAGAGAGAGAGGTACAGCTACAGTTGACAAAGGACAAAGCCACAACAACAAATATATATGAATTTGCCAAGGTCAAGCACATTTAAATAAAATTTGCATGTTTTTGTTAGCCAGTCATGTAGCATTTAGACACAAAACAGCAGGATAAATAAGCCACCTCTATTACCAAAATCTCCCAAATGGAGTCTCAAAACATTAGAGCAAAACTGAAATATCTCAAATGGCATTTTATTGCAAAAATAAAACATTCTATATCTATAAAAAGAAATGTATGTTTATATTAACCTGTCTCTGTTATGGTTTTTAATGTGCTGACAAGCAACTATTCAAAAAAAAAAAAGCAAGTAACAATAAAAATAAAACAAAAAACAGCAGTGAAAGCCATAACAAATTTACTTATAAGTACAATGTCACTGGAAATCTCTTAGGATCTTTATTTCTTTTTGGACCTGGCACATGTCTAATTATATATCCACTGATAAATCTTTTTAAAAAGTATAATTATAATAATAATCCTTCCATCACTTATGTTACAGGCTAATGCTACTATGTTAAACATTTTGCATATGGTTAGGTTTTGAAAAACCTAGCCTGGAACAAGTCTGCACAACGAAATCAGAAAAATATTAAGCCTTGTTGTGACTATATACTATTACTTTATTTCTTCTAGGGTAACCTTTATTACATAAAAGTAAATTTATATAATACTTTATTATATAAAGGTAATTGTACCAACCTAATAGAAGATATCCACCAAAATACCAATACCGAGAAAGGACTGTTCATTATATTTTGCCAAATATTATTTAATGGAAACAAACCCAATAAATTGGTTTTTAAAAGTAAACTCTATCATGTTATTGCATTAGATAATGTCAAGTGAAGGAAAGAAACAATTTACAGTTAGTAAAAGAGCAGACTGTCACTGTTCTGTGTTCTGTCCCTGACTTCACCCCAGTGCATTTCTCAACGCGGTTTCTTAATGAGGAGGGCAATTTATCCCTCAGCCCCTGTCACTGTGGCTGGAGTCGCAGCTGGCAGCCATGAGTACTCATCAAAATGGCCCTTTATGGGGTTTTGCTTCTTGAAGTGCATGATGGTTGGGTGGGCCTATGTTATTTTACTTCTGCTTCCCAGACCAAGTTTACCTGCCCCACACAATCAAGCTAATCCTCAGTGAGCATTCTAGATCTAAAAGAGATATTAGGGAGACTCTCATTCAATTCCTGCATTTCACAGATGAGAAAAAGGAGTGTCAATGCATTCATTAAGTAAATTGCTTAAGGATAATATGAGTTTGCGATTCCAATTCTGGGCTAGGAAAAAGCTTATGAGCAGCCAATTTGCAAAACAATAAAAATACTACCATCTATGTACACACTTTGTAAAAACATCCAGCACACTCGCATACAGCCTGTTTAATATTCTTTTCTTATCCCTCAAACTCTCAAAGAGGCTTGGTAGGCATCATTATCTCAGTGGGCCGTGATGAAGATAAAGGAAATGCTCTGGGTCAATTAGCAGAAATGTAGGCAAAATGGAAGGGTGAGAAAGAGGTGGGAAGAAGTCTATTTAAACATACCTGGAAACATTTGCTGACTCCCCACTGTGTGCCAGGCACCACAGCTCTGAAGATGAAAGACACCATCGTTCCTGTTCTTCAGGAGTTGGTGATCTAACTGGGGAGAGAGATATATAAGGCAATATCCACAGCATACTTACACAGGATGTTTTGGGAGCCCAGGAAGTGGGAACATGTGTCGACAAAAGCACACAAAGTTTAGCACAGGAGGGTCAACTCTTGCTGGGCACTGAAGGATGGGTTCAAGTTTGAGTCCATCAGTTAGACAGGGTAAGTACATTCATCATGGGGAGCATGCAGTACCAAAAAAGGGGGCCTGAAGAGGATGACAGGAGTCTCTTGAAGGGCTTCAAAGGAGTACTTCGACAATACCCTTGGACTCCCTTCTGCTCTGCCCTTCGAGATTATTTTTCATCATAAACAGGCTGTGGTTACCAAGAATGTCTAGTAATATGAACATTAGAGGAAGTGTAGTGAGAACACAGTAATAAAAAGACTTAGTAAGTCAGAGGAAATAAAAGAACTGAAACCATGCAACAATATAAAGAATGAGGATATTTATTTAAAAAAAAAAAAAAAAAAAAGAAAACTTTTCCTGCAGCAGTGGTACAGGTGTACCTGATGAGGAAATGAAAGGTCATCCTTAACACCAACATTTCATTGAGCTTTGATTGTTTTATGCTAGTCTCCCTAATTTATCCTTTTTTTTTTTTCCTCTCTCTCTTTAACACAAGCAGTGTCTAAAGTTGTAGCTAATGATGATCTATGTTTTGTTCCCAAAAGACCTGAATAACAAATAGTTTCCTTTGGGCCCAGTGGCAATGCCTTGCTCCAGGAGGGAGAAGAGGTGAGTGAACTGAAAATCAGCAGCCTGCTGAAAACGCTAGAGAGAGAGGATCTGCAACATTCAGGCGCAAAAGGAAAACTTCTCTCCCTGTCTTTCCACGCAGGAGCCCTATTAACCCAGACACATTTCACCCTCACATCGGGAAATCCTAATATAGACAAGTCCACCTCCTCTGCCTGGTTCCCCTAAACTCACAACGATCTTTAAGATGAAAATGAAAACTGCATTTCATTAAGTGAATATAAGGCAATTCAAACTAAGTCAGAGGAAGGAAACTGGGGCAGGCCCTACATAAATTAATATTGTGAAAGGAGGAAATTTCCCTATTCCGATGTTAAGCAGCATTCTGGATTTGTACAGAAAATGCAGTGGAAGCCTTTAAAGTTTCACCAGCACTGTTTCTTCTCTCGGCCATTGTCTTCTTACTAAAAAAAGGAGGCGAGGAAAACCTGAGGATACCATTTTGGGGGTGCCTAGAGGTGGGGTGTACTTGAAAAGGAAACGTAAAAGGGCTTAACTCTATTCATTGCGCCCTTTCATTTTCCTCTAAATGGCAGCACAGCGTTCATGCCAGTGCCCAGGCCGGGGGAGCTGGCAGAACGACGCGGCACTGAGAGGCAGCTGAAGCCTTTCATGGTGACAGCTTTTCTCCCAATGTGTCCTGGTAGGAGTTTGAGTTGACAGACAACAAAGGATGGGGAGGGGAGGGATTCCGACAAACAAGCCGAACAACCACCATCGTCCTCTCCATAACGGCGCCTTGGCTAAGGGACAAAGAGAACAAATCTACCCTGGGAAAGTGTCCCTGGCCCCTCCTGCCTCCGGTTATCTTTAGTGTGCGCAGGAACAGAGAGCTCAAGGGTGAGGCAGCTCAGCGCTGCCCCCCTGCGGGTCAGATGTTTTGGGGGTTTGGGAAAGAAAAAAAATTCCCTGGAAAACGGGTCTAACATCAGAGAAGAAAGTCTTTGCAGGGGCTTGTTAAACCGCTACAGGATGAAAAGTTTTGTTCCCTTCCCCAGCCCCAAGACCATGATGAGGGGGTATAGAAGCTATCTTTTCCCAGTGCCCACACAGTGCCTGGCACACAGTGGGTGCTCCAAAGAGCAGTGTTTAAATAGAATGAAAAAAGGAAAAACAGTGCTGGTATCTCCAAATGCCCAAGACCAACAAATCTCACATCTCAACCTTTATAGAACCCTTGTGCAGTTTATTTGGAATTTCTCTGTTCTTGAAAGGACTGGGCAGCTTGTTGGTGTTTCAAAATAAGGGTATAAGAAAATCATGTTCATCTGAGCTTTTTCTGTCACATGCCTGGAAACAGCCAGTGACACGTTGCATACCACTTGAGGATCAGATGATTAGTAGTATCAATGACGAAGCATCACGATAGATTTTAGCATTTTTGATAAGCACATCTTTGAGGAATTTTCCATGTGTGGCTGGAGTCATTAAGCAGAGCCTGTGAAAGTGCTCAGGAAGCTATTATGCTGACAAAGCCGGCAAATGGATTTCTTCTTTGCGGCGTGTCAGCATGTGTTTATATGTTATGACAGAGAGAGGCCCAGCACAATTTTCCTCCAGTCAATGTGATTCTAGCAACATTACCAAATAAAAACATGAGTCTGGGTATGGCTGGTGAGTAGGTCTCCAGAGAAATGTAAAGGCTCATTTCATAGACACATTAACAAGCAAGTTGGTTTGTCATGAAAGAAAGCGGTGGTGCAAAACCCAAGTGGTTGAGATGTGGTCCCCCAAATGGAGGGCCCACACACACGAGTGTCACGAGCAGCTTGATAACTATTCCAGACCATTTCTTTGTGAAATCCCTCCATGGGATGAATAAATGATGTATGAAATGAGGATGCCCCAACTCCACAGGGAGCACAGAGAGGACACTTCACACTGTAATGTGTAGTTTCTGATGGGTTTTGGCTGTGACCCCTGGGCATAATTTCTATCCAGCTGTGTGGAGCCAAACAGTCTCCCACAACCCTGAACACCAGAACTCACACACCCTTTTCTTATCCTGCCAGGAAAATACTCTCCCATGTTTGCTTGTAAATTTCTTTCATCACAGAGACTTCTCCACCTCAGCACCCCAACAGCCAGCTATAGTGGTGACACTTCATAATTACAGTTATCAAGCAAGATGTATTACAAAATCTGGTGATAAATTGCTTGAATTCCATCACCAGTATATCCAAAGCCTTTGAGAGAGAGACAGAGAACTGCAGGTTTGCAGACCCTTGAGGACATACAAACATTTTTTTTTTTATTGTAACATGATTCCAACTTCTGTAATCCAGGTGGAATTGTAATTCTATGCTAGAACATTTATGTCCATCCAAGCAGTGCTAAAGTCAGGATAGGAAGCTTAACATTGTAATCAGTGACATGTGGACTATCTTGTGGGAAATTATCAACTCTAGGAAGCTCTACCCATTCATTACCAAGGATGCTTGTAGAACATCTCTTCCTGAAGACACTTGGTATATGTTAAAACAATTATGAACATTATTGGCATAATGAATGAAATAATTTGAGAGATAACACTTTAAACTAACAAAAATAGGTAGGCAATACATTTCAAATCCATTCAAACCTTTGAATTTGGAAGGTTCACTGTGGGTTTTATTTAAGTATCATGGTTGTCTCTATCCACCAGAGGATCTGATTAAGCAGTTGCTACCATGGAGCTGCCAAGGTGTCTTAGTGTGGAAATCCTGTGTCTGCTCACCTCCCTCTACACACTTTTTCCTTCTCTCAGCCACAGTCATGCGGGTCCTATGGTAGCTGCCCCATCCAACGTGATTGTTCCAAGCTGAGTCTCTCACAGTACCTAGTCCTGTTTACCACAATGTCCCTGGCTCATATTGCGTCACTCAGAGTCCTCCCCTGCATGTGAATTAGACTTCTTTGATGGAAAAATTTGTGGGATTAAGCTCCGAAGCCCTGAAGTTTCCCTCCATATGGAGGAAGATGGACTGGTGTGTAGGGAAATAACAGGTATGAGCAGAGAGAGGCAGAGACTCAAGACACAGACCTTTCCCCTGTTCTCACTCTGACCCAGATTAGGGCTGCCAGATCGAGCAATACAAATACAGGACACTTAATTAACATGTGAACATCAGATTTAAAAAATGAATTTTTTTAAGCGTAACCATGTTCCATGCAATACATGTAATTTTATATTACCACAGATACTTTACTGACTACCGACTATAACAGTGACACCTCAATATGGAAACTCAACGGGAATCCTGTATTTATCTGGTAACCCCACTCCAGATAAATTGCATCCTCACTGTCTCTTGGAATTCCAGACACTCTCTTACTTTAGGGACTATGCCTGGATATTCTTTCTGCCAAGGTTGTTCTTACCTTGATATACCCCTGGATAACCTTCATCCCTTTCAAGTATTTGCTCAATTTTCACTGTTTCCTTCCCAAATTTCCCACTGAACACCACAGTCTTACACTCCATCACCTTTGCTCTGCTCTAAGTTCCCTCTTCCCAATAGCACATATTGCCTTAGTATGCTCCAGACCTTAATTGTTATGTGTGTTTTTATTATGTGTCTCCCTCTGCCAGAATATAAGCTCCAGGATGGCAGAGATCCAATGTATCCCAAACTCCCAGGGGGCCTGACATTGAGTATGTGCTCAATAGAAAACTGTTGAAGGAATGACAGAGAATTTGCCCGCATTCTGGGACCCACTTACACTATTCAAATTCTTTGAGTCTATAACTTCCATTTTGCATGAACTAATTCACATTCCAGGTTTTCATGTAACCAAAAGAGTCCTGGTTTCAATGAAGCCCTTCCAGTAGTTGAAGAGAGTTACCACCTTCTCTTTTAGGCTTCCCATTTATTCATTTATTCACTCATCTCAACATGTATTTCGCTGACCCTGTATTCTAGATGCTATGCTAAGCACCAGAGATAGTGGAAGAATTAGACTCAGACCTTGCTCTTGAAGCAGTCACAATCTACGATGGGACCTGGGGCAAGTTTTGCTCTATGCTCTTGAGTTCCCTCATCAATAAACTGGAGGTAGGAATGGTGCTCACTTCATGATTTTATTGTGCAGATAAAATGAGATGACCGGCCGGGCATGGTGGCTCATGCCTGTAATCCCAGCACTTTGGGAGGCTGAGGCGGGCAGATCACCTGAGGTCGGGAGTTTGAGACCAGCCTGACCAACATGGAGAAACCCGTCTACTAAAAATACAAAAAAATTAGCCGGGCGTCGTGGCGCATGCCTGTAATCTCAGCTACTCGGGAGACTGAGGCAGGAGAATTGCTTGAACCAAGGAGGCGGAGGTTGCAGTGAGCCGAGATCGCGCCATTGCACTCCAGCCTGTGTGACGGGGTAAGACTCTGACTGAAAAAAATAAAATAAAAAAAGGAGACGACTTTGGCCTATGTCCAATAAGTAGCAGCTATTATTATTAATACTAATAGTAAAGGCAGAGCTGTCACACTGACAGGTGGCATATTCTGCAAAGTGAATAGAGTTTTCTGGAATTGTGACAGGAAAAATCTTACATGGCTATATGTGGAAGACTTGTCAATAAATAACTTGATATACTATGACAGATACAATAAAAAATATATGTGCAAAGTGCAAAGATAGCACAAAGAAGGAAGTGACTGGCTCCTGGGAACACAGAAGGACAAATGGCTTTCCAGGATAAAAAACAAATAAACAAACAAAAAAACACAGAGGTCAAACTTCAAAGAATTATAAAGAGTTTGATATTGCTAAAGCAATAATGAGTGGTAGGTGGAGATAACAGTCAAGACATACACAGGGGGAAATCTTATAAAAAGTATTTTACAGTGTACAGTAGACTTTGGGGCTTTGTCTTTGAGACTTCATCATCAGACTTGTGCTTTCAATAGGTCATTGTGGAAGAGCATATAGACAGCAGGCTGGTCAAGAAGATGAGCAGTTAGGAGGCAATCAGAACACACACATAAGATGGCTGAATCTGGTTTCATGAGCTGAAAACTCCCTGATGTTACCTATTTGTTGTTTTTAATGGGCCTCAGTTTTACAACAAGCCTTTGAAAGTGCTGCACTCAGCCACTCTCTGATGAAGATGGAATGAGCTGACCACCCTGGAACACCTTCCCAGCTGCACAGCAATAGTGATTGATAGTTTGCTCCTGCTGAATGGGGCTATGAGTGGATTGAGGGTTACTTATTGGCACAAACAGAAAACAGGCTATCTTTATACCGAAAGCAATACACTCTCCAGCCCTACCCACTGCCCATTCTTCTGGTTGACCAGCTCACTTCTGGGTTCCGATTCTGATGACTAAATAAAGCTCTATGCATATAATTTTCTTCTCCCTTTCCCTTCATTTTGGGATTATGTATAGACATTATAAATAGAAGTTTTATTCAGGGCAAGAGGGGGCCTAACAGAGATCAGCTACTGTACAAACATTTCAAAGACAAGACTGAGGGTAACAGGAAAAAATGTTTGGTTTGTTTTGCTTTTCCTAGAATAAAGGCAGGTAGAAGACTACAGCCTTTCTTTGCTTTGAAACAAAGGTTTTGAACTAATTTTATTGTTTGCCAAAAAAAAAAAAAAAGAAAGAAAGAAAAATACCATTCCCTCAAAATGGCTAGAAGATGGTAGTTTACAATGTTAATATAGAAAGAAAGGATTAAAAAGAAAACTAAAAAGAACTTGGAGAGCAAGAAAAGATCTACTATAATATATTCTGAAAAGCTAGGAAAACTATAATTATTGTGTTAATCTTTGCTTACTTAGGTAACTGGGAAATTACATTTTCAGCTCCGATATAACATAGACAAAATAAAAAAGAGAACATAATGACAAAAAGAAACCTCCTTGGTAGATTTGCACATCTAAAATTTGGATTAATAACTACTGTTTTTTTTTTTTCTTTCTTTTTAAATAACTAGTTCTTACTTCAGGTTATAGTAGTCTTAAGTAACTTGAGACTTTGGACATTTTAAGTAAACACATAAAAGAAGAAAGCATTTTAAACCTTTGTTTATCTATCAAAACCATATTCTGTAGAAGAATTTAGAGCCAGAGCATGAGGGTAATTTTTTTGTGTGTGATTCCCCAAGAGAAATTGGAGAATGATTTCAGTGAGATGGGAAATCACAGTGAATCATGTAACAAGAAAGGTTGAAGTGAGAATGAAATCCAAAAGTATCAGCTATAGTCCCCTAATTCTTAGGAAGTTGGAAAAAAATAAAAATGTAAAAGTGCACATAAAAATTCTTAAATAAGGAAATGAATGTCTTTCATTTAAGAAACAATTAAGGCATCACATAGTTTTCAGGGCTCTGTAGATACTGGGGTAAATTTAAAAGGTGCCTGACCTCAAACAAAGTACTTAAACCCTAGTAAGCATTTAGCACAGATACAAATTAGGATTAAGAGGGAAAGAAGAAAGAAAGGTAATATATCTTGGCTACCTACTAAGATTCAGGAAACGTGTTGTTTTCTTTCAGTAATATTTGCTTTTCAGTTCTCACTGAACTATATTTTTACAGATGAAATTTACTAAAGTAAAATCAGGCTTATTCACATGAAAACATCATCCTGCATTTAGAAAGTAAAATTAATTTTAGCAATTTAATTGTTAAGAAAACAGATCAAAAATTGCATCTTCTAAGTCACTATTTTTCAAACCTTTTAAGAAATAGCACACGATGGAAAAAGGATAGTATTTGTACAGCACTGGAAGTGAATGAAAGAGGCTTCCCTCAGCCTGAGAGAACAAACCCCCTTAGCAGCATCCCCTCCTGCAAGCCCCCTGGGTCGAGGGGCTCAGAATCTCTTTTCAGGAAGCTTGTGGCCCATGTAGAGTTGGTATACCAGTTGTCTCTGCTTAAAAAGCACAGAAACAGGTGGCAGAGTTACAGAAACAGCAGAAAGATCATCCTTCCTGTTGTAATTCTCTTAGCTTACCCCTGTCCCCAGCCCCTCAGTGGAAGATTTAAGTCTCTACATGTTTGCATAATGTAAGAATCAAAGGTAAAGATGAGATGAATATTGCTCATATGCAATAGGCAGGAATCCACTGACTAAATACATGTAACATATCCAAGAAAGGGGATTTGCAATGACCAGAAAGATTATTGATCAAGAATGTACATTAAAAAAAACTAATTGTTTTCAAATCTAATTAAAAAGAAAAAGAATGAGATTAAAGTATTATGCCTTAGATATCCATCTATGTTCTTTTCTTTGATACATTTTTTTAAAATAGAAGCAAAAATCTAAACAAATTTTAATTGCATTATTCAGAAGCAAAATCTGCATTGAGAGTAGAACAAAGAAATGTTTTCCACTGTGCTGAGTCCTCACCAGCAAGGTGTCAATGTTAGTTTTAATTATAACTTTTAGCATTCTTCCACGTTATTGATTGTGCAGCAAGAATGTAATGTGATAAATCTTGTCTCCTGGAGTCGCCTTACTGTTTCTTCCATTCCAAAGTAAAATTTCACAAAAATCTGTACATTTTTCATATTGAGACTGTGACATTATGCATCCATACACACTCAGATATTTTGGTTAAAAACATGATACCAATTTTTATTAGAACCTCCTGCCAGAAGATTTCCATTAAGATTAATACAGATACGTAGACTCATTTACATGTTGGTCAATGTTGCCATATGCAATGATGGGAAAGCCTGGCCCCAGGTTGAATCCTGACCCTGTCTCTTGAGATACTACTCACAGATACTACTTACAGCCTCAGTTGCCTTTTCTGTAAAATGGAAGTCTACTTTGGAAAACGTATAGTAAGGCATTTTGCACACTAACCTTTTTGGCATGGGAGTAGGAGTGTCAGAGGTATGTGAACCAGAGCAACTCCATCTTGAATCAGAGCTGGGTAAAATAAGGCTGAGACCTATTGGGCTGCATTCCCACACTGTTAAGGCATTCTAAGCCACAGGATGAGATAGGAGGTCGGCACAAGATAAAGGTCATAAAGACCTTGCTGATAAAACAGGTTGTAGTAAAGAAGCTGGCCAAATCCCGCCAAAACCAAGATGGCCATGAGAGTGATCTCTGGTGATCCTCACTGCTACACTCCCACCAGTGCCATGACAGTTTACAAATGCCATGGCAACCTCAGGAAGTTACCCTATATGGTCTAGAAAGTGGAGGCATGAATAATCCACACGTTGTTTTGCATATAATCAAGAAATAAACCATAAAAATGGGCAACCAGCAGCCCTCAGGGCTGCTGTGTCTATAGAGTAGCCATTCTTTTATTCCTTTACTTTCCTAATAAACTCCGTTTCACTTTACAGACTTACCTTGAATTCTTTTTTGCGTGAGATCCAAGAACTCTCTTTTGGGGTCTGGATCCAGACCCCTTTCCAGTAACAGAGGGATGGATTTGGGATGAAACTGTTCCACCTCAGATCATCAGGCATTAGATTCTTAAGTAGCTTACACAAGCTAGATCCCTGACGTGCACGAACAGTTCACAATAGGTTTGTGCTCCTGTGAGAATCTAATGCCTCAGCTGATCTGACAGGAGGTGGAGCTCAGGAGATAATTGGAGCAATAGGGAGCAGCTGTAAATACAGATGAAGCTTCTTGGCTCAGCAGCTGCTCACCTCCTGCTGTGTGGTCCAGTTCCTACAGGTATGTGGCCTGGGGCTTGGGGACTCCTGATTTAGCTCACTGTAGATACTCAATAAATGTTACCTTTTGCCTAGATGGTAGCCTCATGTCTCTGGGCTCTGAAAAGCCGAGGAAATTAGAGAGCACCCTCAGGTGCTTAGGGTTGACAGCTAGATGCCTTAGGCTAATTACAATAAAAGCCCTTCTCAGCAGTTTGACACAGGCCCCATCAATTCATTATTTCAGGCAGCCAATTCACTATCATTCTTAGTTCCTAATTTGACTTGTTAACATTTTGTAGTTTGGGTCCTAATTGAGGATTTTCCAATACATGGTCAGAGTAGATTTTGCAATTTGGCAGAATCCGTGAAATGTATTCTTCCTAACCCATGATAATTTCCTTTATCAAAGATTTGGCCTGCACAGGCTGAATTTCCTATCAGAGAACTAACAGATCCAGCATCCAAGAGAGGAATCTACCTTAAAATTGTATTCAACTTAATGGAAAAGTAGCCCAGTCAAAAAATATATTATATAAACAAAAACCATTTTGTAGACTTGGTTGACACACAAATAATCCAGAGCTATTTAAGGAGAAATATTTTTTGGCAGTTAGATAAAACAGCTTGAGTTAAGGCTAGATAGAACATCTTAGCAATAACTTTACCTAATTAAAGCAAAATCCCTGCTTAGAGAGCTATTGAGAACCTGAGATTTTGAGGCTTTGTCTTTGTTTCATTTTTAATTTCAGAGCTTGGCTCTCCCCCAGATATTTGATTAGTTGATCTCTATTTTAGACAGAATTGGCTAAATTGTGCTGCGGTAATAGACAATCTCATCAGAGAAGCATAACAAAAGTTAATTTATTATTCATGCTACACATCCCACACTGGTCCATCGGAGTTCTGCTCCATAGAATTACTCAAAAAGGGCCAGGCACGGTGGCTCCTGCCTGTAATCCCAACTCTTTGAGAGGCTGAGGCAGGCAGATCCCTTGAGCTCAGGAGTTTGAGACCAGCCTGGCTGACATGGTGAAACACTGCCTCTACTAAAACTAAAAAAATTAGCTGGGTGTGGTGGTGGGCACCTGTAATCCCAGCTACTCGGGCGGCTGAGGCAAGAGAATTGCTTGAACCTGGGAGGCAGAGGTTGCAGTGAGCCAAGATAGCCCCATTGCCCTCCAGCCTGGGTGAAAGAGTGAGACTCTGTCTCAAAATAAATAAATAAATAACAAAAACAAAAGAATCACTCAAAAAGTTGGGTACATCATTTTGTAGTTCTAATATCTGTAATATAAGACCTTCTTGGTCACAATGACAGGGGAAGGGAGAAAAATCAGAGAATTGCCCATGCATTTTCTTTCTTTCTTTCTTTCTTTTTTTTTTTTTTTGAGACAGAGTTTCGCTCTTGTTGCCCAGACTGGGGTGCAATGACGTGATCTTGGCTCACTGCAACCTCCACCTCCCAGGTTCAAGCAATTCTTCTGCCTCAGCCTCCCAAGTAGCTGGGATTATAGGCATGCACCACCATGCCCGGCTAATTTTGTGTTTTTAGTAGAGACGAGGTTTCTCCATGTTGAGGATGGTCTCGAACTCCTGACCTCAGGCGATCCGCCCGCCTCGGCATCCGAAAGCGCTGGGATTACAGGTGTGAACCACCGCTGCTGGCCGCACTTTTTTTTTTTTTTTTTTTTTTTTTTTTGAGACGAGTCTTGCTTTGTCTCCAGACTGGAGTGCAGTGACCCGATCTCAGCTCACTGCAACCTCCAACTTCCTGGTTCAAGCAATTCTCCTGTCTCAGCTTCCCGAGTAGCTGGGATTACAGATACGTGCCACCATGTCTAGCTAATTTTGTATTTTTAGTAGAGACAAGGTTTCACCATGTCGGCCAGGATGTTCTTAATCTCCTGACCTCTTGATCTGCCCGCCTCGGCCTCCCAAAGTGCTGGGATTGCAGGCATGAACCACTGCACCCGGCCTGCTCTTGCACTTTTTACTGCCTGAGACTGGAAGTATTAAGCAGCATCTATTTACATTTTATTAGGCAAAACTAGTCTTGCCTAATAGCAAGAAAACTGAAGAATGTAGAGAAACAAATTAAATATTTGGTGAACATTACTGTATATTATATTTCTCTTGCACTGGCAATTTTTAAGTTATTAGTTCACTAAGATTCAGCATTTCTTTTAGGGAAAGAAATATTATTAGTTTTTTGCTAATTCATCACTATTTGCAATTAAAATAAGCAGCTAAATTTACTTTTTCTAAAAGACATTAGTCCTTCATACTGGCTCTGCACTTACAATACATTCCAAGGGTTTTTGAGCTATTCATGTCATGAGTATTTTTAATCATATTTCATCTAACACTAATTTATCCAATTTGTAGAAATTGCTTATCTGAAAAAAAATACAATTTTTCTTTGTGCAGCAACAGGTTCACTGGCAGTCTGATTAGCTGGTTCACCAGATCTGTGAAACGGCTGTCACAAACTCCCAAATCCTCAAATCTTCTTTTTAAGCAAGGGTCAAAAAATTTTATACCTATTCACCACCTTCAGCAACAGAAGATAGAAAAGAAAAACACTTCTACATTCAATATATGTTTTGCACTTTTAAAGAAAGTCACAGATAATACATATTTTACATGTTCATGATTGTTGGTGATCAAAGGAGTAATACGGTGCTAAGAAAGTTGCTTTTATAGAAACCATCTTTTGTGAAATGACAGTATTTCTTAAGAGTTAGCTGTGACCAAGTCTCAGATAGACAGCCTTGGCATCAGCATGTGGACTTGCAATAATATGAGTATGAGGGGTATATGTCTGTAGGTGTATGTATGTGTGTGTAGGGTTGTGCTTTTTAGAGGAACCTCAAGACCTGATTTCCAGGGACCTCTGTGTATGTCTGTCAGGCTACTTGCAGTACTAAAATTCCCATATCCAATCAATTGTCCAGTTTTTTCCCCTTCTTTCTTTTTCTGCTTTCCTTAGAAGTTTTATTTTTTTAACCTTCTGAAGTAAATTTAGTTGGTGGATTGCAGTATATCCATGTTCAACCTGTTGAGTAATATCTCTAGGCTGATTGTCAGCCATCTGGGTATGGTAGGAAAGAGTCATTGGTCTTTTCTGCTAGCCTCTTCTAAGGGTTATGGTGAAGAAGCTTTGGGATTATTTTTAATTATGACTGTGTAACAGAACTGCACATGGTCTCCTAGTATCGATCCTTCCTTCCTTCCTTACTTAAGGCAGAACAGATACATTTTAGCTGGGAACGTGGCCAAGAATGACCCTCACAGCTGGATCAGGCCACAGGTTTTGGCCATTGAGCTCTAAGTAGAAGTCTCATGTGAGACTCTTGAGTTCACTGTCTTTCTCACTTCCTCTTTTCCACTGGCTGGAATTCAGGGATGATGGTTAGAGTTTGAATCTTTATTGTGGACTGTCAGATAAGTGTCACAGGCTGAAGATAGGATGGTGCAACAGCATGAGAGAAGGAGCCAGTTCCATATGACTTTGTGATGCCATTCTATCAGTCTTCCATCTTCAGACCATGTGTGTGCATGTATGATGGAAATATACTTCTATAAAGTTAAGCCATTTTAAATTTTCTGTCACTCACAGTAAACCCAGTCCTAACACACACACAACATATGTAGCACCATTGATGGTCTTATCACAGGCGTATCTTCATTTTTTCTCCCCTAACTATGGCCGTCTTTAGGCCCTGAGGTTTTAAAACATGTGGGGGAACAGGTTGATGCTGGCATGTGTTCCATGCTCTTTCACTCATCATGTTTCAAGTAACTAACAGCTGTTTCCATGGTTCCGCGTGCTGGTTTCATCTTCTTTCTTAAACCTCTCTCAGCTCATCCGCCAGCTGCCTATCCTGGGGAAGACAGCCAACCTTCTTGTCCCGTGGCAGCACTGGGTCAGAGTCACTCTTGGAATGCAGGTGGAATTAGTCAGGAGAGGGGTTCCTGCCTAGGGAGGGTAGATGAGGGGCCAGTGGCTCTACAGCTCTTACTTCTTAAATGTCACCTCTGCTGCCATGCTCGGCAGATTCCATTAACTTATTTCTCAGTGGTGGCCCTAGCCTCCAATCCTTCAATCCATACTGCAGGGGGCTCACAGATTGACAAAAGGTGAATACTGACAAGCATGCAGTGGTTACTTATTGACTCACTGTTGTTTATTTTCTGCTTTTTCAAGAGGGCCCATCGGAGAAGCTTGGAAGGAGAGGCAGCTGCCACCCTACTGGTAGTGCTCTATCCCTCCATCGTTCTGTTGGTTAGCTCTTCCCTCTGTTCCTACACGGCGCTCTGCCCCAGCTACTGCTGCTAGCCTACATTTCTAGACTACCCAGGATTCATCTACTGCAACTTTAAGTGAAACAACATAGAACTAAACCAATGTTGTTTTTTTTTTTTCTCATCAACATTATAATGAAACAATGTTGAAAGAAATGATATGATTCTAGGGCCTGCAGTACATTTTGCTTAAAGTCGCAGTTTCTAAGAACATATTGGAGAAGTTAAGTGAGAATTTCTGCGCTTGTACATTCTTCTTCTCATGTGTCCACACAGAGAAAGGAGGTAGGATGAGGATTCTTAACTGCCACTTTATAGAAAGGAACCCTGGGCTCAAAAAAGTCAACTGGCATAAGATCATACCATGAGTTAGTGGCAGAAGCAAAACTAAAACCTAGGTTTTTCAAGTCCAGTAGGGTTATAGAGGCTTAAGTCTGAGAAGGAGGACCCTAACGCTTACAACTTTTGAGCAATGTCATTTAACTTAGGCCCAGCTTGCTCCTCCTTGGTCTGATAATGTTGCTAAGAGAAGGCTTCTGGAGTAGTTGAAAGGACATGGCCTCAGAGTCAGGGAGGTGTTGATTGGAGTCCTGCCTCTAACCCAGACTATCTATATGACTTTGAGCCCATTTTTTAACCTCTGAACTTGGGGTTTTTTGTTTGTTTGTTTGTTTTTGTTTTTGGCACAGCAGAGAATTACAG
Source organism: Homo sapiens (assembly GCF_000001405.40). Lineage (NCBI taxonomy): Eukaryota > Metazoa > Chordata > Mammalia > Primates > Hominidae > Homo > Homo sapiens. Next base: position 150,412,434 of record NC_000002.12, on the reverse strand, counting down.
CAGTAACACATCTGTTTTCCGGCAAGCTATGAAGATTAGGACTAATATGTAAAGAGAGTGGCACATGTTAGGAATTTGATATATGCTAGAATTTTTTTTTTTTCTTTTTTTTGAGATGGAGTCTTGCTCTGTCTCCCAGACTGGAGTTCAGCGGCTCAATCTCGGCTCACTGTAACCGCTGCCTCCCAAGTTCAAGCGATTCTCCTGCCTCAGCCTCCTGCGTAGCTGGGATTACAGGTACCTGCCATCATGCCCAGCTAATTTTTGTAGAGATGTGGTTTCACCATGTTTGCCAGGCTGGTCTTGAACTCCTGACCTCAGGTGATCCGCCTGCCTTGGCCTCCCAAAGTGCTGGGATTACAGGCGTGAGCCACCACGCCCGATCATATGCTAGACTTTTACCTCAATTCAGCTGACATCTGTTTATTTCCTGCCATGTTCAAGGACCTGTGTTGGGTGTGGTACAGCCTCAGGGCTGGCAAGCCTTGGGTGTGGCACACCACCTGTGATAATCAGCCTCTTCATCCTTTCTGGTCCTCTATCTCTCCACTTGATCTGAACATATCAATGGGTGTCTGGGCATAAGCTTCCTCAGATGAGAGTTGGGTCAGGCCAGTGCACTCACATCTTTTTCACATTTTTCTGCAATGGGCACAGTTTCCAGAGTGAATATCTGGACACATTCTATAAAGTAGTCTCTCAAAAAAACCACACAAATACTTGCAGCATTGCTCTGGATTTCTCATTGAAATGGATGAATCCGTGATGCATGAAAAGGCTGTCAGGCAGGCTGAGGAAGGCTGAATGCTGGTATAAAGCTGGGCATCTGTTACTCCACACCCCAATGTGCAGTCTGTTCTCCTGGGTGAAGCAAGGCTTGACTAGACAAGCAGTACCATTGTAAAGTCCTGACAATAGACAAGCAAGAAGACTTGGCTGTGATGAAGAAATCTTCACCCCCTTTGAGTTTTAAAGGAAGGGAAGCTGGGGTCCAAGGCCTGCCTTATTAGAGAGAGACAAATCACCCAAACCAATCTTTATTATGAATGCCGAGCTATTGAATTTCCTCTGCTCTGTAAAGCCTATTGATTTTGTGACAGTCAAAGATAAGTTATGCCCATGAAAGTTGTTTTTTTCTTCCTTTTCCTTCACAACATATTTTTTCAGACATATTGGCATTGGGGATTTAAGTATAACTGTTATTGGTTTCTTTCTATTTAAATGTAGGTCAGTGCTCAAGCGAAACTAAGAACCATTTTTACTGTGACTTCCAATGCAAAATAAATGAGGCAAGAATCTCCAGACCTGGGGTCACTCTGTTATGTTATTTCAATCTCCAGCAGGAATGCTCCAGGCATCTCAGGCATTTCAGGAATTCTGACATTAGCAATGATCCACTTATTCACTCTTTGTCCTCTCTCTACCACACCACTCTCCGCTTATTGACCTGTATTCCCTTCCCACCAAGCCATACCATAAGATCAGTCAACCAAGGTGTCGAAAGGCAACACTTGAAAGAAGCACTTGCTGCCATCTAAAATGTCTGCAGTGTGAGTATGCATGAGTATATTCTGTATCAATAAAACATTTCTTACACTCTAGATGTGTCTTTTTAAATGAGCAAATTTCATTTCCACACTTCACAAAGATAGTGGCTCCTCTCTTGATAATTTATTCAGAATTCTATAATATTATAAAAATACTTTGGCAACGCATACACAAGCATGTAAAAGCAAAGCATCATGGCTCACACTACTGACTTTTAAAGAAAATTGTCACAAATATATTCCAGATGGCAATAGCATTTATGATGGCTCAGGTACCATTTTAAATCACAAAGCTTATAAGTTACTTTAAAAATATTTCTGAATGTGCAAGTGTCAAATAAACACAAACGAAAGTCCTCTTATATATGCAGTGGACTTTAAGCCCTGATTAATACTCACCAATGTATTCACTCATGCATTCATTCATTGAGCACATGGATATTGAATACCAACTATGTTCCAGGCATAAAATAAGAACATTGTGGATTAATCTCTCTTTTCAAAATTATAATGAGCTTGATTTTACAATTTACTGGCTAGAAAACCTGCATTCAGATTAACCAGAGAAACATGGAGGCAAGAACTGTCGTCACATTCTCTTTTCCCCCATTCTCCTACTTCCCTTAGAGGGAAGACCTTCTGTTTCAGTGGAGTAGACGGCTAGGGAAGATACTTTGGTAGAGCTCATGAAAGCAGTGCTCTCTGTGACTATTCCTCCCCATCAATATGCATAGAATGGGTTTTCCCAAGTCAACTTACCAAAAACTTTTTATTTTTTTTTTCAAATAAGAAGCATATCGGCCGGGTGTGGTGGCTGACACCTATATCCTAGCACTTTGGGAGGCTAAAGTGGTCAGCTCATTTGAGGTCAGGAGTTTGAGACCATCCTAGCCAACATGGTGAAACCCCATCTCTACTAAAATACAAAAATTAACTGGGCATGGTGGCAGGCGCCTGTCATCTCAGCTACTGGTGAGGCTGAGGCAGGAGAATCACTTGAACCCAGGAGGCAGAGGTTGCAGTGAGCCGAAATCATGCCACTGCACTCCAGCCTGGATGGCAGAGCGAGACTCTCTCTCAAATAAATAAATAAATACAGAAAAATAAGAAGCGTCTCATGAGGAAAAAAGGTAAAGTGTCATTCCAGCTGGCAGCCACACATCTATTTCCAAGAAAGTATAAAATCCACTTGACATTTGACCATGAATGAGAAAGAAGGGCTTTTGCCCCCTTCACAAGAATTAAATCCTTTTTTATGCTTACAGATTAATTGAAGTACACACACTTGGTAGTAGAGGTGTCAGAAAGTTCTGCATACTCAAATTTACTTATTTTAGACATTAGACCCCAGGGTCAAATGGTCATAAGAAACATTATCTGAGGCTAGACGTTATTTTCAGGAATCCTCTTTCAAAATGTATACCTTCTGATGGGAACACTGATAATGTGGAGATTTTATGCTTTACAGGAGAGAGGAACATTCTGTGACTTGGGCATTGGTCAGGAGGGCAAGCACAAGGAAGGAACTGCAACAAGGAGCTATGTGTAGCCAGCTTCTGGGGCAGATAGCAGGGCCTCTGATGAATTACAAAATAAATAAAAGAAGGACGAAAGGTCATAAAAAGAAAACTTTCTTTACAATTTTGTTTAAGACTCACTCTAATCATTACCTCATCCTACCATATCCTTCCAAAGGGTGGTATTATAAAAGAAGATGTCTAAGAAAATTGTTTCTAATGTTCAGACTCATTAAACTTAATTAATTTCATATTTTTACTCTGCAGGGAAATGATTCCCACAATTCTACTTTGTGCATAATTTATCTCTGGTTGTCTTAGATTTTTTTAAATCTCAGACTTGGTGATTCTCTAACAAAAGTGTTGGGAAAAGAATATGGATTTGAGACTCAGACAGGTTAGGTTTAAGTCTCTCATTCGATACTTGCCAGTCCTTGGGCAAATTAGCTAACCTTTCAAAGTCTTCATTCATTTGCCGATAAAGCCAGGTATACCTCTTATTTCTAAATGCTATTGTAGTGAAGAGAAATTTTAGAAAGAAGGGGAGTGGGTGGGAGATTGACAGAGATTGGACTATAGCTTCCAACAATATCCCCTAACACTTGGTTAGGATAAAACTTACCAGCCCATTGTCATGTGACTTATCCATGCTGACCCTAACATCCTCATTCCATTGCCTTCTGGCCTGGCTTGGCCATGCAACTTGCTTTAAACAGTAGAATATGAGTGGAAGTTATAGTTCTGAGAAGAGACTTTTATAGGTAGCATGGCATTCTGCTCATTCCTCTTGAGATTCTCCCCTCCACCATAAAAAGCACACCCTAGTTAGTTCTCCCAAAATTAGAAGACATGTGGAGTCTCTCCAAGCCTAGCTGAGTCCAGCAGAGCCTTGCAGAGTCAGGGCCAACCTCAGACTCCAGAGCAAGACACATATGGTTTGTTGTTAAAAACAACTGAGATTTTGGTGTTGCTTACCACTAGAACCAAAGTGGACTAATAAAGTGTTCAAGAAGTGTTTTTACATATCCTTTCTGCTTATAGAGTTTTGTGCAAATTAAATGAGATAATGTAAATACAGTCCTAAATCAGTGACTGACACGTGGTTGGTTGCCATCCCTTCTTTCCACATTCTCTGCTTATGTTTTTCTTAGTTTCATAATTTATCGTGTTTTTATTTGGGATCCAAATATTAACTAGATGGAGCAGTTACTCAGATTTTCAGCTGTTAACTAGATGGAGCAGTTACTCAGATTTTCAGTCATCATCATGATTTCTCTATCTGAGCCCATAACTGGATCAACTCTGCTCCCTGACCTTCATCTTTATGAAGACCCTGATGCTGGTGTAGAGGCTTCAGCATTACATCAGGGGTTAAATGGTAGTGCTCTTACCCCAAATTCTTTTTATTTTTTAACTTTTATTTTATGTTCAAGGATACATGTGCAGGTTTGATACATAGGTAAATGTGTGTCATGGGGGTTGTCGTACAGATTATTTCATCACTCAGGTATTAAGCCTAGTATCCATTAGTTATTTTTTTCTGATCCCCTCTCTCTTCTCGCCCTCCACCCTCCAAAAGGCCCCAGTGTGTGTTGCTCCCTTCTGTGTGTCCATGTGTTCTCATCATTTAGCTCCCACTTATAAGTGAGAACATGTGGTATTTGGTTTTCTATTCCTGCATTAGTTTGCTAAAGATAATGACTTCCAGCTCCATCCATGTCCCTGCAAAGGACATGATCTCATTCTTTTTTATGGCTGCATAGTATTGTATGGTGTATCTGTGCCACATTTTCCTTATCCAGTCTATCATTGATGGGCATTTGGGTTGATTCCATGTCTTTGCTATTGTGAATAGTGCTGCAATGAACATATGTGTGCATGTATTTTTATAATACAGTGATTTATATTCTTTTGGGTATATACCCAGTAATGAGATTGGTGGGTCAAATGTGTTTCTGTCTTTAGGTATTTGAGGGATCACCACCTGTATTCCACAATGGTTGAACTAAATTACAGTCCTACAAACGGTATATAAACTTTCTTTTTCTCCACAACCTCACAAGCATCTGCTGTTATTTTGACTTTTTAATAATAGCCATTCTGACTGCTATGAGATTCTTACCCCAAATTCTGATCAAACAGCAAGTAGAAACCTTGGGCTTGCCAGCCCCCAAATATTTAGCTGTGCTCCATAGAAACTAATGAGGAGGTGTTGAAAATAAAAGACACTGCCCCTGAAGGAGAGGCATTATTCAATGAGTACACTGGTTAAATAGACTTCACTCTTAAATCAGTCTGTTGTTCTTACTTCTTCTTTTTCTTTCTTTTTTTTTTTTTGTGAGACGGAGTCTTTCTCTGTCACCCAGGCTGGACTGCAATGGCGCGACCTCAGCTCACTCAATCTCTGCCTCCAGCTTCAAGCAAGCAATTCCCTGCCTCAGCCTCCCGAGTAGCTGGGATTACAGGTGCCTGCCACCATGCCTGGCTAATTTTTGTATTTTTAGTAGAGACGGGGTTTCACCATCTTGGCCAGGCTGGTCTTGAACTCCTGACCTCGTGATCCATCCATCTTGGCCTCCCAAAGTGCTGAGATTACAGGCGTAAGCTGCCGCGCCCAGTTGTTGTTCTTACTTCTCTCAAGCCCAAAGTTTGGGTACAAAGAAAATCTGGGGTGCGCTAGGGTGTTAACATAGATTGCAATATCAGAGGTCCCATTGAATCCATAATCTGGAAGTAAGCTTTGTGGGCAGATCCCAGGGGTCAGTGATTCACAACACACTCCTGAGGAATGTCTATAGGAGTTAACAATCTAAAGGTTAGAATCAGGGGGAAGCCAAGGAAGGAGTGCAGAGACCTAAGTGGGTAGAAATCAAAGCAAAGAGCTGTAATCCAATCTGAGACATGGGAGGCTCGGATAAAGTGTCCCTGATGGCTTTCTTCTTGGCTGCTCTTACAGTTTTCCAGGGGCTGCCTGTCTGTAACGGACTTTAACCCAGGCTACCCTAAAGAGGGTATTTAGCTTTTGACATGCTCCTAGAGTTGAGGAATGCAGGACAGGGCTTCCCTGGGACGAGAGTCATTTTGTCATTCCAGAACTCAATAAAAAAAGTGAGAATTGAGAAGGGCAGAACAAAAGGGGCCTCAATAAAAGCCTGTCCTATCATATATGAGGAAGGTTTTGTGCACCTGATGTTCTTGCCTATCCAGTACACATGATAACTGCTTCATTAATCACTAGAAATGTAAAAGAATCCAGAAGATAAGAGTATTTACTTTCATTGCATTTGCTAACTTTTTTTTTTTGGAGGGGGGCGGGGAAGGCTTAGGTTGAGTTAAGGGAAGAATACAGCTCAGTTTTTCTGTATAAAAATACCCATAACATGAAAAAAAAAATCCTTTGGGAAATGAAAGTTTAATTAGAGAGACTGTTAAAGTCTCTTGTGGGATATAGGAAGATTCAGAAGGTGAGAACTTTAAGAGATAGCATGTTTTATGAATAATGCAATAGCTAGACTCCGCCATCCTCTTTCTGCAGACTTACATTTCTGAAAACAAAGAGTCAAAGTACATGGGAAAAGTATTTGAAACCCCAGAAACCTCTAAGCTGGCAGAACCAGCCTTCACAATACATTTGCAGCCTGCCTTCCCAGCTTAATTCCTCTTTTACAAGCTCTGAGCTACAACAAACTAACCACATGAGGTCTCATACAAACACTATGAGCTTTCTCTACTCTTCCCTTCCCAACAGATGTACATCTCTTTTTTTTTTCTTTTCTTTTTTTTTTTTTTTTTTTGAGATGGAGTCTCGCTCTGTCACCCAGGCGGGAGTGCAGTGGCCCGAACTTGGCTCACTGCAATCTCCGCCTCCCGGGTTCACGCCATTCTCCTGCCTCAGCAGCTCGAGTAGCTGGGACCACAGGTGCCTGCCACCACGCCTGGCTAATTTTTTGTATTTTTAGTAGAGAAGGGGTTTCACCATGTTAGCCAGGATGGTCTTGATCGCCTGACCTCAAGATCCGCCCGCCTCGGCCTCCCGAAGTTCTGTGATTACAGGTGTGAGCCACCGCGCCCGGCCATGGATGTGTATCTCTTTACAGCCTCCCAATGCTAGAAGACAGCACTGAGCCTCCTTCAGCTGGATATGATGGCTTTTCCTCTAAACTTAGTGACATTATGTTTGTTTCTCATGATACTTATGATTTTCTACTTTTAAAAATAACAACAGCATGGATTAAACCCCCAACAGCAAGGATTCTATCCAATATCTCTGTGTACCCAAAGCACAAAAAAGGTGTTCAATGAAGGTGTTCAAGACAATTATTTCTAAATAGAAGTAATAAGAAGAAAATAACAAAATAAAAAAACTAGACATTAGCTTTTTTATTTTTAATGTTCAAAACCAAGTCTCTTTTGTATAGTTTTTATTAAGAGCTACATGTAAGTATTGATGAATGTGATTTAAAACAGTTAAATATTTATAGGCGGCTTATATAGCAAGATAGTAGCCATCCTGCTCAAGTATTCAGAGGCAACCACTTTCACCTCTTTTTGCTCTTTTTTCCCCTATTACCTCTATATATCTAAGTTGCTTGCTTATTGCTCTCCTGATATTTTTACTCTTTAGCCTTATATATTGATTTCTCACTATAAAGAATAAGAATGTAACTTTTTTATACCATCCCACCCTGCCACTTATGCCCTGTCCTTCTAATTTGGTATAGCAATATTCGGTGTTGGTGTAATTAGATCTATACAGTATACTTTGATTAACTTTCCTTTTTTTAAAAAAAATATATTTTCCCTGCAGTTAATAATTGTTCTGCCTTTCTTAGTTTTCTGTATACTCTGTAGTAATTAGACCCGAAACTCCTCTAATTTTTAAAATCCCCTCTCAGTATTTTTAGATGTATCCTATGGTTAATGAATTTTCTTATTGAATACATTTCTCTTGACAGCGCCTGAACTGCTTCAGTCTGAACTGGCATCTCCTACTGCACAGCTGCCCTGGGGAAGTCCCTCCTCTGCCATCACTAGCACCTTCTTGCCTCTCTTTCGGCTGGGAACCCACATCTTTGTGTTCATTGGCTTAGTGGAAGAAACTCTCAGAAACCTTCCTAGGGAATCATGCAGAGAAGACATTTTATTAAAGAACTGGAAGGTCTGAAAATGTCTTTGTTCTACACTCAGGCTTGACTGATAGTCTGGGTGGATTTTTAAGCAGAATTTTGAAAGTGCTGTTCCACTGACTTAAAGCTTCTATTAGTTATTGTTGAGAAGCCCAAAGCCATTCTAATTCTTGATACCTCATATGTGAACATTTCTTTTGTTTCTGAGAATGTGTAGAATCTTTACATTGTCCCCAGTGGTTAGAAATTTCACGATGATATTCCTTAGTGTGGGACCATTCCTGTGCAGTGCGTTGGGCACTCAGTACAAAGTCCAATAAATACTCAAAATATCGGTTTTTCAGGAGTATTGTATATATGTAGCAGATTCTCTCCTAAGGCACTTAAACTGCAATATTACAGCATTGCTTTGAAATACATACAACTAAAATTAGTAGTCATATAATTTTGTTATTTTTATAGGAAATACTGTGTGTTCTTCTGTCTTTAGAAACTGAAAGTAAGTGGTGTAGATGTGTGATCGTGACATAACCATCTATCTGAACATTTGAAACCTTGAACTCTGCAGAAATGCCAGGTGTTTAACATCAGAGCTGAAACCTGTGACAGGAGCACTTGAGAAGTCATAGCAGGAAGGAGCTAAAATGGTCTGACTAAACAATCAAAGATCGAAAGATTTGAAGTTGTTTGTGTCAATTCTTGTAAATTCAAGGCTTAGCCTTGACAAGTAAGGATGTGGCAGGTTGTTCAACACCAGAAAATATGTAGGATACAATTTGTCTGAAAGAAAAATGCTCTTCAGGCCATTCGTCGAGGTTAGAAAAGGTGCTAGAGAGGCCTCCACAAAAATGAGGTTTAAACATTTACATCAAAGCTATAATAAATAATTCCTCCTACAAAAATCAGGGTCTTATAAGAGGGGTAGGGGAGGAAGAAGAATGTTGCACTGCTTTGTAAGAAAAAAAGAAAGACTATAAATTAGAGAGTATGGAATTATAATTACAGAATATTCTGATTAACTTGCCCATAAAGTAAGATGTATGGTTAAGGTCACCAAACCTTAACGGGTGACATAATTCAGATCTGTCAAAGCACCTAGAATTGTTCCTCAGGGAAATTAAAGTTTGCAAATTACAGAGCCAGTATTACTAATCGTAGTGGACCAAAGCAGAACTTGGAGCTGGCCATTTCTCGAGTTGGGAGAAGACTTTATGATATGAGTGACTACCATTTTCTTGTCTGATCAAAATGTCTTCTGCAACTGCTGCTATCATTGGTTTCTTCCTTTCTTCAGGTCCCTCTCTTCGCTTCCTGAGAAAAGTGAAATTTTTGGCTCTGACTTTCAAATTTTTCCATTACTTCTATTTTTCTGCTAATATTCTCTCCTTTATTTTCTTTACTGCTGGTTTAAACTAACTTTCCTAGAGGCAAAACGCTTGCCTCCAACTCCCTTAAAGAAAACTTCAAAACCGAGTTTCATGTTCTTTGAAATGATGCATAAGAAAACAATAAAACAAGAGGGTGGTGTAAGACTGAGATGGTGAGAGAAGTGACATTGTGTATAATTATGCATGTTAATTTTTTTACTGAGATTATTTTGGTCCTCTGGGAAAAAGAAATGTTCTAAGTCATTTCTTGTACAGTCTCCCTTTCTTCATAAAGTATTTTATATCTTTATAAAATCACATATTTTATGATTTAAAAAACAGGAATAGAAAAACATGTAAAGAGGAATATTTAAAAATTTTGTCATTTGTTATCAATGGCTAAAGATAACATTTTTGGACCTTGGACTTGATTTACTTCTAATCATAAAATAATTCTTGTGTGCGTGCATGTGTGTGTGTCTGTGTATCTGTGTGCTTACCTATGAATATTAACCAGTTTGGGAACCAGACTGCAAACATATTCTGGATCCTAAATATTGCATGCAATGTATTTTTACCTCATTAAATATTGTATGAAAACGTTATCTTTACTGAGTTAAAGAATATTTCATCATTTAGACATATCCTGCATTCTTTAAACCACCCTCTGTTTTTGGACATTAACATATTTCCAAAATTCTGTCTAGAAGTTATAGAATTTGAGGCTTCATTACATTAATCTTTATGTGTTTTCTGATTATTTCCTTTGGATATATTCCTAAGAGTGGAAATACTGGGGTCAAAGGATTTGATTGCTTTTGGCATTCTTGATTAATATATATTGCCTAAGTGCACTTTGGAAAGGTTGTGTCTGTTTCATTCTTATAAGGGTGCATGAGAATACCTTTTCATCAAGCATTTCTTTCCAACACAAATACTGTAATTTAAATATATTTCTATTTCAATCAAAAGATATATTACTTCAATTTAAATTTATTTGATTATAAGAGAGGTTGCATTATTAAAATGTATATTAACAATTTATATCTCTCTTTTTTGTTTGTGCATTTCCTGTTCATGTTCTTTGCCAGTTTTCCTAGTTGGTGCTTATTTTTTTAAATAAATTATGAGAGTTCTTCATAGATTAAGAGTATAAGCCTCTTTTTTTTTTTTTTTTTTGAGACAGAGTTTCACTCTAGTTGCCCAGGCTGGAGTGCAATGGCGCCATCTCGGCTCACTGCAACCTCTGCCTCCTGGGTTCAAGGGAGTCTCCTGCCTCAGCCTCCCCAGTAGCTGGGATTACAGGTGCCTGCAACCATGCGCAGCTAATTTTTGTATTTTTAGTAGAGATGGGGTTTCACCATGTTGGCCAGGCTGGTCTCGAACTCCTGACATCAGGTGATCCACCTGCCTCTGGCTCCCAGAGTGCTGAGATTACAGGCATGCGCCACTGTGCCTGGCCTATTTATCTCTTTTAACAGCTTTATTGAGTTACAACTGACAAAATAAATTGAACATACTTAAAATGTACTTTTGATGTGTAAAAGTATCACTATAATCAAGATAATAAACATATCCATCATCTCCAAAAGTTTCTTCTTGCCCCTTTGTGTCTCCCTTCCTCCTGTCCTCTTTGTCCCCTCTATGTTATCAGGTATTTTAGTCCACTTGCATTGCTTTAAAGGAAAACCCAAGGCTGGATAATTTGCAAAGAAAAGTTTACTTGGCTTACAGTTCTGCAGCCTGTACAAGAAGTATTGCATCAGCATCTGCTTCTGGTGAGGGCTTTGGGCTGCTTCCACTCATGGCAGAAGGGGAAGGAGAGCCAGTGTGTGTTTGCAGACATCTCATGGTGAGAGAAAGGAAGCCAGACAGGGTGAGAGAGGAGGGAGGTGCCAGATTCGTTTCAACAACCAGCTCTCAGGGGAACTAATAGAGCTAGAATTCAAGCATTATTGTGAGGATGGCACCAAGCCATTCATGAGGGATCTGTCCTCCATAACCGAAACACCTCCCATTAGGACCTACCTCCAACATTAAGGATCAAATTTCAACATGAAGTTTGGAAGACAAAAATCCAAACTATGGCACCCGACAACCATTGACTGATGTTCAGTTACTGTAAGTTTCTTTTCATTTAAAAAATAGTCTCACATACTATGCACTCTTTTTTGTCTAACTTCTTTCACTCATAACTTATTTTGAGATTCATCCATGTTTTGGCATATATTACTATTTCATTTTTTTAATATTGCTGAGTAGTATTCCACTGTATGGCTATAAAATGGTTTGTCCACTTACATGTTGAAAGGAACTTGAGTTGTTTTCAGTTTTGAGATATTTACAAAGCTTTTATAAACATTGATTTTCAACACTTTGTATGGACATAAGCTTTCAGTTCTCTTGGGTAAACGTGTGGGAGTGGAATGGCTCATATGATATGTGTACATTTAACTTTTTAAGAAACTACCAAATTGTTTTCCAAAGAGTTTGCACCATTTTATATTCTCATCAGCAGTGTTTAAAAGTTTCAGTTGTTTTACATTCTTGCCAACATTTGGTATAGTTTATTCTAAATTTTAGCCACTCCAATATGTATGGGGTGGTATCTTATTGTAATTTTGATTGGCATTTGCAGAACAATTAGTAATGTCAAAATAGTTTCATGTGCTTATTTACTAGCTATATTTTTTTTGGTGAAGCATTTCTTCAAATCTTGTGGCCATTTTGAAATTGAATCTGACATTAAATAATGAGTAATACATTGTGATAAAGTGAAATTCATCCAGGAATGCAAGGTTAATTTAACATTTGTAATCAATCAATGAAATTCACCATATGAACAAACTAAAAAAGAAAAATATGCATAGATATCAAAACTGCATTTCATAAAATTTAACAACCTTTTGTAATACAAGCTCTCAGCATACTAGGAAAATAAGAGAACTTGCTCAACCTAATAAAGGGTATCTATGAAAAACCTACAGCTACCATTATACCTAATGGTAAAAATTCCCCTAAGATCAGGATCAAGACACAGATTTATGGCCTCACTACTTCTAGTCAAAACCATACTGGAGATTCTAGCCAAAGCTATAATCTAAGAAGAAAAAATAAAAGGCGTCCATATTAGAAAGAAATAACTAAAATTATTTTTATTCACATTTGACATAATTGCCAATGTAGAATATCAGATGGAATTGAAAATATGTTACTAGAACTAATAAGGGAATTTATATAAGATTTAGAATAAATAACATTTATAAATCAATTATGATTTTATATACTAGCAACAGGGAATAGAAAATCAAAATTTAACGTACAATATAATCTAAAAGAGCATAAAGCTTACAAAATACTAAGGAATAAAGTCGACGAAAGAAGCACAAGACCTGTATACTGAAAACTATAAATGATGCTGAGAGAAATTAAAGAAATGAGAGATTTATCTATTTCAAGGAACAGAATACTCAATATTTTTCAATCAATTTTTCTTAAAATGACTTATAGACTCAATCCCAGTTAAAATCCCAGCACACATTTTGTAGAAATTGACAAGCTGATTCTAAAATTCGTGTGGAAATTCAAAGGCTCTAGAATAGCCAAAACATGAAAAGGGAAGAATAAACTTGGAAGACGAACACTACCTGATTTTAAAATATATTGCTAGATAAATTAAGACTGGATATTGCTGTAAAATAACAGACAAATAGATCAATGGAACAAACTAGAAAGTCCAAAAATATTTTCACACATATATGGACAACTCATTTTTGACAAAGATAGAAAGGCAAGACAACTCATGAAAAAAGGAGAATTATTTTAATCAATGTTACTGAAACAATTACATATTTATATTCAAATTTTTTAAAACTTCAATATATATTGTATCATATACAAAATATAACCCAAATAGATCATAAACCTAAGTGCAAAATGAAAAAAATTATAGAACTTAGTGAAGAAAATATAGGAGAAAATATTTGTAGACTTTGGTTGAGCAAAAATTTTTTAGGTATGATGTTAACAGCATGACTCTTAAAAGGATAAATTGATAAATTGGGTTTTATCAAATTAAGAATGCACATGCTTCAAAAGAATACTACTTAAGATAATAAAAGGACAAACTAAAGACAGGGAGACAATATTTACAAATTTTATATCTGATAAAAGACTTCTATTCAGAATATGTAAAATAATTCAAAAATCCAGTGATAAGAAATTAACCCTTTCAGTCCACTAATTTTGGGCAAGGGTACCAAGAAGACACCATGGAGCAAGAATAGGCTCTTCAATAAATGGTGATGGGAAAACTGGATAACACCATGCAAAAGAATAAAATTGGACACTTACCTTACATCATATGCAAAAATCAAATCAAAATGGATTAAAACTCTATAAGACCTGGAACCTTAACATTTTTAGAATAAAACGTAAGAAAGTCTTCTTGACATTGATCTTGGCAATGAATTTTTGAAATAAGACACCAAAAGTACAGGCAACAAAAGCAAAAATAAACATAAGCATCACACTAATAGGCTTCTGCATAGCAAAGGAAACAATCAATAAAATGAAAAAGCAGCCTACAGATTGGGAAAAAATATTTACAAACCATATACTGATAAAGGATTAATATCTAAAATATATAAGGAACTCACACAACTCAATAGCAAAAAAACAAACTAACAAACAAAAAACAAAACCAAATAGCCTGATTAAAAAAATAGGCAAACACACTTAATAAACATTTCTCTAAAGAAGACGTAAAAATGGCCAAAAGGTACATGGAAAGGTATGCAACATCACTAATCATCAAGGAAATGAAAAACAAAAACCAGAATAAAATATCACCTCAGATCTGTTAGAATGGCTTTTCTCAAAAAACAACTGATCAGTGTTGATGAGGGTATGGAGAAAAGGGAACCCCTGTGCACTGTTGATAGGAATGTAAATTGGTGTAGCCACTGTGGAAAACAGTATAGAAGTTCCTAAATAAATTAAAACTAGAACTATAATATGATCCAGCAATCTCTTTTCTGGGTATACACCCAAAGGAAATAAAATTACCACCTCATAAAGATATCTGCACTCCCACATTCACTGCAACATTATTCACAATAGACAAAATATGAAAACAATCAAAGTGTGTTCATGAATGAATAAAGACGTTATAGTGACACACTCATGAATATTATTCAGCCTTAAAAAGGAGATCCTTCCATTGGCCACAACATGAGTGAATCTAGAAGGTATTAGGCTAAGTGAAATAAGACAGATACAGAAAGAAAAGTACTGTATGATTTCACTTATATGTGGACTTTAAAAACAAAACAAAACAAAATAGAAAAAAAAATGCCTCAAATGGAAGAAATAGAGAGTAGAATGGTGGAGGGGGTGCCAAGAGAGCTGGGGAAATGGGAAAAAGTAATTCAGAGGGTACAAAGTTGCAGTTCTCTAGGATAAATGCACGGAGATCTGATGTACAATATGATGACTATCATTAATAATATTGTCTCATTTACTGGTAATTTACCAAGCGAGTAGATTTTCGGTACTCTTACTATATAAAAAAGATAAGAGATGATGGATATGTTAATTTACTTGACTGTGGTAATCATTTCACCATGTATATGTATATCAAAATATCATGTTATAAACCTGAAATATATACAATAAAAGAAGAAAAGTATATTGGCATAAAGAAACAATAAATTAACCTTTTATTTTGATACACATGAGGAGTTTTTCCAAGTTTATTGGGTTATGGTTATTTCCTCCTGGCCCTCTTCTTCTTTTTTTTTTTTTTTTTTTTTTTGAGACAAAGTCTTGCTCTGTCACCCAGGCCTGAGTGCAGTGGCACTATTATAGCTTACTGCAGCCTCCATCTCCATGGCTCAGGTAATCCTCCCACCTCAGCCTCCCAAGTAGCTGTGACTACTGGTATATAGCTCAACTACTGGCTATTTTTGTTTGTTCGTTTTCTATTTTTAGTGGAGATGAGGTCTTGCTTTGTTGCCCAGGCTGGTCTTATTTTCTTAATGGTTTTCTTGAACATAGAGTGTTTTGAAGTTTTTACATAGTCATATCTATCAATTAAAATGCATTTTCATACTAAGTCATTTTTTGAAACACAAAAGTTTTAATTTTGCTAACTAGTGGAAGAAGGCCAAATCCATCTTGGTATTGACTTTGTATGTGGAAAGATATTTTTTAAACTTTCAGTCATGCAAAATTTTTTATGTATACAAGATTTTTTGTCTGTTTGTTTGTTTGTTTTGGAGGCAGGGTCTCGCTCTGTCTCCCAGGCTGGAGTGCAGTGGCCCAATCTCAGCTCACTGCAAGCTCCGCCTCCCGGGTTCACGCCATTCTCCTGCCTCAGCCTCCCGAGTAGCTGGGACTACAGGCACCTGCCACCACGCCCGGCTAATTTTTTGTATTTTTAGTAGAGACAGGGTTTCACTGTGTTAGCGAGGATGGTCTTGATCTCCTGACCTCGTGATCCGCCAGCCTCGGCCTCCCAAAGTGCTGAGATTACAAGCATGAGCCACCGCGCCCGGCTCAAGATGTTTTACATTACAAATTGATTATACCAGGTAAAGCTGCCCATACCTCTGACCCTACATTGTACGCCCAGCAAGCTTCCCTGTGGTGAGGTAACTGGTGTTAATGATAAAGAAAGAGGCCCAGAGAAATGCCGTCAGACACTCAAGCACAGCTTGGAAGTCAAGAGAGTTTTTTAAGCCAGTAGAGTTTTTAAGCCAATCAGAGACAAGTTTTCACAAATCTTGGGAAAACGGAATGTGATGGCATCTGGCGGAACTGACACATAGCAATCATAAATGGGGAAATAGAGGAGGGCAGAGATAGCAGAAAAAAGCAAAGACAGCTGGCTCTTCTCCCATTTCTCATATACCTATGGAGGAGGGAATGGAAACTTGTGCAAGGGGGCTTTACAATGTCAGTTGGGGGAGGAGGCCACATTTTGAACTGTACTTCATAGTCCCTGAAGGTCCTTGATGGCCTCCACCCTGGAGTTAACTATAATACATTTTGAAAGTTAATAAAATAAACAGTTGATAATTACCTGAGTAGAAAAACAGTCTCTCCTGGCTACAAGTACCATCACAAGCAGTAGTCTTCAAATTTTTGTTGAAGTACCCCCGAAAAAAATTATGAAAAAAAGATGTAAAACAACACGTTTTAAGTAGACAAGTTTTAAAATCTTAAGAAGTAACAAAAACTGTAATTTCTCTCATACTGTAAACCAGGACATTTTAACATAAAAACCTTAAATGTAGGTAAAGAATCAAAATACCATAGTGAGTTGATAACCACTGTTGCTTTAAAAGTGTACGAATGACTTCTTAAACAGTGTGAAATTATACATTGTTTTATTTTCCATGACCTGATATTTTCATTTTCCTTTCTCTCAGTATTCTATCCTGATATATTCATCTTTGAAAGTTTTCACTCATACTCTTATCCTATTTATATGCTGCAATAATATTTATATACGTTAAATTTTTCTATTTATTTTCTGTAACTACAGGCCTTAAGTGTGAACATTTTTTCTTCTGTGTTTAGTTATTATTATAAGCATTTTTATACACAGTTAATCAAAACGCAATAAATATGTTAAAATACTGAACACATAGTTATAAGGAGGAAAATTTTACTGAACTATATTACTTAATGAGGAGTGTAACTTTTATTTTGTTAATGGATTCATAGATCCATAAATAAATATTACTTGCTGCTAGAGTAAGACAGATTTCAGCCTTACTACTATTGCTATTTTGTTTAAAAAGAGGCACTAAGAAGCCTTATTCACATAAATAAGTAGATACAAATGGAAGGAATTTTTTAATAGCATTCTCACTCAATTCTTCAAACTTTTTCCTCATGGGGAGGGTTATGCTTCTCTTGTGCAAAGTGGGAGAAAATAATCAATCGCAGAAAGGGAGGTGGGAGTGTAAAGCCATGGCTAAATTCTCAGATGGATTATTTTATTAATTAGGAAATAATAACATAGAAATTGAGGATCTGGAAAGTGCTCTCAGTGCCTCTATCTACTCCTGGGTACCCCTGGATACGTTTTTATGTATCCCTGCGTGTACATACATCTCAGTTTGTATATTGCTTGTCTAGAGCTCTCCAATGTGGTCCTGCAGCAGCAATATCAGCATTACTTGAGGATTTGTTGGAAATGAAAATTATAAGTTCTCCACCTTAGAATCAGGTGTCGATATTTACTCAACCAAATCAGATAGCAAAACTTCATTTTAATAAAGTAAGCACTAGATTCCTCTGCTCCTCAAATGAACAGTTTGCAGGAAAGCGTACTACAAAGAATATAATCTTTTCAGGAATGTCCATTCTGCTTGCTCTTTCAAAGGAAGAGAGCCTCTCTCCTTACTATGTATGTGCATTCCCCCAAATGCCTCAGAGTGTGGGATTATTTAGGATAAAGCTGACAAAGAGACAGAAGACCGAAAGCTCAGTGTAGCCCCAAAGGTCATTTTTTGATAGTCTGACTATCTTCTGCACAAAGCCCCCAAAGGCAGGAACAAAGTCTTACTTACACAGTAAGGATACAAAGATGTTTGTTGAACTGAATTTAAATAATAGTGTTTAAATACAATGCAAGAAGTGATATGTTTGGCATCTTAAAATCTGCCAATGATTTTGTGCTCACAGGACAGTTTTCCCAAGACCCTGGAAGGGGACTTGATGCAGTAACAAACCAACAATGATGAGGAAGTAGAGACTAAGGCAACAATGTATGAACAAGAAGGAATTAGCATCCGTCATTAGGGACCACCAAGGCTATCAGCTCTGGGAAATATTTTGGCATTTTATTCCTGTGTTTTTCAGTGCATTTAATATATGCTTCATTAGCTGATTTCACTGCATTCTGCTCACTACGGTTTTTATTCTGTAGGCTATCGTCTTAAGTATAAAATTATGACATGGGTCTTGAAGATATGCTATTTAAGTACACCCTCCCTGTGCTGCCACTTGAGAATGCCTAATCCCATCCCACACCCTCATCTTCCACACGATGCACGAAGAGTTTATGTCTCTTGCCTAAGACATACAACCAATTATCAATTGGAGGATTGGGTCTCCCTACTAAGTGCTCTCCTCCTGACAGCACCCTGCTGTAAGAATTCTGGAAGAAATCCCTACTTTAGTAGTAGAAAGCTCTACAGTCTGCAACATCAGGATTCTAGTGTCAGCTTCACGGTGCAGTGTCTTAGGTACTGAATAGACCATTTCATGTCACTGAGTCTTGCTAAAAATCCTATTTGACTCTACAATTTTATGAAGTCTGTCAACTTTGAGACATCTCTGAGGAATCTGAAGCTCAGAAATTTATGATATTTGTGATTAGATTATTACCTCTGTTATCTTCAGTACCCTTCCCTCCTCAGCTCCACTTGACTTTGCTAATAAAGCTTTTATTTTTCTGCCTCGGGGATTCATACAGTCTTTAGAAGACGTTTGAGAGTTTAGGCTTGGAATAGGCAAAGGGAAATGAATTCTAATGAAAGGAATTTCTTCTTATTTGTTAAAAAAACAAAATAAGAACTCCTATTTTATGATTGAATAAAAATATGAAGAACTAGGATTGTTAAGATATAAAAAGACCTCTCAGAAGCTATCTTTTATGCAAAATAGACTGCATCACTGTGATCTTCAGTGCCAAGCTAGAATGATCACAGGCACAGCAATCCCCAAAGCAAGCTCTTCTCTTTATGCATAATTTTAATATCTTCCTATCATGAAAAAATGATATTTGATTACTGAGAATTCCACTTCTTACCCTGCCCATCATATATTATTTCTCTTCAAAATACACTATAGAAAGATGGAGGAAAATCCTCTTTCCATTGAAAAGAGGGTCTAAGGTTCTTTAGAAATGGTTGTGTCAGAGGTCCAATAACTCCTTTGAACGACCAAGTCTCTGCATTTTTGTCATTGTATTCCCATCTATGTTATTTTCTGCAGTAATTTACTTGTCAGAAAGATCACAGGAAACTAGCAATTTACTTTGTGCACAAAGCATTGTGTGGCTGTGACTGCCTTTTCTCATAGGGCTGTAATCTTTCATTTGTCTAAATGAAATGATGGATGAGCAGGTATCACCACTTGGCATGCCAAGGCTGCTGTTCGTCCACGCCTCTCCCGCCTTCATGGCAAAGTGCCTCTGGCTGAGACACCCCTAAAAAAGGGGGCTGCTGGACCTAAGAGAAGGCTCTACATGAGGTTGACAACCAACCACTGGAGACCAATCCCTACAAGCAGAAATGTTTACATTGCTTAATATAGCTTAGTATCCTTGTATAAGAAAAGAGCCAAATAATTTCTTCTTTTGCATATCTAAAAATGTTGATAAACATATTAAATATTTCAAAGTTGTCTACCATGAAATAAGACAGAAAATATATTGCCTAACACTGACCCTTCTCCTTTTTTTTCAGCCAAAGGAAAATAAGCTACAGCATCTGTTAATAACTATTGGATTTCATTCATAAAGATGCGTTGATTGCCTCCCCTACACACACTCCACTTTTTAAGCTCAAACTCTGAGCTGAATGAACATAAACAGGCTTAACAACTTCATAATTTTCCCAGGCTTCGTTCCCATTCACCCATTTCACGTAAATGACAATAACCAAAATGAAAAGAGCTTAAAGTTTAATAAGAAGGTTTCACTTGAGATAATTATAGAGGCTTTGGTAGGCTTTCAGAACCCTCTTCATTATCAGAAATAGTTGGGAGATTTTTACTTCAATTCTGTCTGTGCAATTTACAGTGTGAGTACCATGCCCCAGAAACTCTGTTGTCAGGGATGTGAGCAAATGTTGAAGCCAAGGAGGTTTCTGGTATGCAAATGTCAAGCCCTCAGGGTCACCACTGTCAAGAAACAGAGAGCAAAAGGTGGATGTCCTCAATCTGGCAAAGGGTGTTGACAAAAAGCAGTCAGCAAAGAGCATATTTAATGTTGAAATTTTGAAAACATTTCTGCATGAGTTGTGGGAAGTAAAGTTTTTGTCAAGCAGAATTCTTACCCACTCCTTTCTCATACCACACATTTCCTCTTTAGGAGGCAAGTTGAGCAAAGATATATCAAACATCTACTCTGTGTTTAAGCATTAAGAGTGCAAAGATAAATAACAGATGGTTCTTGCCCTGAAAGAGCTTATGCATTATTGGACAAGGCAGGCAGAATCAAACTGACTATATCAAGATAAGTGCATACCAGCCATAGAAACAGAGCACTATGAGGCAGAGAACCCCCAAAATAGACATTATGTATACTTTTTCATATGCTGTCACGCATCCCTTAATGATGCAAATAGATTCTGAGAACTTCATCCTTAGATGATTTTGTCGTTATTTGAACATCGTAGAGTGTACTCACACAAACCTAGATGGTGTAGCCTACTGCACACCTAGGTTATAAGGGATGGCCTGTTACTGCTAGGCTACACACCGGTACAGCACGTTACTGTACTGAATTCTGTAGGCAATTGTAATGCTGTTGTGTATCTAAACATATCTAAACAAAGAAAAGGTACAGTAAGGATACAGTATTATAATCTTATGGCACCACTGTCTTATATGTGGTCCACCATTGACCGAGACATCGTTAGGCAGTGCCTGACTATATTTAGAAAGATGTGAATGTTTCTGTAGAGACTTTGGGAAATGACATACACTTAATTGTATCGAGTGTACTGGGTTTCTGAGTAACAAGTCATGCATGCATGCATGCACTCATTCATTTATTGGGCTTTACTTTACACCAGGTGTTTTGCCAGATCTTGGGGCTACAAAAATAATTTTGAATTGTCTTCTGCTCACAGGAGCTGTATGCTGGATATTGGAAAGTAGATTGAGAGGCCTTGAATGATATGTAGTCAAACACTATTCTGCAAGCATAAGGGTGCCAGGAAGATTTGGTTGCTTTCGTTATTGAACAAAAGAAAGAAGGCTATGCTAAAATCTTTGGAAAAAAACAATATGAGTGGAGAGGTTGGATTGGAGTGGGGAAAGACTGGTGTCAGGGAGGCACAATTGTTCTTGTCCAAATGATAAGGGCCTGAACTTAGAGTAGTACTTAGGTGTGTAGGGGAGACATTTTTAAAATAAAATAGAAAGAAAATAGTGTCTAGTTCAAGAATTTGTACTGCAAGCAAGAACAAGTGTCTCTGGCTATGAGAGTAGAAAGGACTTTATTGGGAAAATTTTATTAAGACTGGTTGGGATAACCAATGTGAGAGTTGAGAACCAGATGTTAAAAATGTAAAACAAACAACACAAAGGCAAATAAGGCTCTGGACAGCCAAGAGTAGGGAGGAGCTTCACCATCGCTGGAAGGAAAGATGTGGCTCAAATGCACTGGTGTAGCTGCTGCTACTCAGCATGACTCCCTCTGAACCTGTTGCCCCTAACACTCTGTTCCAATGATGTTAAGCCAACTGGGTGCCAAGCCTGAGGGTGCAGGGAGAGTATGTCTCTTTCTTAGGAAAGGAGAAGATTGTGTGTCGTTAAGTCTGGTGGCTTCTCCCAACTGGAAAAGGAGGTTTGGACATTGAACAGCCTCCCAATGGCAATTGTTCACCCCAAACCTTTATCATGGGAGACTTCAGAAGATCTAGATTTATTGACACAGTGAATGATAATGCCATAATTGACATAGGACATAGAACCAGAAGGAATGCAATAGCAAGTCCAGGTCAAATTAAATTTGAGATATTTTTTAGAAAGCTAAGTAAAAGCCCAGAAACTGGTTTTGATCTGGATGTCAGCACAGAGGCCAGCACTAAAGATGGAGTCCTGGAATTCCATTATCTAGTTGTATTATACTCCCTCTACATTCTACTGTCTGTCCATAACTCAGAACCACCTGAAAATACTCTACCCAGTTCTAGACTTGCTGCTATTATTTCACCCTCCTGTGTATTCTTGTATTTCATTCTATTCCCCGGTCATTCAAAATAGTATTTGGTCCTACAGTTGGGTGGAAATTATTCCTCAATTGCTCAACCCCAACACTGCTAATTCAGAGAAAAAAATGTGCCAGGAATTTCTCTGTCTCCATCCCATGCTCAGACACCACCTTTCCTTCATACCAAATTAATCACTTTGGGGTGTGCTCACTGGTGATTCCACACATAGTTAAGAGATCAGAAGTCAAGTATTTTTCAGTAAGAAAGCTCCAGTGGATAAATGGAAAAGGAGACAGGGGAGGTTATCCTGTCTATGATCTGATTTAAGGCTCTCGCATCACTCATCTTAACGTTGTCCCTGACATCATTCTCCACTCCCACTTGGCCTGGGATGCTGCATTCCTGCTGCCTGCTGCATCAGCTTACTGATGGTTTTGCATAGAGATTTTCTAACTGGGATTCCAGGTAGGGACTCATGAGGAAGTGAAAGGGAATAGGGAAGAGGCAAAACTGGGAGGCTTTGGGTCCTATTTTTCTGTTTCACCATAGCAACTCAGATTTTTATCTTTTTATAAATTAGTCTTTAATTTAAAATTTCCTTTGAGTACAGGTTTCCGATGTTACAAACAAGTTTATAAATCATTGCTATCTTAGTGCATTCAGGTTGCTATAACAAAATATCATAAACTGGGTAGCTTACAAACAACAGAAATTTATTTTTCACACTTCTGGAGGCTAGAAAGCCCAACATTAAGGCAGCTTCAGTGTCTGGTGAGGGCCTGTTTTCTGGCTTATAGAGGACACCTCCTTGCTGTGTCCTTACATGGTGAAGAAGTATAAGGCTCCCTCAGGCCTCTTTTATAAGGACACCAATCCCATTCATGAAGGCTCTTCGCTCATGACCTTGTCACATCCTGAAGACCCTACCTCCTCATACCATTACCTTGGGGGTTAGGAGTTCAACAAATAAATTTTACAGGGATTTAAACATTCAGTCCACATCAGTTGCTTATTTGATAGTTCTCAAAACCTTTCTGGCATCAGGATGCATTCACACTTTTAAAAATTATTAGGGCCTTTTTTTCCCCCAAGATGGTGGATTGGAGGAATTGTTAGCATGCCTCTCCCACTTGGAAAGACAAAATAGTTTGTAGAGACTCATGCTGTGAACTTGTTTCCAAGAGGCAACACAGGAAATTAACAGGAAAACTGAAAAATAAAAATAACAGAACCTTTGAAAGAAATGGCAGGCTGAGCCTATGCCTTGAGTGAGGAGGAAAATTGTAAGTCCCCAGAGTGTGAGAGGGGGAGAAACTGCCCCCAGGATATACATTCCCCACTGGGGAACCTGGCAATCCAGGCCACAGGGGAAGGCCTTATCTCAGTGCTGGAGTTGATTTAGTGTGTGGTGGGAAGTGTATGAGAAGGAGTGGCATTGGACATAATTTATAAGCACTCCCAGACTCCAGCTGGGATGAAGGGAACATATCCTTGATCCTACCTCCCAGGGGACCTCGCAGAAGTCTGTTGGCGAACTCAGTTGGTGGTCACAGGTGGAGGGAAGCTCCTGAGATTCATGATGTAATTTCAAGTTGGGACAAACCTCCTTGGCCAGAACAAAGGGGTCAGTGGGAAGTGTGTTGTAGTCATGGGCACAGGAACTGGATGCCCCTACTTCACAGACGGACTGAGAGGGGCATGGCCTGAAAGCTGTGGTTTCTGTCTCACAGGGAAGGTTTATGGCCTGAGGGAGATTTTAGTTCTGAGCTCAGACTGCCTGGCACTTAGCTAGCCACTGTTAGTGGAACACCGTAGGTTGGAGATCTAACTTGCCAAGTGCGTGGGTGTTGGGTGGGGCTTACTGTCACTTGTTACTCCCCAATCCCTCTGTGGCCTCCCTGGACTATTACCCCAGCAGCCAGAGAACTGCTCACTGGGGCCACTGCTTGCATCTGCATGTGGAGAGGCAGAGTGTGGACTTACCTGATGCAGCCCCTACCTGGCTTTGCCCCTCCACCTGCCCTGGTAGCTTAACACAAAGGACAGAAACCTCTGGGAGCTCTGTGGCTCTGCTTGTTGCCTGAGAAACCAGAGTACTTCCCCTGAGTAGCATAAGGCAAGCACAAATCCCACTGCTACCAGAATAGCTGGTGGTGTTTTACAAGTGCCACCTCTTGGTTGGAGGCCAACTGACACAGTCCATTACAACATCTTCAGGGAGAATAACATGGCCCCCAGGAAGGGGAAGACTTGTGCATAACCTCAGCTATCATCGTTGCCTGCATCACTCTGGCTAACCAGGAGGTCCTTAGTCTCTCCATGTGACCAATTCATTACTACTACAACAGGCATGTGAGAAAGCCAACACACTAAGGCTGCTTAAAACCAAAGAATCTCAAAGAGTCTAAGTCACTCCCCTGCCACGCCATCAGAACTGGTTCTGGTACCTGCTGCTGGGAGACGTGAGGACAGGTCACATCACTGGATCCCTTGAAGACATTCCCCATCTCCAGCTTGGAGTGTGGCAGCCCCCTAGGAGGCTAGACTCAGTAAAAGAGAAGGATTCATAGTAATTTGGGCCTCAGGGACTACTACTTCTAGGGGAAGGGGGAGTGTACCCAATGGGACAAAGAAAATCCAGACCACAGGCCCTGAGTCCCAGAACTTTCAGCTTTTGGGAAGTTTCTTTCAGCAGAAGCACAAGTGCAATGCTGGGCTCAGTAGGAAAAGCTGGCAGCCCTACCCCAACAGTCAGGAGCCTTGGTGCTCATAAAGTGTCACAGAGAAGGGGACTTCTTCTCACTCTCACCCACCACTGAAGACACAGGTGGGGCTTCTCTCATGGGAGCTTGACTTAGGTCCTTCTGTAGACAGCCTTTCTAGAACATCTCAGAGTGACTGTATCCCCACAAGAGGAATGCTCTCCAGGTTCAGGTTTGCATGAGAGGTAGAGTGACAACCCTTTTCTATATGGAACATCAGCATTCCTTCAGATGAAAAGAGGTGTCTGTCTGATCTGAATAGCTGGAACCCTGGGTCAGGAGTGTGATTGAGAGGTGGATTGCTTTCCTGCTGGCCTGGCAGGGGAACTCAGGTGATTCCCTCTCTTCACCCTGAAAAGACCTCAGTGTTTTTCACTGAGAGCTCCTCCAACTACCTCTGTCAATGCTGTGACCTCTGCCCTCCACTGGGTATTGCACTTACCCACCTGCCTTAGCCACAGCTGGTTTTTACCTGTGGATACTTCCTACTGGCCTGAAGGCTGGACTGTTCAATCCAGTGATTAAAATAGTAGGGGGAAAATAAATAAATAAAAAAGTACATACCACTGGGAAAAAAATAAGCTTCAAGAGACTTTTGTCATTCCAAAATTATAGGAGACAGTGAACCTACTCACACCATTAACATATTGCCACTACAACCAGTATCTGAAAAAGCCATCATACAAAGGCTCTTTATAACCAAAGAACTCATACAAAGTCTTCACCCAGAGCTGAATTAGGTTACAACAATTTATAAACATTAAAGTCACATCCTCAAGGATGGGACATTTTTAAAAAGCACAGTTGAATCAAAAATAAATTCAAAAATAATTAAAAGAAATAGTCTACCCAAATAAGAAGAAACCAGAAAAATAATTCTGGCAATATGACAAAACAGGGTTCTATAAAACCCCAAAAAGATTACACCAGCTCTTTAGCAATGGAACTAAACTGAGATGACAACTTTGAAATACCAGATAAAGAATTCAAAAGGATGCTTATTAAGTTACTCACAGAGATACAAGAAAAAGATGAAAACCAACATAAAGAAATTTAAAAAACAATTTAGGATGTGAATTAAAAATGTTCTAAAGAGATAGATATTAAAAAAATCAATTAGAACTTCTGGAAGTAAAAGACACATTTACAGAATTACAAAATGCAGTGGCAAGTTCTAACAGTTTACTAGATCAAGTAGGATAAAGAATTTCAGAGCTCAAAGACAAGGCTTTTGAATTAATCCAATCAGACAAAAATAAAAAATTTTTAAAAGAAGTGTACAAAGTATCCAAGAAATATGGGACTATGTAAAACAGCCAAACCTAAGAATCACTGGTGTTTCTTGGGAGGAATAAGAAAAAGCAAAAAGTTTGGAAAATTTATTTGACAGAATAATTGAGGAAAACTTCCCCTGGCCTTACTAGAGATTTAGACATCCAAATTCATTAAACAAAAAAAAAAAAAAAAAAAAAAAAACTCCCAGGAGATTTATTCCAAAAAGGATATCTCCAAGGCATATAGTCATTAGGCTGTCTAGAGTCAATGTGAAGGAAATAACTCTAAGAACAGTGAGACAAAAATATGATGTATTCTATAAAGGAAAACCTATAAGACTAGCAGCAGATTTCTCAGCAGAAACCTTTTACCACCTGGAAGGGATTCAGGTCCTATCTTTAGCCTTGTTAAACAGAATAACCATCCACCAAGAATTTTGTATCCAGCAAAACTAAGTTTCATCAACAAAGGAGAAATAAAGTGTTTTTCAGACAAGCAAATGCTGAGGGAATTTGTCACTATTAGACCATCCCTAAAAAGAAATGATAAAAGGAATTCTAAATCTTGAAACAAAACGTTGATATGCACCAGAATAGAACATCTTGAAAGCATTAAACTCACAGGACCTGTAAAACAATAACACAATGAAGAAAACAAAGTAACTAGGTAACAATCAACGTGATGACTGGAATAGTACCTCATGTCTCAATATTAATATTGAATGTAAATATTCTAAATGCTCCACTTAAAAGATACAGGTCAGCATAATAAATAAAAAATCACAAACCAAATATTTGTTGTCTTAAAGAAACACACTTACACGTATAAGGATTCTTAAAGACTCAAGATAAAGGGGTGGAAAAAGATATTCCCTGCAAATAGAAACCAAAAGCAAGTAGGAATAGCTATTATTATGTCAGATAAAACAGTCTTTAAAGCAAAAACACTAAAAAAAAAAAGAAGAAAAAATAAAAAAGTAAAGAAAATCATTATGTAATAAAAAAGGATCAATTCTGCAGAAGACATTACAATCCAAAATACATATGCACTGAACTCCCAGATTCATAAAATAATTCCTACTAGACCTCAGAAAATAGATAGACACTAACACAATAATAGTGGGGGATTTCAACACTCCACTGACAGCACTAGACATATCATTGAGGCAGAAAGTCAACAAAGAAACATTGGACTTAAACTGCACTCTAAAACAAGTGGACCTAACAGACATGTACAGAAAGTTCTACCCAAGAACTGCAGAATATGCATTCTTCTCATGAACATATGGATCATTCTCCAAGATAGACTATATGATAGGCCACAAAACAAGTCTCAATACATTTTTTAAAATAAAAATCATATCAAGTATTTCCTCAAATCACAGAGGAATAAAACTAAAAATCAGTCCAAAAGGAATTTACAAAACTATACAAATACATGGAAATTAAACAATCTGTTCTTAAATGACTTTTAACAATGAAATCAAGAAAATATTTAAAAAGTCTTCAAAATGACAGATAACAGTGACACAAGTTATCAAAACCTCTGGAATACAGCAAAAGCAGTGCTAAGGAGAAAGTTTATAGAGCTAAATGCCTACAACAAAAAGTCTAAAAATAAAAGATTACAAATTGACCACATTATATCACACTTCAAAGAATTATAGAAACAAGATCAAACCAAACCCAAAGCTAGCAGAAGAAAAGAAATAACAAATATCAGAGAACTCAATAAAATTGAAATTTAAAAATACAAATGATTAATGAAAAAAAAAATTTGTTCTTTGAAAAGATAAATAAATTGATAGACCATTAGCTAGAATAATCAAGAAAAGAAGTGAAGATTCAAATAAGCTCAATTAGAAATGAAAATGGAGAGATTACAACCAACACCACAGAAATACAAAAGACCATTTGGGACTACTATAAACACCTCTGTGCACATAAACTAGAAAATCTAGAGGAAATGGATGAATTCCTGGAAAAATACAGCCCTTCTAGCTTGAATGAAATAGAAATTATGAGCAGCCCAATAACAAGCAGTGAGATTGAATCAGTAACAAAAAAAAAAATTCCCAGTAAAAAAAAAAAAAAGCACAGGGCCAGATGGACTCACAGCTGAATTCTATCAGACATTTAAAGAAGAATTGGTACCAATTCAACTGAAACTATTCCAAAATAATGAGAAAGAGGGAATCCTCCCTAACTCATTCTATGAAGCCAGTATTACTCTGATACCAAAGCAAGCAAAGGACATAACAAAAAAGGAAAACTATAGATCAATATCCCTGATGAACATAGATGTAAAAATCCTCAACAAAATACCAGCAGATTGAATCCAACAGCTGCAGAAAAAAACATTCAATAAAATCCAGTATCTTTTTATGAAAACCCTCAACAAACTAGGCATAGAAGACACATGCCTCAAAATAATAAAAGCCATATATCACAAAACCACAGCCAACATCATACTGAATGGGGAAAAGTTGAAATTATTTCCCCTAAGAACTGGAAGAAGACAAGAGGCCCACTTTCATTACTTCTATTCAACATAGTACTGGAAATCCTAAGCAGAGTAATCAGGCAAGAGAAAGAAAGAAAGGGCATCCAAACTGGGGAAGAGGAAGTCAGACTATCTCTGTTTGTCAATGATATGATCATATACCTAGAATACCCTAAAGACTCCTTCAAAAGATTCCTAGATTTGACAAATGAATTCAGTAAAGTCTCGGGTTACAAGATGAATGTACAAAAATTGTAGCACTGCTATATACCAATGACGACCAAGCTGAGAATCAAATCAAGAATTCAATCCCTTTTATAACAGTTGCAAAAATAAATTAAAATACCTAGGAATATATTTAACAAAGGAGGTGAAAGATCTCTATAAGGAGGGCTATAAAACATTGCTGAAGGTAATCATAGATGACACAAACAAATGGGAATACATTCCATGGTTATGGATTGGAAGAATCAATATCATGAACATGATCATAGTACCCAAAGCAATCTACAGACTCGATGTAATTTCTATCAAAATACTAACATCATTTTTCACAGAATTAGAAAAAAAAATCCTAAAATTCACATGGAATCAAAAAAGAGCTTGAATAGCCAAAGTAATCTTAACCAAAAAGAACACATCTGGAGGCATCACATTCCCTCACTTCAAATTATACTACAAAGCTATAGTGACCAAAACAGCATGGTACTGGTATAAAAGTAGATACATAGACTAGTGGAACAGAATAGAGAACCCAGAAATAAAGCCAAAGCCAAATGCTTACAATCAACTGATCTTCAACAAAGCATACAAAAACATAAATTTGGGGAAAGGACACCCTATTCAATAAATGGTGCTCGGAAAACTGGAGAGCCACATGCAGAAGAATGAAACTAGATCCCTATCTCTCACCATATACAAAAATCAAATCAAGATGGATTAAAGTCTTAAATCTAAGACCTGAAATCATAAAACTTCCAGAAGAAAGGCTAGGAAAAGCTCTTCTGGACATTGGCCTAGGCAAAGAATTTATGACTAAGACCTCAAAAGCAAATTCAACTAAAACAAAAATAAGTAAATGGGATCTAATTAAACTGAAAAGCTACTGCAGAGCAGAAAAGATAATCATTAGAGTAAAACAGACAACCCATAGAATGGGAGAAAATATTTGCAAACTATGCATCCAACAAAGGAAATAATATCTGGAATCTATAAAGAACTAAAACTAATCAGCAAGAAAAAAACCCAGATAATCCCATCAAAAAATAGACAAATGACATGAATAGACATTCCTTAAAAGAAGATATACAAATGGCCAACAGACATACGAAAAAATGCTCAACATCACTAATCATCAGAGAAATGAAAATTAAAACCATAATGAGATAATACCACCTTACCCCAGCCAGAATGGTCATTATTAAAAAGTCAAAAAAAAAAAAAAAAAAAAAAGAAAGGATGGCATAGATGTGGTGCAAAGGGTTTGTTTATACACTGCTGGTGGGAATAAAAATTATTAATAGTACAACCTCTAAGGAAAACAGTATGGAGATTTCCCAAAGAACTAAAAGTAGATCTGCCATTTGATCCAGCAGTCCCACTGCTGGATATCTACCCAAAGGAAAAGAAGTCATTATATACAAAAGAAACCTGAATGTGTATGTTTATTGCAGCACAATTCACAATTGCAAAGATATGAACCAACCTAAATGCCCATCAACTGATTACTGGATAAAGAAAATGTGGTATATATACACCATGGGATACTACTCAGACATAAAAAAAGAAAAAATAATGGATTTTGCAGCAACTTAGATGGAGCTGGAGGCATTTATTCTAAGTGACACAATTCAGGAATGGAAGACCAAATACTATATATTACCACTTATAAGTGGGATCTAATATGGGTACAAAAAGGCATGCAGATTAATATATTGGACTTTGGAGACTCAGAAGTGGGTGGCAGGGAGGAGGGTGAGGAATAAAAAGCTACATATTGGACACAATGTACACTACACGGATGACAGGTATGCTAAAATATCAGACTTTACCACTGTATAACTTACCCATGTAACCAGAAACAACTTATACCCGTAAAGCTATTAAAATTAAAAATAAAATTAAAAAAAAGTATTAGGGACCTCAAAAAATAATTATATGGGTGTTGTCTATTGATATATAATATATTCGACATTAATACTGAGTATTTAAAATATTTCTTTATTCATTGAAAAATAAAAATAAAACTATTACATGATAACATAAATATATTTTTATCAAAAATTACTATGTTTTCTAAAAGTATAATGTGAAGAGAGGCAGTATTTTCCATTTTTGCAAATCTCATTAATATCTGGCTAAGTGGAAGATAGATGGATTCAAATATCTGCTTCTGCAATAAATTTATTATATGTTGTTTTGGTTGAAGTCTATGAAAAATAAAGTCAGCCTCACAGAGATACATAGTTAGAAGGAGGAAAAGCATTTTGGTAATCTTTCTACATAATTGTGGATATTTCTTTTTGACAATATACCACAACTCACTAATTAGTAGTTTCTTAAAGGTTGGTTGCAGTGTGAACTCAAAACCTGTATCAGTAAACATTTTGAACTCTATAACATTAAAATATATCAGCTTGTCTTGCACTTTAGATGAATCTTTTAGTCATGAATAATTTTGTAACATCACTCATCAGTCATCTGGAAAATATCGGTTCACTGAGTTATGCCATTTTCATGTTGACATGCTTCATTTTGCAATCTCAAAAAATGTATGTTCATTAATATTACCACCGATCTCATTAGAAAAATTTCTAAATGTGAGCAGGGCTCAGTGGCTCATGCCTGTAATCCCAGCACTTTGGGAGGCCGAGGTGGGTGGATCACAAGATCAGGAGATCGAGACCATCCTGGCTAAGACGGTGAAACCCCATCTCTACTAAAAATACAAAAAAAATTAGCTGGGCGTGGCGGCGGGCGCCTGTAGTCCCAGCTGCTAGGGAGGCTGAGGCGGGAGAATGGCGTGAACCCAGGAGGTGGAGCTTGCAGTGAGCTGAGATCAGGCCACTGCACTCCAGCCCTGGGCGACAGAGCGAGACTCCGTCTGAAAAAAAAAAAAAAAAAAGAAAAAAGAAAAATTTCTAAATATTGGGAAACTGTCAAGCTCACAGTGGTAGACACAAGTTGTTCACAATTCTAAATTTTGCTTGCAAGCTTTAATTTTGTAATTGGCAACAAATACCATCAGTCATTTTCCTTGAAGTGACAGGATCACTTCACTTTTGGAAAAGTATCTGCAAAATACCTAAGTCTGAACAATCATGTTTGTCTGTCAGTCATTCTTTCAAATTAAAGGGTATTTCATGGAGGAAGTATCTAGTTTAGCTTGCAACTAAAACAACCACACAAGTGCTTTTCCCCCAACAAATATCGTACATTTGCGTGCACCTTATAAGTTGCCTTACGTGTACTTACCATTTCATCATATAAAATATTAAAAAGATGTGAACTGAAAGGTAGAGATTGAATAAAATCAACCCAGTATACTCTTCTCAAGGACATTCTTAAAACTGCTTTTCCTGCCCCCTGTGAGTGCCTGGTGCGGTATACAATGACTACTGGTACAGTTTGGTGGCACTGCCTTGATTTGAGATAAAGCACCAGCAGTTCCACCCACCACTGCTTATTTTTAGCATCGGGGCTTATGTCACTGGAGTGAAAAGGATAAATACCACTTTAGTATCATGAAGAAAATCATTTTGACCTGAACTCCCTGAATGGGCCTGTGGGATCCCTATGGTTCCATATGCCACACTTTGAGAACCTCTGCTTTAAACCTGGAAAAGGCAAATATCAAGAGGAAAGTGGAAGAAGCTGTGTGTTAGAGCCTCTTGAAGACCAAAGACAAAATGCACATGTGTTCTCTGGGAGGGGTCTGGTAAATAGTGATTCTCATTTGTAACAGCTTTCCAGGCTTCTGCACTTTTGGAAGACTTGAGGAGTCTATAGGGACAGCATCTATAACACAACAAAACAAGGTTTTTGGCAACTCTAGATAAAATATCCCAAGGTTCCAGGGAATGTGACCAAAGTGCCAGGAAAATACTTAGAACTCACTTGTGCATTCCTTCATTCATTGCCAGAAAATGATAAAAAATTACTGAGCCAACTGCTAAGTGCAATCTATATGTTTGAACACAAAGTTTCTTTAAAAGCTAATTAGAATACCTAACAATACTATTACTGCCAACAACATAAGCAGAAACATGAAGCACTGACAATAAGTCAAGTATTGTGTTAAATACTTCTTATGAATTGCCTCCTTTAATCCTTATCATTAATAATGAGATGTCTTGCTACAATAAATTGGCACAATTTCTATCTCATTTTTATGAATGAAGAAAACAAGACTTTCAAAGGCCAAGAAGCATGTCCAAGATCACATGGCTGGCAAGTGTTGGGGCTGAGATTTGAACCTAGGGTGCAGGCTTTGAGCTGTTATGAAACCTCTCAAATCATCCTCTCATTATTTGTAAAATGCTAATAGCACTTACCTAGTTGAAGTTTGTAAACCATGGACAAGATAGCACATATGAAGATGGCATGGTGCCCGAGACATTGGATATAGAGGATAAATCTTACTTGCCTCCCATATTGACTGCAGCAACTCCCTCAATTATCTTACATTACAATAAGGGGGAAAATAATTATTAATAACTTCATTGCAAAGCATCATTGTTAAGTGTCAAGAAAAGGGCCGTATATTAAGTTCTCTGGGAGCCTGGCAGAGGGAGACATTACTACCAATGAAATACAGGAAGGATCATGTGGGAGGAGAAAACCCTGGAGGTAATTTGAAAGGCTAGAATTTGGTAGATTTTGTTGAACACTCAAACATGTAGCAATCTGAAGCTTGTGACTGAGACATTATATTGTTAGTATATACTGTTTTTTAATGAATGCAAACATAAGTGTATATACATACATGTATTGCGTTGCAGTATTTGTGCCACTGGTGTTTTTGTAATTGGTGAAAAATTTATTTAGATATTCAAGAAAAAGGAAGAACCAACAATTCCATTTGAAATTGGGAAGAGAATGGATTTCTTTGGCTTCTGAGACTATGCTGGTGAAGCTAGTTTCTCCACTTTTTTTTTTTTTTTTTTTTTGAGATGGAGTCTTGCTCTGCCACCAGGCTGGAGTGCAGTGATGTGATCTCAGCTCACTGCAACCTCCGCCTCCCGGGTTCAAGTGATTCCCCTGCCTCAGCCTCCTGAGTAGCTGGGCCTACAGGTGCACACCACCACACTCGGCTAATTTTTTCTATTTTAGTAGATGGGGTTTCACCATGTTGACCAGGATGGTCTCGATCTCCTGACCTCATATCCGCCCGCCTCAGCCTCCCAAAGTGCTGGGATTACAGGCATTTCTCCACTTTTAAATGCATTTCTGGCCAAATGGACTATATACACAAGACTTACAGTTCTGGAGGAATCCTTGGTTAGCTTCTAATGCACCTGTGTAGAGATAATGCTGAAGGGGTGCTTTTGGGGAAGTCGGTTTCCATATTATCTCCTTTGCCAGACTTGTATAATTACCAGCTAATGTTTTTCTATATCTGCATGATGTATGGAAATGCCTAATATTCTGCATAGAAGACTTGGCTACTTCATCTGTAGACACAGCTAATTCCACTCACTTCTGACCCCTCGTGAGAATATTTTGAAATCTCCTCCTGACAGATGCTAAGTAAAGAAATTATTCCAGTTAACTGGGTTATTGATTGAATTGAGTAATTGATTTTATGGTCTGCAGTGATATCACTCCTTACTTTGTAAAGTAAAAGACTTGAAGTGGTTCATATAAAACTGAATGTGGAAAAGATAGAATATCCTAGGGCTGAAATATCTTCCTGAAAAATATGAGGATTTCAGCAATCAGCACTCTTTGGCTGTCTCAAATTCTGCTTATCTCCGGCTCTTGGTAGGCTAGTCTAGGCATTGCCACTAATCTTTTGTCAGAAAAGCCCCCCTGGTTATGTGAAATCATTTCTCATTGATGTACTCTGCTGACAACACCATCTATCAATGTTAGGCGGTAGGTAGAGAACTGAGATTTCGAATTATGAAGAAATGAAGAATTAAAACCAGTGGGTATTTTTCTCTAGCCCACAAAGACAAACTAAAAACAGCTACCTAAGAGTGATTAAGCCTCACTCTTGTTTTTGGCAGCACAGTTGTGAGAAAGAGCATCATAAAGTCACATTCATTGTGGTACGGTTGTTTAACTTGGATTGAATTCTCTATGCCTGTTTCGAAGTTTTGGTTTGGAGGAGTGGGTGTACACTATAACCCACTAAAATAACTAAAGCTTATTTCTTACTACTGATCATTTTTAAAATCATTAGTTTAAATTTCTGCTTTAAATCTAGTATATGGAAAGAAATGGCAGAAATCAAAACCCTTTCCCATGTACTTCCTGGAGATGACCTTGTCAGAGATCTAGACATTACCATGGCAGCTGAGGTCAAAGTGTAAATTCCACTTGTGCAACTTGAGATCCCAGCTTGCTCTGGGACTGATGCAACTTCGAGGCCCTGGGGGCCAGATTTCCACAGGCTTTGAGGAAAGCTGCCTGTTTGCATAATGTTCAGGTGTCCCCTGCTTTTTGAATACGCACAACTCCCATTTGTTCATGCAGATTTAGTAATTGTCTATTTAATCACCTATTTGCATGCACAATTACTCAATTTGGGCACATCCATGCTCATTTGCATATGTAAATCTTGACTTGGGCTCCAGCAAACGACTGCACCTGCAAACTGCAGCCGGGCCCATTTATAAACCCTTAGGGGGGATTAGCCTTGTCCACAGAGGGAAAAGAAGACCAAATGAGTTTGAGGTCCGAATATTGAGCATTAATTATATGTGTAATGAAATTGATTTCTTTTATTTTAAACCTAAAAAGGAAAGAAGTTAGAAAGTATGTTGATCATTCTCTAATGGGAGAAAAAGCAATAAGATGAAAGCTTTTAATAAGCAAATAAAGGAGACCAGCAAAGACTATTGAAAGAAAGAAATGGCAACAGAGTTGAATTGTCTCCCAAAACTCTTCTGTCAATGTAACCTTTGTTGCCGCTGATATTTAAAATAATATAAAGCTAGAGGCTGTAGCCATCTTTGATGGAAGGGGAACAAGTGACACAGATGCATGACTTTATGAAGATCTCTGTCTTTCCACCAAGAACAAAATTGCCGTAAGGCCCTATGTGTGAGATTGCTTTCTCTGTTTATAGAAAAATTAAACCCAGCTATTTGATGCTTTAAAGATTTTCAACTCTTAACATAGAACATGTCGAGAAAAATATGGGAAAAATTTACGTGTGTGCAGAGAATGGAGAAGAACATAACTCCTAGCTATTACGTATAGGACAGGATCTTCTTGGCTACTCCGAAAATAGTTTTTCCTCTGGCTTTAAGTTTGAATGTCTCATTTAGAACATTGTATAAAATTCACATTATTAGGCCACACCAGATACTGATTCAACAGTTTGGGCCTAAGAATCTGCATTTTACCAATAATCTGGGGGATTCTGATATATTTGGGTTTGGAATACACTCTTTGAAACACCGATTATCAGGGCTTTTGAGGTAACTGGCAAATACAGATATATGCCAGTCTATCGCTTGTCTCTCCAAACATAAAGAAAGCACTTCAGCCGTCAAGCCAGTTCCTTGACTGCTGGATAACAAGCTTACATTACAAAGTTTAATTTTCTATGAGGACTGCAATAGCAACCAACCAGCTTTAGCTCAGTATTGCTATTAATAGCCCTCAAGGGTTGGCATGAAAAACTACCTTACCAAACCCCACCTCCACATAGCTTTATACCTCCCTTTCTTAGAAGCCCAGAGAATCAAGAGGCCCTACTTCAGCCACAGCAAAGACCAGCCCTGTCCCCAGAACAAGTTTGAACCATAAGACTAAGCTCAAGGTTAGTTAATAACATTTATAGGTTGAGATGGCTTATTAATTGGTTTGGATCAAAGGAACAGCTATGCAATAAAATATGTCTTTAATGAGTTTTGTTTCTGAAAAGTGATTTATTCATTTTGATTCATTTTTTAAGGTGAGGTATTTAAAAGATCTTTGGTCTCATTTGTTATAGTGGCTGTGATAACCAGAAAACATCATTTCCAAAATGTATTTAATGGGAATGATTTCAAAAGAAAAGGACAACGCCTGTTGTCCTAGATGTTGGTTATGTTAGATGGAGACTTCTAGATAAACTAGTTGACTTAGTTTCTGAAAAGGAGATGGGAGTAAATCCTACCTGAGTATCTCATTTCATACTCACAAAATACCTACAATATGGGTATTATCGTCCTCATGTTGCAAATGAGAAAACTAAGGCTTAGAGAGGTTAAGCTATGTGCCCAAAGTCACACAGCTAAGCGCTAACAGAGGCAGAGTTTGAACTCTGGTCTTTCTTACCCAATGGGAAAAGCCCTCATTTCTGAACACTGCTCTTGCTTCTTTCAGACAGGCTGGAAAATTGACATCTTCATCTATCCTCTGTCTTGTGAATGTTCCCCCAGAGAAAGGGCTGGCCATTAGTTCCCCTTTCTACAAATGACCTTGAAAACCATCTATCTCTTCCAGTAATTACTTGGATGAAAATGGTGAACCCAGCTGCTTCTCTGGTGATTTTCTAGCTCAGCCTCATAAAAGCTGCCTTTGTAGAAGCTGCTGCTTGTCTCTTTCTTTTACTTGATAATTCCCAAGAGCAAGATTACCTACAACCAGCTGCTCCTCTCTACATGCAAAGGGATTGAGGAAAAATCAAATGCTGATTAAATCTACACATTGTCTTTCTCATTCCCCTCCGGTGAACACCAAGAAAAATCACTGGAGTCATAAGACATTGGGCTCAAGTTTTCTCAAAAACCCCAACAGGATTATTAAACTGATAAAAACAAGAAACAACAGAATAGTTCTTTCTAATTTACAAAGAAATTGTGTCCAGTGTCTCCTCCCATTCTTTCTACATCTAGGGGCCTTTTATTTAAAATTTAGCAGTCATAGATGCACTCATGAGAGAGACAAGGTCTCTTTCAAAGTCAAGCTGCTCATAGAGACCCTTATTCAGAAATAATGCCCCTCCCACGATGTAGGAGAGCTGTTAGGATCACCTGTTTTGTTATACACAAATTGAAAATTCTCTGCCTAAGTGCATCTTTTACTAATTAATTGTTTGCAAGAGCCACATGCTAGAAATGCTGTGCACATAGACCTTGTTTTCCAATACTTTTGAGGTGTGTGTCCTTTAAAGAGTCACAGGAGATCATTTTTAAGAAGTGCTTAACTTTTCCTAAGAGGTTCTTGTGCTAAGAATCAATCTCTATATTATAAGAAGATGTTAAAATGGGACTCTTGCAGACTTGATATCTATAGATATGACCATCTGATAACTACTAATATGAAAGATGCAGGACTCCACATGCACAATTTTCAAAGGAAGTCATGGAAGACCGGTTTCCTGGCTCTTAGATCCTTATAAAATCAAGGATACATAAAAAGGAATCAGAAAGTGAAGGGAAATGGTACAACCACTTTGGAAAACAATTTGGCAGTTTCTTCATAAGTTAAATATCAATTTACCATATGTCTCAGCATCTCCACTTAAAGGCATCTACCAAGAAAATTTAGAGCATATTTCCACCCAAAGACTTGTACATGAATGCTCATAGCAGCATTATTCATAATAGCCAAAAACTGGAAACACCTACAATGTTTATCGATCTGGAAATTGATAAGCAAATGGTGGTATGTCCATACAATGGAATACTATTTGGCAATAAAAGGAAACCAAATATTGAAACATGCTACAACATGGATAAACCTCAAAAATATGCTAAGTGAAAGAAGCAAATGATCACATATTGTATAATTCTATTAATATGAAATGTCCAGAAAAGACGAATCTATAGAGACAGAAAGTAGACTAGTGGTTGCCTAGATCTAGGTGTAGGAACTGACAGCGATTACAAAGGACTTTTGAGGGGTAATCAAAATGTTCTAAAATTGAATTGAAGGTTGCACAACTCTGCAAATTTACTAAAAAACACTTAATTGTACACGCAAAATGAGAGAATTTGATAGTATGTAAATTGTATTTTATTAAGGGGCATTATTAAGTCTTAATATTTTATTAAGTCTGTTTTTAAAAATGGAGAGAGTAGGGGAGATTTTCAATAGATCTTCACTGTCCAATATTGTACCCCCTAGCTACATGTGGCTAGTCCAAATGGAG
Organism: Homo sapiens; assembly: GCF_000001405.40. Lineage (NCBI taxonomy): Eukaryota > Metazoa > Chordata > Mammalia > Primates > Hominidae > Homo > Homo sapiens. The sequence goes on along the minus strand of NC_000002.12, from coordinate 150,373,067 downwards.
ATGTGCTTTAAGTGTAAAATACTTTCTGGATTCAAAGACTTATGGGGTAAAAATATTATAAATTATCTCATTAATACTTTTTATATATTGGTTTCATGTTGAAATAGTATTTTGGATATATGGACATATTAAATAAAATATATTACTAACACATTTTTACCCATTTCTTTTTAATGTGGCTACGAGAAAGTCAAAATTACCTGTGTGGCTCACACTGAATTTCTATTGAACAGTGCTGTGATAGAGAGAGCTGTTGCCTGTACTCCCCTGTCTTCTGGAAGGAGAAGAGAATTTGCTACAATCTAATCCCAAAGCTGGTGAGGAGATTCTTCAAGTGGACCTTTCAGATAGTTGTTTGGTATTCACTGTGGTCAAGGGGATGATGGACTGCAGCTCAAGCAAGCTAAAGTCGCTTAAGGCAGCAGGATAAAGTGATGTACACACTGACCAGGCAGGTCAGAGGCAACACATGTCTAGCGTTGTCTTTGACCCAGGTGTGAATCACAAGAGAGAAGGCGCTCTGGAGTTGGTAAGACCACCTCAAAGCCAAGTCTGAGTGAGGAGGACCAACAGGGAAGCAAAAGCTGAAGGGTAGTTTGAGAGAAGCCAGGGGAAGGAAAATGCTCATTGCCCATGTCACGTCATGAAAGTTGGAAGAAAAGAGCTGCATTCTGATTCTAACTCAAATTTTGCCTATTCAATGTACTAATGACACCATAATAACTTCTTTCTTCCAAAGCAGGGTTGCTGCCTTGCAGAATTCCAGGAGGCGTTATTCACATCATAATCTAGATGGCAGGTGGCAGGCATAGGGATGACCAAAGAGCTCATGCAGGTGCTCAAGAGAGTCCACTTTAAGCACACACCAGCACCATCACCAGTGAGTGTGAGGCCAGATTACAAAGGCACTGGACCAAATAGAATTTTCCTATCTCTGTGCTGCCCTTCTGTCTCTCATGGAGCAGTCAGAAACTGGCTAGCAAGAAATGAAGTAGAGTGAGAAGAAGATAGAAAGAAGTTAGCAGAGAAATAGAAAAGAGACCAGTGCTTTCCCCTTTTTTTCATTTTAGATTTTTAGCCTAAAGCTGACATGACCTGAAAATGGGGAAAAGATCTGATATCGAATCAAATTCTGGCCATTGATTAATATATTGAACTAGATTCCTATTTCTGATTTGAGAACTCATGACTTGAGGGACAATATGACCATGTGTGTGACTTTTTGTGTGTGACTTAAAGCTTAAAAGACACACAAAAAGGCATGGATGGGTTTGTCTGAGTTTTCATCTAAGAACAATAAAATGTGAACAAATTTAAAGAAATAGTGACAAAATGAAAGAGCTGAATTCTGATTATATAACTCCAGTTGTGCTTGTGCAACATGATGATACACTGTAGTAACCTCTCTCTTCAAAGGCAGGGCTGTTGTAATGCAGGATTTCCAGGAATGGCAGTTGCTGGGGTTTACAGGGTACAAGTCCTGAACCAGGTACTGCAGCCCAGTTTGAAGTGAAATCCCACAAGGGTGGGTGTGGCTGGAAGTCAGGCCAAGCAGGCTTAAATTGATAAGAAACCTTGAAAAGGTACTAAGTCTAAGATTCAGCCTCAGGCTAATGCTGATTTCCAACCATGTGCTCCTTATTCCACAAGAGGGTAAAGGATCAAACTCACCACATCTTGAAAATTATTCTTTTTTTGTGAAGCAGGATCCTTTTTTCAGAGGCCTGCAGGGCTTAGAATGACTCCTAAAATCAACAACGCCATCACTATAATCAATAATGCTATCAGTTGCTAAGTGAGTGTCAGAGACCAGGAAAATGAAACGTACCTTACACACATCTAAATCTCATTCCCTTTGGTGCTACAACTCTGTGTTCCCAGCGGACACTGCTTAAGTGAAATTGGATACAAAGTGTTAGGGATACAAGACAAAGAAAATTAGCTGTGAGCACAAATTTCTAATTTCATCATTAGTACAGCAATCATGCAAATATATTTATTTTTGGATTATTAATATTGTACAGTAAGTGATTACACAGCAAAGTCATACTTATTTCTGAAGATTTTCTAAGGGAAAAGATAATTCTATAAAAATATGTTAAATGGATAATATGCTGTATTATTAAAGTTATCTTAGAAATAAATATTTCTACTTTTTTACATAACGAGATTTTCATGTCTGCATTGTCGTATTAATAATTGATTGCTCAATTCTATTTTAACGTGCAGATTGCATCAGATTTTCCTTTTGAGTGCAGGCCAAGCTGTACCTTGTTCACATGTCATGCCTGAGTGATCTTATCAAGATAATAAAAGTCTCCAGGTGATAAGGTAGTAGCTATGGCTCAAATGGCAAGTTTATGTTTTAATACTCCAATCACTTGAAGAAGAATCAAATGAGACATAACACACTGAATACAAACCATGGAACTATAGCTTGCCTCCTGGGGCACCATGTGCAGCCAGCCAGCCCCTTTCTCTATCCATTTTCCCACATACGCAGTCAAAGGCAGCAGTTGGTTTCTGCGGATGACTCTGTCCCAAAGCAGGGCCTTTGTATATGCCCTTGCCTTTTTCTGGAATGGGCTTTCTTCATTCTCTGTACATGGCAACAGCCTCTTAGTCCTTTAAATTCAACTTAAATGTCATCTTGGAGATGCTATCATTGACCACCCAATAGGCTCCTCTATCACTTTTTATCTCAGCTCATTTTTTCCATTTCATAGTGACACAGGATTTTTTTTTTTATGTGGCCTCACCAGCTGGAGACCTCCATGACCAGTGACTCCCCTGCCCCGGCCTTGCTCAGCTCCAGGCTCACTGCACAAAGTACCCACTCAGCTCGGCTTCTGCCCCAGCCCGGCTTCTGCCCCAGCCCAGATCCCATGACCACCACGACTGCATGCTCAGCCCACAGCAGGAAGGGGTATGTGAGCGAGTGAGCATGGGGTCTGGCCACAGCACACAGCCAGGCACATCAGCTGCTCTGGCGGGTAGGCTACTCAAAGTGCCAGCAGAGGTGCGGGCTCAAGGCAGGACTTGCAGCTGTACCAGGCATGTCACAAGTGATTCCCATGGTGGACTCTAGTGTCCAGATGAGGGGGACGCAGTGGCACCTGAAAACTCAGAGATGCCAGGAACTGCAGAGCCCCAAGGGGTGTCATTCCCACCATTCGCAGCTCAGCGAATAGAGAAGTGTTAACAGCTCTTCCAGTCCCATTTCCTTGCTCAAGTCCATGGCTGCTGTGCTGGCCTAGCTCTACTGCTGCTTCCCATTGCGTGGAATGGCTGCTCGGCACTGGTAGCGGGTAGAAGGCTACAGCATTATATAGCTTTATTTATACCTGCACTTGGTGGGTCCCAAGTTCTTGTACCGTGTCCTAGAAGAATGAAGTTGTGCTGACAACCAGAGTGTGAGCAGGGTAGAGAGCTTTATTGAGCAATGGAACAGTTTTCAGCAGAGAGGGGACTCAAAGGGGGCAACCCCCTACCCAAAGTTGGGTACCTCTCCCAAATGTGGCTGATCCCGGGGCTTTTATGGGCTCAGAATGGGGGAGTGAGTACTGATTGGTTTGTGAGTATGCAAAAAGCCAAAATAAATAAATAAATAAATAAATAAATAAAGACACTACTCAAAGGTGGGCACAACAGTGTAAAAAACCATTTAGGGAAGGTTAGATTACATGTAAAATAGGCGAAGGCTGGGGATTAATCAGAGGAAAGTGTGCCAAATGGGAAGAGAGGTTCTCAGTCTGGTTTGTGGATTTATCTGAGACTCGTTGCTTGGTTTTCAGGCTTTAAACTGTCTTCAGCTAGAAAGTTGGGTTTCACCAGGGACTTGTCCCTATTTGCCTAGGAATTTGTCTTCTGCCACTACCAATAGCACTAATCACATTCTGAAATTACTTTAATCATTTCACATTTTTTTCCTACTCTACCATATGCTCCATTAAGGCAGCAATATCATACAGCAATAGAGAACACAAGCCTTATTACTATAGTTTTATTGGTGACTAGCTGTGTGGCCTTATATTCTTTGAGCTTCAGATTCCTCAGATGTAACACAGTACTCAACTTATGGAGTTGTTGGAATAACAGATGACCAAATGTGTGTATGACACTTAGCTAGCTCTGGCCCCTAGTCACTAATCAATTATCGCTATTGATTTTTATTTATGATTTTCAGTGAAGGAAATTTCAAAATTATTCCAGTTAAAATCACAATATATAAGTACCCTTTGTTTGGAATGCACAACCTCACCACTCCATGTCCTTTTGTTCTTCAAACCTTAGTGCAAGTATTCCTTACTCCAGCAAGCCTTTCTTGAAGCAGTCACATTGCCCCAGTGCTCCTGATGATGCCTCCATTGCACCTACAGTCTTCCAGGGTGGTAATCACACCAGGTTCAATCCAGTTTCCTCTAGTGATCTGCCCCGCAGGTGTGCCCAGACCATACCCCTGGGTGGAAAGAAAACACTAGAACTTATATTTTGGAGGAAAAAAAGAAGAGAAATTAAGCACAACTCATATCTAATATATTGCTTGATCCTGGGGTCTTCCCTCAGTTCCCTGGTCAGATACTATTTCAACTGTGCTCCTAAGGTGTTCTCAGAGGAGAATGGGATTCCATGATGCTGCAGGAATAATAGTGGTGCCTCAGTAGCTCAGTCTTTCTGTAGGTTAGGTTCTGGGTGAGTGGAGTTATGGATTATGTTTTCTGGGTTATCTAAAGTAGCCCTCATGAAATGGACAAGTATCTTAAAAATATTCTTAAACAGAAATCACAGATTAACATAAATGCTAATAATAGAAGTGAACATTAAGAAAATCATGAAACTGACACTTTTACTCCTATCAACCATATTACGAAATCAGATCTGTGAAGATCTGGGGGAAAATGAAAAGTGAAATTTTTAAGAAGATTATTTGAAATAAGGATTTATACTCCCTATAATTAACAAAGAACCTCAGAACAAGTGAATTATCATTGAGTGATAATAATGTGTGCATGTGTGTATTTCTGCTGAAAATATGTAATTGGCAAAGATATGTAATTAAACATGTATAGAGACCACTGATTTAATCTGTGATTTGCCTCTCTGTCCTGCCTACCACAGTGTGCCACATTGCCACAATGTATGCTCTCTCAATGCAGCCTGTGTTCAGATGATTCAGTATGTTTACGGGGCCAGATTTTCCTTATATACATCAACCAAAACAACATCACCCAACAAATTAAATGCAGAAGCAGAGATTAAGATTCCACCTGTCTTCTGTTAAGTCAGATAGTAAAGAAATTTGCAGAAAAAGATAATGCCACCCTTTCACCATTGTTTATGAGTACAGTTATGTTTCATAAAATATTTATTTTAGTTTACACAAATGTATAATTATTAATTTTAAATGAATAAATAAATAAATAAATATTTAAACAAATAAGCAAAGATTCTTTGACATTCTCTGTAAGTTTTTGAGAGGGTAAAAGGAATCCTGGGACCAAAACATTTGAGGATTGCTGACCTAAAGCAGGGATCATATTGTGTTTGTCTGTTTGAGTCCAGCACTCAGCACAGACCCCAGCACATCATAGACTTCTATTAAAATGTACATGGAAATAACAATTGAATGACTGAATTTTAAAGAAATTAAATGTGTTACTAGTAAATTCTTTACTTTTGCTAGGTAGAGTTAGCATCTCTCTGTTGTACTCTTCAGTGCTCACAATTCTTGCAGGCATTGACAACAAGGTCTCAACATTCTCAATGTGTAGCTCAAATTGAATATGAAGTAAGTAAATAGGTACTTTCAAAGTGTTTGTTGTCTAAATGTCAAGGGAATTAATTACACACCCAGCAAGTGAACTCCAGTTCTAGTCCTTGGATCGATTGAATTATGAGAGTCACCATTTGTGAAGAGATCTATTCAACTTCTCAACTTAAGCTCACGTTTTATTGTAATGCTTTTAAGAAGCCCAAAATTTTAGATACTGGCCACCAATAGAAAAATGAGGTGATAAAAGGAATGACATTCTTAAAAGTGTGGCCCATCACCTGCAACAAAATCATCTGATGTGCTACTTAAAAATACAGATAGCTTGACCTACTCCTGACCTATTGGATTTGGGCAGAGCCCTGGAATCCGCACTGTTACAAACTTACCTAGGGTAGGGTTGTCAGAGAAAATATAGGATGCCCAGTTCACTTTGAATCTCAGATAACCAAATGGGACAGGCTTATACTATAATATGAAACTTTGGATATCTGAGATTCAAACTTCCTTTCGATTTTCATTTGCTAATCTGGCCAGCGTATCCTAGGGAGACTCTTTTGCATAATAAAGTCTAAGACTCACTGGACTTTGAACGTCTTGTGGGGATTTGATGAGTGGATTAGAAGTAGTTTATTTACTAATCAATTCAGAGCAGTGCTTCTCAGCCATTGGTATCACCTGGGGTGTTTTAAAAATTACTGGGTCTTGCCTTGCCTCCAGAGATTCTGACTTAATTGATCTATGGTGCATCTCAGGCACTGGGCATCTTTAAAAGATCCTCAGGTAATTCACTGTGCAACCAAGTTTGAGAAACATGATTAGAAGAGAGTGATGGAGAGACCACTGAAATTCCTAATAAATGAATAGCATTATATATAGCATTAAATGGGCTGAGTGAAAATATAGAAATCACTAAGGTGTTCAGTAAATAAAGGCCTGGGGTTTGTGGTCAGTGATTTTCTATCATCTATCTATCTATCTATCTATCTATCTATCTATCTATCTATCATCTACTTATCTATCTGTCTATGTATCTATCTATCTATCTATCTATCTATCCATTTTCCGTTGGGCGTGTGGGGATTGGATGGTTGGGAGAGGATTGAGGAAGGGGAGAGGTGGATGCTGGATATTGAAATCTCCTAGAAATTTTGTCCAAGTACTCATACCTGGGCATTCTAGTTCATCCTTATCCAAGGAATTCTAAATCTTTCTCTCTAACCCTCATATTCTAACTAGGATGTTAGAGTACTATTATTCTAGCTAACAGTTGATACAAGCTAAAATAGAAGAGGAGAGAAACCATAAAAATAGTTTAGGACAACAAAGAAGGGGGGACAAAATAAACAAATATTTGGAATAAGCAGAACTTCTACATGGTAGTATAAATGGCTACACAACGCATTAAAACAAAACAATTTTCTGTCAACATTTACTCAAATTTTGCGGAAGAGTTTGTTAGTAGAAATGAATTATATAAGTAATTAATAGAAATAAATAAATAAGAGAAATAATAAATTTTTTTAAATAAAACTTTTCTTATAGAAAAAGTATGGTCAAGTTGATGGCAGGATATAGCTACATAAATCCCTGTTGTTTAATCATTGACCACAACTGAAGTAAGCCCAGTCACTATGTCATTGCTCTTCACTTGGAAACAGCTTCTTCAGGAGAAGGTGTAAGGACTTAGAAAAACTGAAAATCTTCTTTAGAGCTAACCTGGCACCTCTCAAACTTTTACTGGGCATAAGACCTTTTAAGCAAATTTCTTTAAGTAAAAAAATCTGTTCTTTTGCATGAAAGTATAATTTGCAAATTGATTTTTAAATTTTTTTTATTATTATTATTTTAGACAGAGTCTTGCTCTTGTTCCCCAGGCTGGAGTGCAATGGCGCAATCCCGGCTCACTGCAACCTCCACCTTCTGGGTTCAAGTGATTCTTCTGCCTCAGCCTCCCAAGTATGTGGGATTACAGGTGTGTACCACCATGCCTGGCTAATTTTTTTGTATTTTTTAGTAGAGACGGCGTTTCTCCATGGTGGTCAGGCTGGTCTCAAACTCCCGACCTCAGGTGATTCACATGCCTCAGCCTCCCAAAGTGTCAAATTGATTTTTACTTCTCTTTCTATGCTTGGGTAGTAAAGGGCGGACCAATTACACAGGGACTGGACCTAGGAGAGCATAGAAATGTTCTGGAGGCTAGATGTAGACTTGCCATGGGTTCCACAGTTGCCAGAAAGCCAAGCAAATCATAGGGTTAACTCACTAAGTGCCTGTGAGGCCATGGCGGAACACCATCCCACTGAAACGGAGCAGCCTCCACTTAGCTCCAGCTAATTGTTGTTACCATGACAGTCGTGCATTTTAAAATATTTTAGCAGAAACCAGCGATTGTCAGTTTTTAAAATCACCTGAAGACCTTTTAAAATATGCTGATGTCTGGGCTTTGCTTCTGACCCATTAAATCAGAATCTCTGGGGGTCGTGCTTGGGCATTGGAATTTTTTTTAAAGCTCTCCAGGTGATTCTAATGCGCAGCCAGGGTAAGAAACTGCAGCCAAGACAAAATGCTATGTTGTGTGGAGTAAGGTTAAGCTACAAACCAGGTGCAGCAGGCATCATGATCAGTAAATAACTCATACGGCAGCGATAGTCACCCAATATTATTTTTAGAAGTCCACAGTCCAGAAGTGGCTACTACAAATGCTTCTGTCAGATCAACACAGAAATTCAGCTAATAAACATATTCAATGTCACAGATTTCATCTTTTAATCAGTGGCTTTTTAATTAGATAAGGAATTTAAGAAATAGGTGCTTCTTGGCAGAATTAAAGCATATTTTGAGACACTACCCAAACTTGTATGAATTTCACATTAGAAATTAGTGGCACCTGTGGCCTGTTACCTAAGAAAATGGTGTCCAAAGCTGATCTCTGCATCTAGCCATTGGGTCTGAGCATGGAAGTTCATCCAATACTGAAACTCAGGGTACTAGAATCATGTTTCTGGAATCCTGTGACAGCTTCCTGCGGTGTACCTTTTGTTTGACATTCATTGAAAGCAACAAAAATTACTAAGAGCTTGATAGGACTTCACCAACCTCATAGACAGCTTGCTAGTAAATGTTTATTTAGTTAAACAATAGATGGTCACAGAATTTGGTCTGAGATTTACTTTGAAGTTGAGTAGGATAGCTAACTCTTGCTTGCTTCAAAGTTTTTGATGTTTCTATCTATCAGAAGAACCTAGGAGTTGTACATGACCAGATTGGTCTGAACCAATTTTGCAAGACACGGAGAGATAATAACACAGTGTTGTCAAATTCTCCAATGTATTTTTTAAGACAGATGTATTTTTGTATGGAAATTATAAATGTTGGAACTAAATTTAAATTTGTAAGGAAACCGAAATCTCTTGAGTAGAACCAACAACTTCTCCCTGGATCACACTGGACGTGCAGGCTGTGAGTTTGTGATCTCTGGTCTCACCCCTGGGAGAGGCCCTGTCCTCCCATAAGTTAGCCTGTGCCCTCAGGAGCCAGAAGTGGTCTAAGAACTCAGGAATCAGTCTCAATCTAGCCAGGAGAATCTGAACATGTCTTGGAGGGACAAGGTAAGATGGTCACGGGAATTCAGGAGGTGAGAGAACAAGACAGGAACACCACTGGACAGAAACATTGACATGAAACTATCCCTCGGAGACCCTTCCACAATCATTAAGTGTGGGGCAGTTCTCAAAGGCAGACCCAGAAAGAAGCCTGAAAAAGCACCATGGCCCTGTGTATTGGTTTCCAGAACTGCTGTAACAAAGTGCCATGGCTGGGTGGCTTAAATAACAGAAGTTTATTGTGTCATGGTTCTTGAGGGTGGAAATCTGAAACCAAGCTGTTGGTGAGTTGGTTCCTTCTGAAGGCTATGAGGAAAGGATCTGTGCCAGGCCTCTCTCCTTGGCTTGTGGATTGCCATCATCACATTCACATGGCTTTCTCCCTGTATGTGGGCTTGTCTTCATGTCCAAATTTCCCCTTTTTATAAGTCCTATTGAATTAGGGCCCACCCTAAGGACCTCACCTTAATTAATGACATCTACAAGGACACGTAGGACATTTTTTCTTTTTTCTTTTTTTTAGACAGAGTCTCTCCCTATCACCCACGCTGGAGTGCCGTGGCACAATCTCGGCTCACTGCAACCTCCGCCTCCCAGGTTCAAGCGATTCTCCTGCCTCAGCCTCCCAAGTAGCTGGGATTACAAGTGCCTGCCAGCATGCCCAGCTAATTTTTTGTATTTTTTTTATAGATGGCGTTTCACCATGTTGGCCAGGCTGGTCTCGAACTCCTGACCTTGTGGTTTGCCTGCCTCAGCCTCCCAAAGTGCTGGGATTACAGGCGTGAGCTACCGTGCCCGGCCAAAAGGGGAGGTGTGAAGGGGCCTGGCAGTTGGCAGGCAGAGCCAAAGAAGGAAGGCTTCCCTGCCTGGGAATCAAACCCGGGCTGCGGCGGTGAGAGTGTTGAATCCTAACCACTAGACCAAGGGGAATGCGACACTTTTCCAAAATAAATTTACATTCTATGGTATCAGAAGTTATAACTTTGTATCTTTAACACATGGAGAGGAAGGGCACAATTCAACTCATAACATCCTGTATGGGCATGGAAGAGGAGTTGGAATTAGAAACAGGAAGTGATTTATCAACTTACTTTATCCATGGTGTATTGAGCACACTCTTGTATTTACACACTCTTGGACTAAGACACCAAGACAAGTGAAATGGTTGAAAATTCTCATGTTTCTAGCCAAGAGAATCCACTTAGCAGACTGTTGAGGAAAAGTCAGGAGAGGTACTCAAAGTCCCCTGATCTGCCAGCAGAGCACATCATAGAGTCTGTGGTCCCAAGCTCAGGAAGATTCCTGGGACCTGTGCACTTGGGGGACTCCTGATCACTACATGGAGATGCTACTTTCTGTTGAACTTCAGCCAGTGGTGTATCCCACTCAAAGATCACACATGGGTGCAAGTAGAGGTTCCTGTCCTCCAGTGGCTTGGATTCAGTAGAGGAAACAGGCAAGTTCAAAGCATGCAGCAAAAGGAGCACAGAATTTGAGGGAGGTGGGAAGTGCCGAGAGGGAAAGTGACCAGCCTGAGACATTAGAAGATAAAAGTGACCAGTCTGAGTAATCTAAGTTAGAAGCTGAGGCATGTCCTGTTTTTGAATCCTCACTAGTGCCAATGGAGAGCAAACTATCATATCTGGGGCCAAGAATGCAGACTCGTTTGAATGAAGAAAATATACTTCTTTTAACAACGATTTTTTTTAAATTGAGAAAGTTACCCACCAAGAAGGGAAACTAGCCAACTAGCACTAAAGGAAATGCAATAGAAATATAATTTGTTTTCCTATTCTAGACCCTCTATGTTAGGAAGGAGAACATTAAATCTCATCCCATATTTACAGTCTGGGACAGAGAGCACTGGGGGGTCTGGAGCGCCAAAGTTTGTACATGAGGTAGTTTTGTCACCAGCCAGTTATACTGGGCTACCGGCAAATGCTCAGTGTACTTTTTCTTATTTCTAGACCATGCAACCACTGTCATGGGTGAAGGAATAGATTTAATCAAATGTAGAAGCCTGAAGGAACTCCAGAAGTTCCCTCTATCAAGCCTAATTTTACAAATGGGAAACTCAAAGCCCAGAGTTAATCAGCTCACAAGATCCCATAGCAGAGAATTGGCAAGGGTCTGTCTAGATTCAGTGCACTGCTTATTTCCAACTATCACAAAACGGTATTGGACACTGATCTTTGGTGGAGCTTTAAGAAAGTGGTGGATCATGCAATGTGCAAATTTTGCTATCCTAGTGAGAAGAGATTGGAAACTCTTAAAAATTAAAGTTTCATTTATTTATTTATTTATTTATTTATTTATTTATTTATGAGATGGAGACTCACTCTGCTGCCCAGGCTGGAGTGCAATGGCGTGGTCTCAGCTCACTGCAACCTCTGCCTCCCAGGTTCAAGCGATTCTCCCTCCTCAGTCTCCCGAGTAGCTGGGACTACAGGCGCACACCACCACACCCGGCTAATTTTTGTATTTTTAGTAGAAACAGTGTTTCACTATGTTGGCCAGGCTGGTCTCGAACTCCTGAATGAGTGACTAAGTATATAGGGAACATCAAACATAAAAAGCCCAGTCCAAACCACACGGCAAAAATACCTAGTAATAAGGATGTTACATAAGTCTAATAACTTTATCTCTCAGTATTAAAATTTCAATCCAATTTGAGGAAATTTTTTAGCACATTCTGTAACTAAGTGTTATAGTAGGTGCTGTGAAGGACAGAAAAAGTTGAAAACACACCTCTGTTATGTAGATGCATCGAGTACCCATGTGCTGGCCCCAACCACTTTATGAGGTTATTATATTGGCAGAAGCAGCAATGGAGATTCTGGGAGTTCAGGTGCACTTCCCAAAGTTTGTGTATCTAGTAAGCAGCAAACTTGGGGCTCCAACGCAGAAATTTTATTTAATTCCAAATCACGAATAGTTTTTATTATAGTATTTTGAAAAAGTAATCCCCCCAAATAATACAAGGCAGAACATCATAGAACCAAGAGAGTGGCATGATGCTTTCTTCATTGAGTTCCAGGAAGTGTAACTGAGTGGCTAAAAGCATTGACTTTGGAGCCTGAATCTCAGCTCTGTAACTTAAACAGTGTTGATGTGCTCTTGCCCTGATCACTTTAAACGTTCCAAGATCCTAAATGAAGAATATTTATGCCTATCTCACCAAGTTGTTTTGAAGATTAAATTAAGGGAGATAAAACACATAAAGAATTTCAGTTGCCAACAATATAAATGCATGAGAAATGGTAGCTAAAAATAATAAAGCAAATATGGGAAATCATTGAAGGCTTCTTACAGGAGGTAGCATCATGCTTTGATTCTGATGCAGTCTCCCATCCATCATGACTTTTGACAAGTGTTGAATATATAGCACTCTCCCACTATCCTTGAGCAGAAAGAAGGCATGCATTTCCATTCCTCTCAAAGTCAGCAACCAAAATGCAGCTCCTGCTACAAGTGCTGTAAGGATGAGAGAGGTATGAGAAATAGCTAAGGGCAGGGTGCTAGAGGAGCTGGCATGTTTGTTCCTCTAGTATTTTCTGAGAGCTTGGCTCTGTCTTTTCTGGGTCTTTACCTGGAGCCTTAGACCAAGAGATCAGGTATGTGGCTTTGAGTTGTGGCCAGATGACCCTCAGGCTTCAAGGTGACAGACATAGAGACATTGTAAGCTGCCCTAATAGGAAGACTGTTTTCTCTCCTTTTCTCTCTTTTTCTCTCCTTCTTTCTCTCGCTTCCTCATCTTCAAAATTAGGGTTCAAAGAAGGGTCAGTCTTAAAGAAGCTAGAAAAAAACCCCAGCAGGCTAAGTGTGGTGGCTCACACCTTTAATTCCAAGGATATGGGAGGCCAAAGCAGGAGGATGGCTTGAGGCCAAGAGTTCATGACCACTCTGGCCAAAACAGTGAGACACTGTCTCAACAAAAATAAATAAAAATAATACATAAAAATTAGCTGGGTGTGGTGGTGCATGCCTGTAGTTCCAGCTATTCAGGAGGCTGAGATGGGAAGATAACTTCAGCCCAGGAATTAGAAGCTGCAGTGAGCCATGATTGTATCACTGCACTCCAAGCCTGGGTGACAGAGCAAGACCCGGTCTTTGAGGAAAAAAAAAAAAAAGAAAAAAGAAAAAAAAAAGCTCTTTGGCTCTTCATCTTGCAAGCTCTTATCTTCTATACATTTAACACCCTAGAGACATTTCTACCCAGAATGGAAGGAAGCAAAAACAAACAAAAATGAAAATGTATTGATCTACTAGTAGGCATAGAACAAAAGCAAATTTCAAGTGCTCAGATATGTGTAAGCTAACTTCATTACCAGGGTCACCGTGATCATACTGTCCAACTCTGTAGGTCCAGGGACCCCAGAGGACACTTTTGCCCTCAAAGTCCACTGATAAAAATCCCAGGTGTCTGACATCTTTTCTCAATTTGCTGCTTTTCACACAAAACACCCGGGACACATTTGCAGCATAAAGCCTAGACACCAGCCATTTGCTTTAGACCCCTTATAATCTAGGGGCTGCACCAGACACATACAGTTTCCAAAGGGAAACGATGACTGGAACTGAGTTGTGCCAGGGCTCTGTTGACACCGTGCAACAGCAGACTTCACGTGCTCCATTGGCTGAGGCTGCTTTTAATGTGAATTAGAAAGAGAAATGCCTACAGCAAAGGAGAACCATGGGCATGTGTGTTACGCTAGGAGAAATGGAGCAATGAAACCCCTGCACCATCCATATTGGTAACTGTCACACCTCAGGCTATCTCCTGATATGTTAAGCAGTGTCATAATATTCCCAATACAACATCTGTATTGAAAATAAATACGTGTCATATAACACTTGAGGGAGGCTGGCTAGAGAATAAAAATGTGACAAAAGAACAAAAACCAGTGTTACAAGAGTAAGGTGGTTGAGACTCATTCATCTGTACAGGTAATTAGAACAACGTAAGGCAGGTGATTAATGTTCTTCCATAGTTGCTTTTTGTTCTCTGGCCTTCATGATAGTGGAGCAACACACAATGGCTGTTTCTACAAGCTGCTATGCTCTGGCTATCTTAGCTTGTCAGCTGTGGAGGCCTGGAGACTGTGATGTACTGCCCCTGCACTGCCTTTCTGGTGTTGGCTCCTTCTATATTTCTTCATGCAGATGATGCTTTTGCTACATCACACGATTCTTCTATATCGAGACTCAGAAACAGAAGTGTGGTGTTGGACCATGGGGGTTCTGAGGTCAGACTACTGGGGCTGAAACCCCAGCTGTGCCATCACCACCCCTGAAATCTCAGGGGAGTGACTTAGCCTTTCTAGACCTGAGTTTTGTAACCTATAAAAAGAAATGCACTCACCTCATAGGGTTGTTTTGAAAATTAAATGAGTCAATACATGAAACTGCTTACAACAGCACCTCGCCCATGAAAAATCCTCTGAATTTGCAATCTAGTATTACTTCATACTTTCATGGCTTATTGTGGCATTTTTTTCTGTCTGGAGTTCCTTTATCTCCAATCTCATTTCTTCTTTCTCCTTATTCTAGTTGAAATATATCTCCTTTCTGGAAAAACTGATTTGCCCAAGCAGGGTTGACTATCTTCCCCTATGCATCTTTATACCACTGCCCCAGAATGGATCATGATTGCACTGTTACTAATCATCTATTATTGTCTGTCTCCTCAACCAGCTAGGAGCTTAAGGACAAAGTACTGTGTACTCTTCATGTTTGTTTTCACCCAAGCTTTTTCCATGGAAGGTTCTCAATCAATATTTGTTGAATGAATGGATGAATGAATAAACTAATTAACCAACCAATCAATAAATCAATCACATATTGTCTACCATATGTAAATTAATAGAAATCTTGGCAATACTCAGAAAAGCTCGGGGAAGAAAAGCTTAGTGTACTTGTTATATTGTACACGGAATGATGAATTCTATCCCTTTCATAAACTACCACATGAAAGGGATTTTTTGTGTTCTGACTCAATTTACTTCTTATGTCTATACCAGACTTAAAGCTAAGTCTGCACAGTGCCCCTAAAATGGATATTTGGAATTTATTCATTAATATAGTTACAGTTAGGAAATCCAAATAACATAGACACCAATGTATATTTTTAGAGAATATATATTCTCTATTTAACCTTTCTGTGACCACCTAATTTACTAGGCACAATTTCAAAGCTGTACGTTATTTTTCCACATCAACATGTGGCTCACCCTATTGAGAAAAGGCCCCATTTACAGAAGGCTTTGTGAATTCCCTTACTAGGGGCTTATGACCCATTACTGTTGAACATATCTGGACTTGGATGGACATGGTCTGAAGGATATTGGCCCAAAACAATCCTGGATGGCAGTGGAGCCAGAAGAAAATCTCTTTATCCATAAGCAGACTTAGAGGTCAAGTTTTCTAGAAAAATCATGGCGTTTTTTGCCTGAGTTTTTCAATGAGTAACATTTGCCATATGTGTACCAAATATTTCTTTTTCTTATGGATTTCTCTTTTTCTTCCCACTTTTCCCGAAGGAACTTTCTAGTATTTTAATGACGGATCATTGAGGAAGGATTCCTGTGTTCTAATCCCAGTCTTGTAGCTGACTGAGCCATGTCATTTTTTGTTTCCATACCTCAGTTTTACTTGGTATAAATTAGCCTCTCTCTTTTGGACAGTAATGCAGAATTGCTTATTTTTGAAGCCTCATAGTAAAATAAATGCTCTGTTAATCCAAAGCTTCTGTTAAGACAAAATAGTTGTCTTGTCTGGAATAAGATGACTGAAAATACCGATGGCTGTGGCAACCGGTTTTTAGTAATTCTAAAAGGGAACCCTTTTGTCTATGTAGGAAAAGAAAATAATTGAGGCAAATGATGTCTCTAGGAGCTAGCAATTGTCTTGGAATAAGTTTGTCAGTTACTTCCTTCTTTCTTTACCTTGCTGCTTATTTCTAGGAGGCAAAAATTGCCATTACAGTGTTCTCTTTCTATAAAATTACCATATTAGTATTTGTTTCTTAAGAGCATGATATACACTTTGAAGTGATTGTTTTCATTGAGAATATTATGTCAACATAAATGAAATAAAACCACTGAACCTTTCCTTGCCAAATACAGCTGTTCTTAAGGAAGTAGATTTGATAGCAGGAATACAATTTTAACTTACTGTTTCATTTTGGTGATTTGGAAAACTTTTACTATAAGAGTAAGAATAGAGTTCTACAATTTTATTAGAATCACATTGGAAGATTTTAATTATTTTAATAGTATAATTTACATATATAATATATAAAACTATTACATATAACTAGTATTAATTACATATAACTAGTATTAATTAATCCTAATCTGTAACATTAACCAAAAAATTGTTCTAATTTTATTAAGTGCACTATCATCATTCATACTAAATAATTATATAGTTCCATCATTGAGATTCATTTTATGCAAACAAATGGATTCTTTTCAAGTTAATGAATCATGAACTCATTAAATATAGATAATTTGAATTAACATTTATTTCATTAATTATAATTCTGATATGGCCTGTACTAGAATTGAAAATGGAAGGAGAGGATTTTTAAAACAAAATGCAGCCCCTTATTCTTGACTAATGATGAATTTGCTAAATTCTTTCTTTCTCTAGCCAAGGAGTGAGAAAGAAGCAGGACTGGTATACACCTAGGGCCATTTCCTTGGCCCATGTATTCAAAGTTAATGTGGAGAAGATAATTTCCATTCACCATGTTCACAGGGACAAGGTGTGTGTGTCACAAAGGCTGTCTAATAGAAGTGGGAATGCAAAGCTGAGCTTCCCCAGGGTGCTCTGGGGCAGTTTCTCAGTGGGGCGATGTGAATATTTCGGGAGGGAGCATGCTTGATTTTGTGGAATGCTGAGTGAAATGCTATGGAATTGCAGAACAATTAGCACCTCTGGTCTTTACCAATTAAATGACAGTCTCCCTCATTCCCTACTCATTGTCTCACTGATTCAACAAACAACCACCCCACTCATTTTCAAACATCACTTCAGATCAACTCTTTGTTACCAGATAAGATTCCCTACAATGCTTGGCTTTGGGGCAGGGGTAGTGACTGCTTGTCAGAGTGATTTGAACCAGAGCACCTCCATCTTGAATAGGTGTTGTGTAAAATGAGGCTGAAACTTGCTTGACCTCCATTCCCAGGAGGTTAGGCATTTTTAGTCACTGGATGAGATTGGCAGGACTGGTTCCACAAGATACACATCGAAAATACCCTGTTGATAAAATAAGATGCACCAAAACGTATCAAAACCAAGATGGCACTGAAATAATTGTAATGCATTAGCATACTGAAAGACATTCCCATCAATGCCATAATAGTTTACAAATGCCATGACGACGTCTGGAAGGGACCCTATATAGTCTAAAAGGGGGAGGAGCCCTCAGTTCCAGAAAATCCCCACCCCTTTTCCAGAAAACTCATGAATAATCCACCCCTTGTTTAGCATATGATCAAGCAATGACCATAAAAGTAGCCAATCAGCAGCCCTCAGTGCTGCTCTGTCTATGGAGCAGCCATTCTTTTGTTTCTTTACCTCTCTAATAATAAACTTGCTTTCACTTTACTCTGTGGACTCACCCCAAATTGTTTCTTGCATGAGATCTCAGAACCCTCTCTTGGGGTCTGGATCGCGACCCCTTTCTGGTAACATGCCTGCTCCTTGCCTTCATTGTCCTTATAAGGAAAATGCAGGTAACTCCTAAGGTGTTAGTGAAATGACAGGTTTCCGTTATATTGCCAGTCCTTTCAGTCCTATGCTATGTTCCAGAGTATGGATTTTGTGAAAAACTTAAAAGTCTGCCAGAGCAGCCTTGCTTGTGCTCTGAACATGATTTAGAGGGCATCCTACTAATGCGTGGGATCCCACCATTTTAGCAACATGTTTTTCCCACCTGAAGTGTTAAGTGTAGGTCACCTTTCCTATTTTAGGCTGTTCTTCTGCAGCATCGAAGCACTGCGCATCTTTGGGAGTGTATTAGTTTTCAAGGGCTGTCGTAACAAACTTCCACAAACAGTGGCTTAAAACAACAGAACTCTATTCTCTCACAGTTCGCGAGGTAAAAGTCTGAAATCAGGATGTCAGCAGGGCGATGCGCCCTTGAAAGTCATCGGGGGAGAATCAGTTCCATGGCTCTCTCCCAGCTTCCTGTGGCTGCTGACAATCCTTGGTGTTCCATGGCTTGTGGCTGCCCTCCATTCTCAGCCCTCATCTTCACGCGGCCTATTGCTTTTTGACACTGAGTGTATCAAATCCCCCTCTCCCTTCTCGTGTCAGAACACTAGTCATTGGATTTAGAGTCCACCTTAAATCCAGGATGATCTCATCTTGAGATTTTTAACTTGATTACTTTTGTAATATCCTATTTTCAAATAAAGTCATATTCACAGGTACCAAGGGTTAGGATTTGAACATATCTTTTGGGAGTCACTATTTAACCCTCTATGGGGAGTGAGTTTGAAAGCAGAGAACTCAGAAAGATGGGTAGCGGATGCAGAGGACACACTTCCCAAATTCCATCAGGTGGCCTAAGCCATTTGGCATACACTTACCCTCAGCTTGGGCTCCAAGGTGGGTATCTTGGCTCTCCTTTATGGAATATGCATTTATGCACAAAATGAGAAATAGAAATGTTAGTAAGGAATGTTTTTGCTACAGGGAATAGAAAATACAAATAAAGTGTCTAAACAAAGGGAGGTTTTTTTTCTTGTATCACTAGAAATCTGGAAATAGGCAGTTGTTGGTGATGGTTCTGTGGCTCAAACTTGTTAGGGCATTTCTATAATTTTCTTGGATATTTCTTCATGTTTATCACTTCCCAAGATGGTTGATTCAGCTTTGCATTGCAAATTTGTGCTCAAGGTAGGAAAAAAGAAAAAGACAATGGTAGTTCTACATATCTTTTATCCAAAAAGGCAAAAGTCTTTTCTTGAGTCCATGGCAGACATTATTTGCATTTTATAGTCTAGATCTATGTAACATAAGGACCTCTAATTGCAATGGTGACTTAAAAGGGGACTACTTAGGTTCTTTGTTCCGTACTGTGGAAGTGGCAGGAAAGAAGGGAGTTGAATTGTCTGGTAAGATTTGCTAATGAACAGAACTGCCAGAGGAAGAGAAGACTCTCATTATTTTAACAACACATTTCTTTCATACCCAAAGACGAAAGAAACAAAGGGTATAAAAAACAGTTGACTAGCAGAGCCAGTAGAAGTAGCAGAACTGGGATTCCAACCCTAGTTTTGCCATTATCATCTTTAACCAGGCAATTGGAACTCACTGAGCCTCTGTTCACCTCATCTGGAACCAGGCACTGGATAAACTCAAATGTTCAACTCTAAAAGTCTATGATTCCATTAATCCATTATCAACAGAAATTTTCTTGGTATTTTTATAATTCCAGCGATGGTGTGGTTATATTGGTGCTAAGAAAAGAAAAATGTAATATTTTTACTTTATTTATATATAAAACTATATTTATATATGAAATATATCTAATATATATTTTATATATTAATATACAAGTACATATTCATATATAAATTATATATTAACATTTATATATGATATATAGTTTAATATAATTATATATTTAATAGAGATACAATTTTTATATGAACTTATAATAAATATGTGTAATTTGTATCTATGAACTTGCCCAGATATAGCCAAGCCTAGAAATGGCTGAAGTCATGAAAAGTTTCATTTAAAAGCAATTGCAAAATTTGGTGAAAGCAAAGTAATCTCTGAAAGTCATTTTTCTATTGGTTGCCAAATGAAGCTTCAGCCTTTTCTGAAGACAAAGCCATTGCTCTTCCGCAGAGCGTACCTGAGCCCATTTCTTCCAGGCCACATTCTCTCCCTGGTAAATCGGACATCCTTTTCTGTTCGGTGGGAGAGGCTTTGTGCCCTCACTCTAGTTTTCCACAAAGGACTGACTCATAACGCTATTCTGATGAGGCTGAATAATTTTTCATAAAAGTACATGAGCTCAATCAGGCAGGAAATGAAGCCCTCAAATTAAATCAAAGGTTGTAGCAGCATCTCTATTTGCTTTTCCAAAACTCCGCTAGAGACAGGGTTTCATTTCACATGGTATGAAAAATCAATAAGCAAGGAGTGGTTTCAATCATTTAAGTGCAGCATGACTAAAATTGGCCGTGGAGAGCCCACAAATGAAATTCTGGCAGTCATTAAACCTTTGACAATTTAAAACACATATGAGTAGGTGAAATATATATTTTGCTGGAACTATGCTTAAAGCATTTTTTTATCTGAAGTGGAAATGTCAAATACTTGACTCTTATATTGTAAATGGGGGAAATATCAGTTTCATACCATTAGGAAAGTCTAGTAGGCATGGTCTATGGCAGTATGCAAGAGTAATGAGGTGAGCTACATATAAGTCTGTTTTTACTATTGTTGGCACTGCCCTATCTCTCCATTTTCACCCAGTCCTGACTAGTAAGTGTATTGCTTTAGCTCCCAGTACCTCACCTCCAACCAAGGGCTCTAAAGGATTAAGTGGTTGAGACACTCCTCCAAATAGTTTCCCTGCCAGATAGTCCAGAGTGAGTAGCAACAGGTTTCTTAGTGGAAGACTTGGGGAAGTGATATTCAACTCTTTTGCTCATAAAAGGGAAAAACAACTTAAAATTTCATTTAAAAAATGTTTAATTTGATTTTTAAAAAGAGACTGGGTGTGGTTGCTCATGCCTGTAATCCTAGCACTTTTGGGGGTTGAAGCGGGCAGATTGCTTGGGCCCAGGAATTTGAGACCAGCCTGGGCAATATGCCAAAACCCCATCTCTAAAACGAATGCAAAAATTAGCCGGGTGTGGTGGCACATGCCTGTAGTCCCAGCTACTCAGGAGGCTGAGGTGGGAGGCTCTTTTGAGCCCGGGAGTTCGAGGCTGCAGTGAGGCGTGATGGTACCACTGCACTCCAGCCTGGGTGACAGAGCAAGACCCTGCCCCCCACCCCCCTAAAATATATATATTCCTTCATACAGTTTTGGTTGGACAACTATGCATTTTGATCATACATAGTTTTGCAGGATATAATTCTTAAAATAGTTCCAAAGAATATAATTTCTGGCATATTGATAACATTGACATTTAAAAACAAAATGGTTACTTCAATATTTAAAAGGTATCTAATGGACTTTAGATAATTTAATAATCTGATATGTATAATCATTTACAAAATACAGGAAATTGCTCCTCTTTCATCATATGAAATTTTATGTTGCTGATTTTTTATGACAACTCATATATTTCATTTTTTATATTTTTTGTTCCAAAGTCTTCTATTAATCATGCTATAACAGTTTAAAAATAATATGTATACACATTTATATATAAATTAAAAATATTCTTATCAACATAAGCCTTTCGGTGTTTAAAATATTCCAGATTGAATTGACAATTATTATTAGCATATAATTGACAAAAATAGCATACATTTATTACAAATTTAAATACATATTTATTAGGCATAAAAAGCAAAATTGTAGTGGATATGTATTTCTTGATAAAGTAAATTGAGATTTTATAAAATTATTTTATAAATTCATCGACAAATATTTATTGCTAGAATGAAATAGTATTCAGCCTTAGCATTATTGATTTTCTTGTTTTTATGGTTGTAAACACTAAGAAAACCTATTTATATAAATAAATAGATGAGAATGGAAGAAGTTTTATTATAAAAACATCACCCAATTTCTTTCACAGTTTCTGAATGGCATAACTGCATGGGAATTTATCATAAAAACTCGTTTCTAATGATCTATCCTTTGATAACTGGATTAACTCCTCTCTCAGTTTTGTTGACAGCAATAATTTGGAAGTACATGACTCATAGAATAACTTGTTAGCTATCCTGGAGTTATTCACTTTCTCAAAATAGGCTCGATATTTCAACTGGGTCCTTGATTTATTGCCCTGGCCCTGGTGGTTTTTATACCCCAGAGGAAAGGACAGGGTAAGATTCAGGACACCAACTTAAACCACACTGGGATTACAGCAGCCAGTGGTGCGTCTTCCTTGTGGTGTTTCCATAGAAGTACACAAGCAAGAAATTGAAGAGAGCAAGAGGGTTATCGTCCAAGGTGGACCACATCTTGAGACTTCTATAGATCAGGTTATCACCTTTTCAGAGGGAAAGGTGTTGCTAGGAACTGGCAACCCGGAACATATCAAGATCATAACAAAAATGAAAAGCAGACCTTTGGAAATGGTTAAAAAATGTGCTTTGTTTTTTTTTGTCAGAAACAGAAAAGGCATATAAGAGCATGGGTCTACACACAAATCAGAGAAAGATTAAAATTATTCCATGTTCTGCCAGATAACAAAACTAGAATCCTTGGGCTCTTCAATAGGAGAACTTTTAACAATGATGACTGTCCAAGAGTAAAGTTAATGTCCATTTGACATGAGGAGTACTACCCACCCCGTCAGTCACCAGTAATGATCAAGCAGAGACTAAATTATTTTTCCAACGATGCTGTAGAGAAAAGTTCTGCATCATGCAGTGGAGTGGATCAAATGACCTATTGGGTTTCTTCCAAGTTTGAGATTCTAAGTACCTTAGCTTGGAAAAAGCAGAAATATTCTAAGAGCTGCAATCCCCAGCAGCAGGAGTAAAACAATGTCAAGATGAGATAGTAATATGTTGCCTATTCATAAATATGTTGCTAGTTACCTAACATAGTGGAACATTATTTGAACTTTTATCTGATAGAGTGAATGGATTTACACAGATTAACCACACTTCCCTGTCTAATCTCCTTTGTGGCCCAGGGTATGCGGTTCTAAGACTGTTGGGTTTGAGAGTAAGGTCTATAGTTAAGGCATAGAACCAAGCCAGGCAGCTGACTTAGGGATCAGAGCAAGAAACTTGGCTGTACTCAATCAGTTCTCTGAGCAACCTAGATAACCATATATGCTTCTCACAGAATAATTAATCATAACTTAGGGAAGTTGAACTTAATTTAAATGTTACACTTGATACTAAGACATACCATGCCAAGCATTTAGCTGTCTGGGTATATATTTGAATGATAATCAATCCTAAAAGTCTCCGAGTGGTTCTGGGTCATCTTGAAAAGAGCATGTCTCTGGGCTGCCATTTGCCTCTTTGTGGTTTACTATTTGCCTACATCTGCTCCAGGTGTGATAATTTATACATTCATTGGTTCTGCACTTTGAAATGTACAATGCGCACTTTAAAATGTACAATGTGTGTAATGATCTCACTTAACCTTGTCAAATAAGCTACTTGATCTGACTTTGTTCCTGTGTATCTTACTGTTATGTCTTCCCTAAACCAGTCTCCAAATTATAAATGTGTAATTCAATTTCTTTGAGTTTTGAAATTCATGTATATCATTTATGATAGTGTACAAATAAGCCCTAATATAAATGAAATTATTTAATTCATAATGTGCTTTATTTTCATTTTAATGTATACACATTTTTATTTATGTAGAAACTTAACTTCTGAAAAATAACATATGCTCATTCAAAAAATCAAATCTACTGAAATATGTAAAAGCCCTTCCCTCCTCTCCCCATTGCCATAATCCCACTCCCCAGAAATAAGAATTATTAACTGTAATTAATCCTTATAAATCTCTTAAATATATAAAAGCGGATATATTTTTATGACATACTGTGATGTAACATGTATTTTTAGATTTAAGTCATTATTTTTATCAAAATTACATACTTACAGGTTTTAAAGAGTCACATCATTTTCCAGAGCTCACTAAGAAAACCTCAGTCTCCAAATACCTTCCTGCTCTCCAGAGGCAACAACTTGCAAAAATGTTAGCTATTTATCTTAATACTTACCATCATATTTCTTGGTAGTATGCTTATATTGCTATTTTTGTTTTCAGTGTTAGGCATTATTTATTGACCCCCACTCCGTGTGTGTGTGTATGAACATACACACACACATACACACACACACACACAAACACATACCATCACCTTCCTCCCATCCCATAGATATAGTTATAAACTATTTTGAGTAATAAGTATTTCACATTGGCATTTTTTTGGGTATGATGCTCTGTTTACACCTGAGCACAATGGGATTCTGTGATTAGTCTCTCTTTATTGCAACCCTTTTCTTTCCCTAAAATTAACAATTGTCTTTCTTGTTTGTTTGTTTGTTTGCTTACCTGTAGGCTTATCACTAATGCATCCCTTAAAGTCTTTGAAACCAGTGTTAATCTAAACTCGATATGCCTAAAGATTTTAGGTATTTCACTGAATTCATCTACTTAAAGGAATATCTTTAACGAAAGTATTAAGAGAAACACATATTTTAGAAAGAAATTTGCTCAATTCTTTCTGCCTTTGGTCATTTGTATATACAGCATACCACCATATGGTATATATACCTTATATTAGTCATTTGTTAAGGTTGAGTATGTCATACCAAATTATGATTACATTTTACCTATTCCTCTTTGAATATTTATTGTTAATTGCTTGTGACCAGCACTCAATAAAACTCCCGCATAGATATCAAAGTAAGCATGTAACAATGCTCAATGTTGACCAGGAAAGTTGTCCTACCATAATTTTCCTCCGTGCTAAGCCTTCCGTACTTCTCAAAGACAACAAAATACCTTGAGGAAACAAGATCTTTAAAAACTTGTGAAACACATTTGTATTCTGTGAAGCCCTTTGGGAAAGCTCCTGTTGAGTTAGAAGAGTTAGAAATTGAAACCATAGTGACCCTAATAAAACAAATTCTCACTTATCCATTTCAAACAGGTACTTAGGAGCAGTTGAAATATGTTTATCTTTCTTTGTCATCATCATTCCTCTTGTCCACTATGACCTATGGCTAGGAAACCCAGTGTGCAAAATAATATGTATTTTCTGGTTCATTTAAAAAAAATCTTTCCAGCACCCCCACCCCCCTTCTTTTTCTCTTCCTGTAATAACCAGTTCCTATTGTTGCTTTGACTTGCTTTGTAACTGCCTCTAAATCAATGGTGTTACTGATCTGCAGTGCTGAGTGGCCTGCGGAACAAGTGAAAATCCATTCATTCTGTCAAAGAGTTCAAGCCCAGCAACCAATTCTCCTAAAGTGGGATATGATTTTTGTACACACATCACAATGAAATGTGGGCAACTACACCTACTTCATGAAACATTTTGTTTTACTATGCACTGCAAGTGAAATTCAACAATTGCCAAAGTGAGCTTAAGTTACTGTGATGTGCCACTTGCTATGCATTTGGATTCATTTTTAGACCTGCAAATTAACTGTTTACATAATAGATAAAATAATGAAAATGAAAAAAATTAGGTTACACATGTATCGATGGTAGTCTGGGTAGTCTATTCTATTTCAAAAGCACTTTGTAAGTATTCCTGTTGTCATTATCTACACATTTAGATGTTATTTGATTCACGCACATCTTTTCCGTCACTTGAGTTATTCATATATATGGATGGAGTCGCACAAGACCAATCACGTCTGAGTGATTGAGTAGGTATAACTGCCTTATGACCCAATTTCATTGCTCTTTCCCTAAGACACAACCACAAGTTCTACCCCATGGCTGCTTTCAGCATTTGTAAAATGATGAAGAGATTTGGGTTACCATGAGGTATGAAAGATTGTGAGTAAGTATTTGTGTCACATAGGCTGAATTGTGGTCATTGTTTAAAGAACTTCATGATGGATGTTTAAAGCAGGCATTTCAAGAATGCAAAGCTGTAAATGTTCACACTCTCATTATGAGAATGGGAAGCATCTTTACAAATTATAAGGCTCTAAGCATTCAGTCTGTTTTGATTATCATTGTACATATAGTCCCTTGTACTTGCTTGGTGCTCAATAATTATTTGTTGAATAAATCAATCATCATGATAAGTTCAGTATTAAGCAATGCCAGTAAGAATGTATCAATTACCTTCTCTATTGGCGCACTAAAGCTACATAGATTCCTAAATATCAAATCCAATGGACGCATTTTTAATTAGTATTAGTCTGTTCTGCCGTATTTCAAAATATTTAGCACGCTTTTCTCTTCAATGATATCACTCTGTTTTCTTTTTCTTTTTCTTTTTCTTTTTTTTTTTTTTTTTTGAGACAGAGTCTCACTCTGTCGCCCAGGCTGGAGCGCAGTGGCGTGATCTCGGCTCACTGCAACCTCCGCCTCCCAGGTTCATGCCATTCTCCTGCCTCAGCCTCCCGAGTAGCTAGGACTACGGGCGCCCGCCACCACGCCCGGCTAATTTTTTGTATTTTTAGTAGAGACGGCGTTTCACCATGTTAGCCAGGATGGTCTCAATCTCCTGACCTCCTGATCCGCCCGTCTCGGCCTCCCAAAGCGCTGGGATTACAGGTGTGAGCCACCGCTCCCAGCCAATGATATCACTCTCTTCAGGGCCTCCTCTTGCATCCACAGCTGATTTCTTAGTTTTCTTCATGGCCTGTTCTTCTTTTACTCACTCCTCACACATTAGTTTCCTCCAGAGTTTCTCACAGCATCTGCTTTCCCTACTCCAAATTCTTTCCTGAGGCTATCTCATCCAAGTTCATTAGTTATAGATTGCATTTGGCACATAGGGAATTTGAAAAGAGAGGTGTGCACAGGACAGGCTTTTATTTTTCTTTCGTATGATGGAATCCTGAGGTCAGCCTTCCTGAGCTGGGATGTTGGGGGCTGCTGACTGTTGGCATTTCTTTTGTGGACTGCTGCAGCTCTAACAGCCCAATCTACAGATACTCAGGCTCAGAAACATAGGAAAAGTACAAACAGTAGTTGAATCTGTCACCTTTCTTAGGATTATTGAAAGAATCTCCACTCCATAACCTACACTTACAAAATTCTGTCACGTAGCTACACCCATCTGCAAACAAGACTAAGAAATTCTTTTATTGTTTAATTACAGTTCTATCAGTAAGGAGAAGGGCTCTAATAACATTTATATTCTGACCCCCAAACTCTTGCTTTAACCATGAACTTTCCTCTGGATTTAAGCTCATTTGTATATATATGTTTGTTGAACATCTATACTAAACAGTCAAAATGGCCTCTTAAAATCAATATGTCTAGATGTCTAAATTTCATCTCCATCTCACTGTCTATTTCTTTCCCTCACCATCCCACATACCTTCATTGAGTCAACCACATGTATTTTATACTGCTATATGTCAGGTGCACCATGCTAGGAGCTGACTTTATGAGTATGAGTGAGACATATTACCTACGTAAAGGAATCTACAAGTGGCTAATGTGTGCTGCCCAGATCCCTTCAGGACCAGCCCTCCTGCCCTTAGCCTCTGGGAGTACTGGATGCATTCTTTCTCAGAACTGCTCTCAGCTGAAGAGAACTGTTTTGTCTACACTGAAGCACACTTCCCAGGAGCAGCTGGTTGAGGGAAGAGTGTAAAGCTCTTACTCCCTTGCTTTAAGGTGGGACAAATATAAAAAACTGTCCCAGCTTGACAGCTCACTATGGGATCACCCGAGACTTATGAAGTGATGGCTCCAAATTTGACTCTTCTCTCTGTTCAATCTTACCTCACTCATGCACCCACAGGTGTGGCCCCTGAGAGGGATCCCCAGTGAACTTCCTGAATGCAAACCTCTATATAAGTCTGTTTTCCAAGAAACCTGATATGCAATAGGGTATCAGGAGTGACATTAGGAGGGAGAAACTAAATGGCATTTTGGAACTGGATGATTGGCAATATACATCCCATCACCTAGTAAGTGGGGTAGTGATAGCTCTGGCATGCTGTAGTGGTACAACTGTTACAGCTTTCATAGCTGGCAAACCAGGTTTGGGGAAGTGCTTATAAAAGAATTATAGAATTAGAAAATTGTTGCTGGGGCCAAGTGATGCATTGGAGAAAGATAATGACAGGCTGAGGATGATGAATCAACAATTCAAGATGAAGTGTGAAAACCAGATGGTCTCCTTGGCAGCAAACAAAGAGATCTTCATCTGCAACCAGAGAGCAGAGAAAGGTGAGGATCAGGCCCCTAACGTCATTACAAGAGTAGCAGAATTCCAGAGACAGTTGAATTTTCAACTTCAGCAATTTAGCCAAGCCAAGGTTAGGGTGTTCATTGGAAAAGAATGAAACTCTGAAATTGGGATGGGGAATCTGGGACAATGCACTAAAGAATCTTGAACTCCCAAATCTTTCTATACCTTCTCGTTCCACAGAAGTGGCTGATTTCTCCCTGTGAAAGGCTAGCTTCTCCTCTTCCCTGCTTGCAGATGATTCAGAGGGTCTTGACTTGCAAGACACTATGAACTCCCTTCAGGATGTACCCTCACCTCTCTTTCTGGTCACAGAAAAATAACTGTGGTTACGTCAAAACTTAATACAAGTGAGGAAGTTCTGAGTCTGCTAAGAGAGAAAGGGGCTATCCCACAAAGAAGCTGTAGAATCCAGCCAGGGGAGTAATGTAAGGGAATGCGGATGCTGATCAAGGGAAGCAGAACGAAAGTTAGAAAAGGAACATTTTGTCAATATGTTAGTACTGCCTCATGATACAGGAATACATACCCTGGCAAAGTCACCAGGAGACTGGGGAAATTTTCAGATAGGATGTCTCTTGGAAGCTAGGAGACAGTGATGGACAGCCCAAGCTTAGTGAAGTAGAAATGCCAGAGCTGCCATGACTGACAGTGGAAAAAGGTCTCAAAGCCTCAGAAAAGGCACACTGAAGAGGATACAGCAGATAAGGCTGGAAGGTCCAGTAGCCAACTCTGTTTCAAGAGAGAACCTGGCAAATATTCCACTTACCAAAGTAGTAAGAAATGCATTGGTGAGAGAGGCACCCTCATCTTTGAGATGCACAGTGATGGCTATTCTCTATTGGCCTGGACTAGCCTTTGGAAATACTTTTATAGAACTGGGCTTCCTGATAGCAATGGGGATGACAGGATCCCATATTAGGGGCCAGGAGACAGTACTTAACAATGGGAAGCCAAGTGGGCACAATTTCATAATGAGCAGCAAAGTCAGAGGGGCAGCCAGAAAAGCTTGATCTGTAGAGATGTATGGAGACAGTTAATGGAACACAGCATCCCTATGGGCAAGATTGAAGTCATCTGCAATCTAGTCATTAAAAAAAATTAAAGATGGATGATCAGAATTCTGAGGGCAGCTGCTCCCCAAAATAGTCGTGATTCTTTTTCCAGTTTACAGGCTGAGTCTTTAGTAAGAGGATGCTCTTTCTGGTCCAAATTTAATAGATTTGGTCTGTGAGTTGCTGCAGAAAAAAAGAAACATCTTCTGTGAGCATGTACACCTCAAACTCACATACACATTACAAATCATGATCCAAAAGTGGTTTGCAACATAAGACTGCCTTGAAATAGAAAAATGAAGCATAATAAAAGGAAGATATTAATTTTAGAGTGGAATAAATTATATGTGGTTTTTAAAAAAAATTATAGATTGGACTTGAGATTTCCAAAACTGGTCTTGCCAAGAAAACCAGAAGTTTGGTTGGCCAAAGGGTCAGTGGGGGCAGTAAGTCTTGGGCTGGGATAGAGGAACAAGAAGGGAAGATAAAGAAACACAGAACTCCTTCAACAGAGGCCTCTGGGATGCCTGAAAACAAAGTTTATGTATGGGCCGAACCACCAATTAGTTCATTCAACATTCAAGTACACAGTTGGCCAGGCACCATCTGCATTCTGAGGACTTAAAATGGAATAGAACATAGACTATGCTCTCCTGTAATGTCTGTCAAGCAAATGAGGCCAGTAAACCAAATATTTTATTACAGTGTGGCTTTGAAGTCATGATAAGGAAATAGCATTCAGCAGGGGCTTGGCCATGTGCTGGCTGTGTGACCTTAGTTATGTCACTTAATTTTTTTAATATCTAAGGAATATGTTGGTGTCTACCTCTTAGGGTTCTTTTTGAAGATAAAATGAAATAAAGCACCTTAAACACTTAGCAGAGTGCCCAGCACAATGTAAGTGTTCTCTTAATGTTATTGTTGTTGTTATAATGGTGATTGACATTATCAGTAATTCAAGAAATACTTTGAAAAATTGTAATCAAGACTGCTACTGGTTTCAACTCTCGCTTTTATGGGTTAATTAGAAAACAAAAGTGCCTAAAGCCACAGTGGCTTTCAACTTCCTTGTAAGACTTTCAGTCCTCTATACTAAACTTTGTCCTGTTTGCTTTGATAAAATAAAACAACTTCTCTTTATCTCTATATAGTAATGTCTTCATGTCCATTAACTAGTTCAGTCATCCATCCTTTTACTTTCTCATTGATTCAGACTACCATTTCATTGAGTTCCTACTTTTTTTTTGGTTAGCAATGCACTGGGTGCTGGAGATACCAAGATGAAAAGATAGTTCTTGTCCTCGAAGAACACCGTCTTTTTGATTCACAGCCCTGTGAGTTATAGATGATTATATGTTTGTTTTTCTGAATAGATGAGTCATCAAGTCAGAGAGGCTAATTAACATCCAACGTCTTACAGCCAGAAAGTGGCAAGGCCAGAACTGGAGCCACATCTTCTAATAGATAGTAACATCCATGCTTTTTCCATGCCACAGGAAATATTCAAGTGCAAGGAATTATCAGTCTTCTTGTCATTAAGCATACTTCTTCTAATAATCAATACAATAAACAAATAAAATAAAAGGAGCAATGACTTTATTTTTATCAATCACCTGAAGTTTAAGACATGGTATTATACTAGGTAAATGTGGCCTCTTATTCACAATGACACTAAGAGAGGCTTTTGTAGGAG
Source organism: Homo sapiens (assembly GCF_000001405.40). Lineage (NCBI taxonomy): Eukaryota > Metazoa > Chordata > Mammalia > Primates > Hominidae > Homo > Homo sapiens. The sequence goes on along the minus strand of NC_000002.12, from coordinate 150,341,865 downwards.
AACATGTGAAGCCTCTGCTGGTGGAATAGTTGGAGAAAATTACCAGGAATATTTTTCTGTTCTCACAAATGGAACATTGAGTGTAAATAATACCATGTTGAAATACAGCAGTGTATTAGTCTGTTCTTGCACTGCTATGAAGAAATACCCGAGACTGGGTAATTTATAAAGTAAAGAGGTATATAATTGGCTCACAGTTCTGCAGGCTATATAGGAAGCACAATAGCTTCTGCTTCTGCGGAGGTCTCAGTAAGCTTCCAATTATGGTGGAAGGCAGAGGGAGAGTGAGCACTTCACATGGCTGGAACAGGAGGAAGAGAGAGGGAGGGAAGTGCCACACACTTTTAAACAACTAGATCTCATGAGAACTCTATCACAAGGACAGCACCAACGGGATGCTGCTAAACCATTCGTGAGAAAACTGCCCCATGATTCAATCACCTCCCACCAGGCTCCAGCTCCAACATTAGGAATCACAATTCTACATGAAATTTGGGTGGGGACACAGATCTAAACCATATCAAGCAGTTATCTTTATAGGCCATGAATATGTGAATAACTAGTTGGGGAACAGACTTTGTATAGAAAAGGAACTGAAAAAGAAAAAAATCAGGAATCAAATTTGCCAGTGACATCTAAAAATATCTCGAAGGGTATAAACCCAAGAAAGCAGAATACCACGTGTGCCCAGAGCAGAACTGAGCAATGCTCCTTTGAGACCAGAAAGAATCTGTATAAGCCTTAAGAAAAACTATAGTATCAAGAAAACAGCAAATAAAGAATTGGGTACATTTGAAGTTTGGGGATGACGTAGATGTTTTGGATTTTGTTTTAAAAGTCAGAAAATAAAAAAGGAACCTCTCATGACGTTTTATTGTTGCTACTAAAATTGACTCCCTTTGGACCAGAAGAAGTTACCATCAATACTCTCTGCAAAAAAATTAGGCACCCATGAGCATGGGCATGCATGACTTTCTGTCAAAGATTTTTGTGATTAATAAATATATTGCAAATTGAAATTCAAGATTTATTAGATATTAGCCCTTAGTTCGGCTCCACTCTTTGATTTTGATCACATCCCCTCCTATCCATCTAGAAATGGCAGAGCACTGAACAATTTCCAGGAAAACAATGTCAGGTTTCAGAATGACCATTAAAACAACAGTAACCTTAGTTTCACTTTCCTTGATTTTTTTGGGGAAGTAAAAAGAGACAGGAGGGGAGGGATGGACAGGTTGGGAACGCCAGGTGTGGAAGGTAATAGAGATGTAGATTTTTTTTTCTAGAAAGCACTGAATAGAGGGCCCAGTATCTGATGGATGAGATCAATGCAGGTAACTTCACAGAGTAATTCATTCTCTGAATGATTTCTTTAAGAGAAACATAATTATCTGCTGTGGCTGACTCCACTGCCTGAATTAACCAAATAACCACAAACTTTGCCTTTCTTTTTTTTGTGTTGGGTAATCATTTCAAAAATAAGCAAAAGCTGCAGTGCTAATTACAGTGTAGCCTGAAAAGGCCTTAAAGAAAAACAAACTCCACAAACGAATGCTGTGGAAGATGTGAGGAGAGGTGTTTCCATACAATCCTACTACAGAAATGTGCCCAGTTCTCCCAGAAAAAAAGTGTTTATTTAGCTTGATTTAAATAGAGATTAGGTAGTGAGCAGATGGAGCTTATTTGAGGCCGTTTGGCAAGCTTGCCTGTGAGACTGAGTAAATGAAGACTGAATGGGGAGGTGGCAGGGAAGGATGGCTGGAAGGAGGAAAGCAGGGTATTCCAAACAGACCAGCTGTTTCCAAAAACCCTTCACTCCCATATAATATGAGAGCCCAGAACTGAATCTGAATCTGGATGTCAAGAAACCAAAATTATAAAATATGTTTGTTCTTGTTGTATTACGTAAGAAGAAAGAAGTAGCCAAACCAATATACTAGAAGAATGTCAGAGCACAGTCACAAAGATCTACACCAAGAAAATCTCCTAAACAAAATCTACCTACTTTTGACTACAATTCAGCTGGTGACTGTGCAAAATTTATAAGTTCTTTTCTTCTTCTCTAACTCCTCACTCAGTAATTGTAGGTAGAAAAAAGAAAATTAATATTCTGTTTATACTCTTTAAAAAGCTCTAATAGGACTTTCTGTCCTGTAACTCTCAGCCACGTATGACAATCAAGCAGTTGAAATGAGTGTGAGGTTTTGTGTGTGTGTGTGTTTTCTTTGTTGTAATCAAATAAAAGTTCAGTAAATAAGAAAGAATGCGTTTGGGGTAGAGAAAAAAATTAGTAAACCTACATTTTGGTGATATCTGTGAAATAGGAAGGAAAGCTTAAAAATGCATTTCTCAAAATGGAATGTCTTAAGAACTTGATGAAGAAATAGTAAATGGCAGAAAATAGATGAGTAATAAGCTTTGAGTCATACAGAATTTGAAGACTACATCTACCTAATTTTTGTTTTGGGTTATCATCTGTTTGGGCTGCTACAATAAAATACCATAAACTGAATGGCTTATAAACAACAACATCAATTTATTTCCAACAATTCTGGAGGCTGGGAAGTTCAAGATCAAGGCACCAGCAGACTCAGTGACTGGTGAGGGCCTGTTTCCTGGTTCATAGATGGTGCCTTCTCACTGTGTCCTCACATGATGAAAGGGGCAAACATTAGGCCTCTTTTATAAGAGCACTAATCCCATTCCTGAGGGTTCTGCTCTCATAACTTAATCACCTCCCAAAGGCCCCATCTCCCAACACCATCGCCATGAGGGCTAGGATTTCAACATATGAATTTTGGTGGCTGAAATAAACATTCAGACCATAGCCATTAACATGTATAAAAATCAGGGCTGTAAATATCCAGGACTCCCAAATGATGTTCCGAGGACCCACACTGGGTCAGTGATAAAGTCCTAGAAAAATAAGAACTTTGTAGAGGGTTGGGCGTGGTGGCTCATGCTTCCAATCCCAGCACTTTGGGAGGCCAAGGTGAGCGAATCACCTGAGGTCAGGAGTTCAAGACCAGCCTGACCAACCTGGAGAAACCCTGTCTCTACTAAAAATACAAAAAATTAGTGGGAGTGCTGGCGCATGCCTTTAATCCCTGCTACTCAGGAGGCTGAGGCAGGAGAACCCCTTAAACCTGGAAGGCGGAAGTTGCAGTGAGATGAGATTGCACCATTTCACTCCAGTCTGGGCAACAAAAGCAAAACTCCATGTCAAAAAAAAAAAAAAAAAAAAAAAAAAAAAAAAAGAACTTTGTGGAAAGATTTTCTAAAGTTAGGTTTAATAACTTTTTTGGTGCTAAGGTTTCCTACCCTTTATAAAATTATGGTGAGAGTAGATGGCAACTTTTTAATGTCCTTAGTTGGCAAAACTCAAAGTTGATAACCCTATTATATTTAGCATCCTATTACATTGCTACTGGATAATGAAATGTAAAAATCTGAGAAACACTAATCTAGTTTACAAAGAAGGAAATTGAGTACCAGGAAGGATGAGTGACTTCCTTCAGCCCGCCCCACTCCCCCCATCAACAATTAACATCTAGTTAGCCTTACCTGCATCTCTCTTCACCATGCCCACAGTCATTCCAACAGCTTCACAAGGAAAACTAGAGCTTGTAGATAATGCTCATAACATGTCTAATTCTCTAGCGTTTTCAATATCAATTTTTCACTATTACTTGGAAGAGTCTGAGTGTTAAAGATGAGTGATTCTCCTTTACAAAAAAATGTAACTTCTTGAACACCATCAGCCAAATGATTGCTAAAGTTGATGAATTTTCAGAGTCTATTTCATGAAGCAAGTCACTGAGTTTCAACAATACATGCTCAGTGGGGGTAAAATCAACTTCCAGAATTTTGTCAGAAATACCTTTCTACTTAGATTGGATTCAGTTTTGGAGATGGACCTGTCATGTACTACTGACATCTCTCTCAGGTCTGTCACTTTGTGCCACTTATTGGGTTTCAGATACATATTATATTAGGAAAAATTGTACCTACCAAATTGCTCTACGATGTATAATTATTGTCATTATTTGCAAAAATAACAAGGTTTCAAGAGCTCCTAAATTTTGTATTATACACGAGCATACCTCAGAGATATTGCAGGTTCTCTTCCAGGTCACTACAATAAAGCAAATATTGCAATAAAGCAAGTCACATAAATGCTTTGGTTTTCCAGTGTGTATAAAAGTTATGTTTATACTATAATGTAGTCTATTAAGTGTGAAATAGCAGTATGTTAAAAATAAAAGCAATGTACATACCCTAACTGAAAGATACTTTATCGGTAAAGATTATCCGAACCTTCATCCAGTTGTAATGTTTTTGCTGGTGGAAGGTCTCACCTCAATATCTATGGCTGCAGACAGATCAGGGTGGCAGTTGCTGAAGGCTGGTGTGGCTGTGGTGATTTCTTAAAGTAAGACAACAATGAAGTTTTAGCATTGATTGACTCTTCCTTTCATGAAAGATTTCTCTATAGCACGCAACGCTGTTTCCTAGCATTTTACCCACAGTAGAACTTCTTTCAAAGTTGGAGTCAATCCTCTCAAACCTTGCCAGTGCTTTATCAATTAAGTGTCTAGAATATTCTCAGTCCTTTGTTATCATTTCAACGATGTTCACAGCATCTTCACCAAGAGTGGATTCCATCTCAAAACACCAATTTCTTTGCTTATCCATAAGAAGGAATTCCTTATCCAGTCAAGTTTTACCATGTGATTGCAGCAATTCAGTCACATCTTTAGGTTCCACTTCTAATTTTAGTTCTCTTGCTATTTCTATCAAATCTGTAGTTACTTCCTCCACTGAAGTCTTGAACCCCTCATCAAAGTCATCCATGAGGGTTGAAATCCACTTTTTCCAAATTCCTGATAATGTTGATATTTTGACCTCCTCTGATGAATCACAAATGTTCTTAATGGCATCCGGAATACTGAATCCTTTCTAGGAGATTTTCAATTTAATTTGCCCAAATCCATTGGAGGAATCTAATCAATATTTGTGTCTATGGCAACTATAGCCTTATTGAATATATTTCTTAACTAATAAGATTTGAAAGTCAAAATTACTCCTTGATCCTTGGAATACAGAAAGGGTGTTGGGTTAGCAGGCATGAAAACAGAATTAATTTTCTTATACAACTTCGTCAGAGCTCTTGGGTGACCAGGTGCATTGTCAAGGAGCACAGTAGTTTGAAGGAAATCTTCTTTTCTGAGAAGCATATCTCAGCACTGGGCTTATAATGATCAGTAAACCATGAAGTGAACAGATGTGTTGTCATCCAGGCTTTGTTGTTTAACTTATATAGCACAGATAGGATTTCTATAGCATAATTATTTAGGGGGCTATGATTTTTGGAAAGGTAAATGGATGGTGCCATCAAATTAAAATCGCCAGCTGCATTACTCCCCTAACAAGAGGGCCAGCCTGTCCTTTGAAGCTTTGGAGCCAGGCATTGACTTCTGTTCTCTAGCTATGAACATCCTACCTAGCATTTTCTTTTGATATAAGACGGTTTTAGATCTGTTTATTGTAACCACCTTTTGTCAATGATCTTAGCTAGATCTTCTGGATAACTTGCTGTAACTTCTACATCAGCACATGCTGCTTCACCTTGCAATTTTATGCCGTAGAGATGGATTCTTTCCTTAAGCTTCATGAACCAACTTGAAAGTTTTCTTCTGTAGCTTCTTCCTCTCTCTCAGCCTTCATAAAATTGAAGAGAGTTAGGGTCTTGCTCCGGATTAGGCTTTGTCTTAGGGGAATGTTGTGGCTGGTTTGATCTTCTATCCAGGCCACTAAAACTTTCTCTGCATTAGCAATAAGGCTCTTTTGCTTTCTTATTATTAATTTGTTTACTGAAATAGTACCTTAAATTTCCTTCAAGAACTTTTCTTTTGCATTCACAACTTGGCTAATGGTTTGGTGCAAGAGGCCTAGCTATTGGCCTATCTTAGCTTCGACATGCCTTCCTCACCAAGTTTAATCATTTCTAGCTTTTGATTTAAAGTGACAGGTATGTGACTCTTCCTTTCACTTGGTCACTTAGAGGCCATTGTAGGGTTATTCATTGGCTTAACTTCAGTATTTTTGTGTGTCAGGAAATAGGGAGGCCTGAGGAGCAGGAGACAGAAGAGAGAATGTTTGGTCAGTGAAGCAGTCAGAACATACACAACATTCACTGACTAAGTTCACTGTCTTATATAGGTGTGGGTGATGGCACTGCCAAAAAATTACAATAGTAATATCAAAAATTGATGATCACAAATCACTATAATAGATGCAATAATAATGAAAAAGTTTGAAATATTCTGAGAATTACCAAAATGTGACCCAGAGACCTAAAGGGAACATGTGTTGTTGGAAAAATGGCACTGATAGGCTTGCTTAATGCAGGGTTGCCACAAACCTTCAATTTGTAAAAATGCAATATCTATAAAGTGCAATAAAATATGATATGCCTGTACACAAGCTGGCTTGATTAAATTTATCAAAATACATCAGCACTTGTTGCTTCACCTTGTACTTGTATGTTACAGAGATGACTTCTTTTCTTAAGCCTCATGAACCAACTTCAAAGTTTTCTTCTGTGGCTTCTTCACCTCTCTCAGCCTTAATATAATTGACGAGAGTTAGAGTCTTGCTCTGGATTAGGCTTGGTTTAAGGGAATGTTGTGGCTAGTTTGATCCCCTATCCAGACCATTAAAACTTTCTCTGCATTAGCAATAAGGTTGTTTTGCTTTCTTATCATTCACGTCCTTACTGGAGTGGTCATGCTAAAGGTGGCAAGAAGGGAAGAGGCAGAAAGGGAAGAAAAAAAACTTCAGGAAAAAAGCAGAACTAGAGACAAGGACAAATTTGGGTAGATCCTGCTTGTGAGCTTTTGAGTTATAGGCTCTTTTCCTTGGCCTGTAAAATTCAAAGTGCATAGACCAAGCTCTCCGGGGGCTGATCACCCCTCCTGGGTGAATGTTAATCTCAGGGCTTCATTGACTTCATCCAGAGAAATGTAATCTCTCAGAGCACTTGCGGCAAGTAGAATGAAATCGAGGAAAAACCTTGATCTATTTTGCAATTAATGCCTTCAGAGAGATTTTTGCGAGACCAATGTAAATTTGGATATAGAAGTATCTCATAGATTTCAGACACTCCTTAGAGAACACAGGGCCATAATACGATGAATAGATTATACTGTGCCATTAGTAGAGTCTTATCCCCTGTAAAATGTGTCATTTTGCCCTGTATTGTTTCAATTTTCATAATCACTTCAGAATTCCTGTGTGGATATTTATCCAAATGTAAATGGCTTACAGAATACATTGAGGCAAATGTATTCAGAGATCTAGGATGCTGACTGATCATAGAAAACCCACTCCAGACAAACAGCTATGAAAATGCTGGTCACCCCAGTTATGATTGTGAGTGGTTTATCCTCGACACTGGACCACCACTTCAGCCCCTGTGACCCCTAGTAATACTATATAATGTTCATCTAAATTTTAGAAACCAACAAGTAAATTATAGGCAAATGAGCAAAAAGTATTTCAAAGCAAGACAGAAAAAGAAAGAAGCAGATAGGAAAAGAGAGGAAAACAGGAAAGAAGGAAGGAAGGAAGGAAGCAGAAAAAAAAGAATCAAAAAAAGAAAAAAGGGAAAAGGAATGAAGGGAGGGAGAGAGGAAAGAGAGAAAGAAGTAGGAGAGAGAAGGAGCAGAGATGAAAAAGGAAATATAAGTGGTGGGAACAAGTAAGATGTCCCCAGTAATTATCTGGAGGGCCACTCAATGAAGCCATGTGTAATGGTTTATTCTATGTCAACATGACAAGGTTAAGGGTTGCTCAGATAGCTGGTTAACATTATTTCTGTGTATGTCTGTGTGTTTCTAGAAGAAATTAGCATTTGAATTGGCAGACTGAGTAAAGAAGATCCCCATTGTGGATGGGCCTCATCCAATTGGTTGAGGGCCTGCATAGAGAGAACAAAAAAAGTGAAAGTAGGGCAAACTCTCATTCCCTCTTCCTTAAGCTGGAACATCCATCTTCTTATGTCCTTGGACACTGTAGCTCCAGGTTCTTGAGTCTTCAGACTAGGACTGAATGATGCCACTAGCTTTCATGGGCCTCCAGTGGACAGATGGCATATCCTGAAATTTCTCAGCCACCATAATCTTGTGAGTCAATTTCCACCATAAATCCTCTCTTATGTCCATATATATAGAGAGAAGCAATAGGATATATCTCCTACTGGTTCTATTTCTCTGGAGAACACTCATGCACCATTCCGTCAATTCCCTGCACATGGTTATCTTTCCAAAAAGTATTTACTAAGCATCAATTATTCAAAGTTTCTAAAGGATACAAAGACTTGTCAAACGAACCACAAGATGCATCCTTGAGGACGGAACTGGAATCATCTCTTTATAAATTCAGGACTGAACTAGACTAGAGTGGGCAAAAGAAAAGTGCCAATACAGTTAACAGTTAAAATAAAAATCATAGTGAAAGAAAGAAGAACAACAATAAAATGACCCTTTGAAATGTTACAAGCCTAATATTTCTCTTCACTAATTTCTAATTCTATCTTGAAATATATTCTGGTTTCCCTCACAAATTTCTAACAGTCTTTCCAAATTTTATATCAATCACTACTTTGACAGACTGTGATAAATAAGTCAATTTGACCTTCCTTTACTTGATTTCTACTTTATTATTAATCTTTCTCTCTTGTTACACATAATATATTTCAGTTTAAAGGGAACTAGAAAGATACAGAAAATGCAACATTGCCCAATTTGACTCCAGCCCGAAGCTGAATATCATCATTTATTTTTATTTTTACTTTGATTTGGGAATAATAGGGTGACTAAATAATAATAATAATAGGGTGACTAAATAATAAATAAATAGGGTGAATAAAAAAAAATAGCTGTTTTTGTCAACTTAAAACAAAGCAAGACAAAATGCAGATACAGAAAGCCCATGTGTAACAGGCAAAGGTGGAACACAAGAAACAAAACAAAATTAAGACAAAAAGCAAAATAAAACAAAAAAGACTATGACTCTGCTTTAACCAAGTTCACCTAATCCTAACATATCTAGAACCTGGTGCCACAAAATCGTGTCGCTATTTATATAGCTTTTGCACAAGGCTTGTCTTGGCCCCCTACCTTCTGCTACAGGCTGACATCCTTGGCACACATAGAAGTGGGCCTCACTGCCATGCTTTACTTGGCAGATCCTTGTGACATTCCTTCTGCTCTGCCAGAGCTTGGCAGACTTACCTTCAGAATTGTAGGGCAAAGAATCACTGGCCATGTTCTGGGCAGCAGGTAGGTGGCTCCATTACTGTAAGATCACTTCAGAATATCACTCCATAATCTCAATGGGCTGCAGAGCCTTTGCCACAATTTTCTCTGTCATCACATCTTCAGGTGCTGTGGCTTTTCTAGGGGAACATTTGGAGATGGCCTCAACCCAGGACTCCAGATGCTACCGTGCTCACATAAGCTCCTGCATTAAGCAGACCTGGATCCACTTGCTGACGTCCTTGCCTGTCAATTCAGTGTTTGACCCTGGGCTGACTTACTGGGGAAAAGAAATATGCGAAGAAAGCTGAGGAAGAAGCATTATTACTGTCCATAATGTGCAGTCCCACTGAGGGGTGTCTTCTGCTCTTGATGATTCACAGCCACCAAAACACATCATAGCTGGATGCAGCAAGCACACCATAGTGACTGTCCCAGCTCTGTACACACATCCTTTCTCAACGTCTTTCCTTATCAATGCCAACCTCAGGCTTGCAGGCAGTTCCTGCAAATCAGGTGAGCATTTAGGAGCTTGAATGAGAATAATAATATAAAATTTTAACACATTTTCAAGAAGAGCCTTTTAGAGCTAAAAATTTGAATTAATTTAAAAAAGATTGTGGGCTGGCTGTGGTGGCTCATCATGTAATCCCAGCACTTTGAGAGTCCAAGGCAGGCGGATCACCTGAGGCCAGGAGTTCAAGACCAGCCTGGCCAACATGGTGAAACACTGTCTCTACTAAAAACACAAAAATTGTCTGGCATGGTAGTGCATGCCTGTAATCACAGCTACTTGAGAGGCTGAGGCATGAGAATTGCTTGAACCTGAGAGGTCGAGGCTGCAGTGAGCCATGATGGCACCACTGCACTCCAGTCTGGGCGACAGAGCAAGACCCTGTCTCCAAAACAAAACAAGATTGTTAGAGAAAAGAAATTGAGTTGTTCATGGTACAAAAATAGCAGGAGGAAAGTAAATATTAGAAGAGAAAAGGTAGTGCTAAAAGAATCATTCCCTTTAAATTTATATAACATTAAATTGATTGTCATATGAGCCTCAAGATAATCCACTCTCCTCCCTTTAGTGGACTCCCTATTTCCTAGATTTTCTGAATTGTTTCGAAATAATTAAAAGATAATCAACTGTTCTTGTTGGGAATGACATACATTCCTCTCTTTGCATTCAGAGTCACATTTAAGGAATGCATAATCTATAATCATTGCTTCTGTTTCCTTACTGCTTTTTTTTTCCACCTAAACTTCTCTTTCTTTCTACTGAGACAGCTATCACCCGAAGATACCAATGATCTCATCTCCTTCTTTCACTTATTTTCTGTGGATTTCTGCACATGGATTTAATGCTGTTGAGCATGGACTTTAGAGTCAGACATATCTTAACTGCACAGTTCCAGCACTAATGAGGTGCGCGTGGGCAAATTATCAAAACTTTCCAAGCACTAGTGGACTTCGCAAGATAATTGGGAAAATTAAACAAGATTATGCATGTGAAAGGTAACTGCATGATGGTGCCCAGCGCCACATCAGGCCATGGTAGACAGTTAATATGTACTAGTTTCTTTTTTCATGGCCCCCATGCCCTGTTGCAGTAGTCTCCCCACATCCTCGCATTACATTGTAGAATTGAGTTTTCTTCCTTCTCTGAGCACCATTCTAAAGCCTTCTCTTTTTTGTTTTGTTTGTTTGTTTGTTGTTTTCTTTGAAATGGAGTCTCGCTCTGTTGCCCAGTCTGGAGTGCAGTGGCGCTATCTGGGCTCACTGCAAGCTCCGCCTCCAGGTTCACGCCATTCTCCTGCCTCAGCCTCCGGAGTAGCTGGAACTACAGGCGCCCGCCACCACGCCTGGCTAATTTTTTTGTATTTTTCATAGAGACGGGGTTTCACCGTGTTAGCCAGGATGGTCTTGATCTCCTGACCTCGTGATCCACCCGTCTTGGCCTCCCAAAGTGCTGGGATTACAGGCGTGAGCCACTGTACCCAGCCTTCTTCTTCTTCTTCCTTTTTTTTTTCTTTTGATTGCTCTTCCTCTTTTTACTTCTGGATATATGTGAGCACCAAGAAGGTTTTCATAGAGCCATCTCGCCGCCAATGCCAACAGCTCCAGGTGCTAACTCAGATGTATGAGTTTCACATTGCACAACTTTAGCTCAAGCATCTCTTCTGAGCTCTAAACCACATTTTCACCTGCCTATTTGGTGTCTTTTTGTGGATGTACAAACCTCACCTCAAACTCCACTCCATACTTCCAAAACTCTACATTTTCCTTGTCTCACAGTTCGGCTCCTCAGATCACCAAGCACCATGATTTTTGCTTTAAGCAGCTAAAGCACTTAGAGAAACACCTCCACAGGTTTCCATTGCACTTAACTGTCACACTTTCATCGAAGAGATGGTCATAAAAAGAAAATGTCTAAGCATCTGTAAATTCATTTTTGAAGGCACTCATCATGTTGTTTCAAGATCTTGCTAAGCTTAGGTGCTTGAACATTATTCCTGAATCCAGGAATAAGAAAATTTGAGGTTGAGTTTCAACTCTAAAATTTAGCAAGCTTTGCAAGTTTAAAGTATTATTTTTTTGCCTTTGAAATTCAGTTTCCTCTATTGTAAAACGAGGATGATAATTGCAGCAGTGACTCCCAAGTTTTAGTAAAAAAATGAGATCATATATGTGATAGTCCTCTGTATGCTATGATATGCTACAGAAATAAAATTTGTTTTGTTTTTCACCAAGCCTGAAACATGGTAGGCACTTAAAGAATCTTTTCTGAATATAATTAAAATATGAAGTACTAGCTATTGACATTATCATGTTTGATCCTTACAGTGTTCCTTTGAGACATTTTCCTCCTTTTATAGATAATGACATAGTGGCCGGAAAGTATTGATTGTGGGTAGAAACAATGAATCTTTGGCAGCTTGTTTTTACGTTTAGTCTTTCCCCCAGTGTGTCACACTTTATATGATGTTGTCCATGTTAGAGGCATACATATTTTAGGATAGGTATTGGAGAGTAAATAGAAGACTTCAAGGAGTTATTCTATTTCCCTCTGTTCCCATTTACTCAGAATGTGTCCACATGATGCCTCGCTCATAATGAGCTCAAACAAAAAATCTGCTGAACATTTCAATGTTTGACCAACTTTGTAATAAATTGACTGAATGTTTGGTGTTTATAGGCACAGACTACTTAAACGAACCAAACTATTTTGAGATGTTCACAAAGAAAGCTTTCAAGAGACCATTGACATTCTCTGACTAAAAGCAAATTACCTGCAGTTGTCATGCTGGAAAAATAATTCTGTTTAATAAAAAATTAAAAATAAAAGCATCGTGTATGCTTGTGTGTATTTCTTACTCCCATCATATAAAATACATGCAATTATTCTATTTTATCATATATATTTCTGTCGAGACTATATTACCTACAAAAGATAAAAACTTTCATTGAAGTGGGAATTTGAAATTGTCTAATGTTGTGATGCATTCAAAGGAATCTAATCAGATCTTAAATAGGTGTAAACACAATAATTATGTCTAATCATGGTCTTTTTTATTCTTCAAAAGACTAGTAATACACAGCCACTAAAAATGATAATGCAGTCCTACGTACTGACTTAAATGTACATCCGCACATGTTGTCAAGCGACAAGAATATATATGAAAACATTTTATTTGTGTAAATTTGCATGAGCATATGCAGATGAACTGATTTACTACAAAATGTTAATGGTACTTATCTCTAAATGGCAGTACCTTTCTTCTTATAATTATCTGCATTAGATATCTTAAAATATTTTTTTGCAACAAATGTGTATAATTTTAAAATTGGGGAAAGTATTTTCAGTTTAAAAATAAGGGAGCAAAACCTAATCATTCACTCAGGCATAGTAAGATAAAGTTACCACATATGTAAAAGGTGGTCTGAAAGGATAATGCATAGTGCCATGTCCAAAACTATCTTCTTAACCTGTACAATATTAAGCTACTAAAGAGTTCAGTGAAGAAAAAAATAAATGCATTGCAGTCAAAAGACATAAATGAGGAGCAAAACAATGGAGGAAACTAATAAATTAATACATCTGCGGTGCTGGCAGGATTTTTGTGCAGTGACATTTGTGAACGTCCTGTGTAAATGCCAAGCCTGTAAGGTGGGGCTGTCATGCATCACTTTTATAAGTGAAGACCATCTCCTGATTATCAGCTCTTTGCCTCCAGCACAGCCTGTACTTCTCGTGCAAATGCAAACACAGACACAGCCCAAGGCTGCTGGGTCCTAAACTCTTACGGACCAATAAATTCTGTAGTCTTTAGCCAAAGCAGACCGACAGTACATTGGCAAAAGGGAAGGCACAGTTTAAAAGCATGTGCATGTGCCAGCATTTACAGGGATTTAAAAGAGACATTTGTAGAGAGCAAAATACCATTTTTTACCAGTTTTGTTGGGCCTTAATTAAAGAGGCCTTTCCCCCCTTTTCTGCCATTTGGGCTGTGGGATTGCAGCCTCTCCTGGCTCAAAGAACTATTTCATTGGTCCGCAGGCTAATTAGGAAGGACTCACACTGCTCGCCAGCCTCCTGAAAGGCCAGAACAAAGGCTGCTGCTGGTAGATTGCAGTTCTGCCTCAATTGCAGAGGCTCACGAGTAAAAGAAAAAGAAAAGCTTTTGAATAGAAAAGCCTTTTGATGCCGTGAAAGAAATTAAGAACTAAAACAGAGGCCTAGGCGCTGCTGCACAGAGCCCTCCATACAGGCTGATTGTGCTTAGGAACAAGGTCAACAAAGCCCCATCTGATACCGAACACCTCACATTAAAGAGGCATCTATTTAGCTGCTGTGTCTTGGGCTCTCCTGCTACGAAGTACTTTCCCAATCAGGCCGTCTGGTGCCGTGATAAACACAGATAAATATGAGCAGCATCATGCTTTCATCTGAACAATTAATGCATGATTTCCTAGTTGATTGTTTGCAAATACACTATAAACAACTGTGTTTTCTTTTTTTTTTGACCAAACAAAAATAAAGCTGTGAAGAAAAAGACATTACCACCATCACATTAGCATCTTATTGTCTTACCAAAATTTTACTGAATTTCTCTTCATATTTTAAAATAATTGTAGTTTATCCAAATAATGTGAAAAAACACGCATCTTTTTCTTCACAGAAGAATGGAAATCTTAAGTGCCAATGCATTTTCTAACAGCCTAAATCAGTTAATGACAAGTAACTGAAGCTGAAATGCCCATTTGTTCTGAATCTTGCAGTCTTTGCTCCTTGCTACATAGGCTTTCAAAGGGAAGTCTCTTTTCTAATTTTATGACTTTGAAAATTAAGCATCTTTTTCAGAGCTTCACCTCCAAATAGTAACTATCCTTTATTGAGGCTTTATGCCAACTACCATACTTAGCACTCTACATGTATTAGCTCCATTAACCCTCAAAAATCAATGACATAGCCGGGTGCCTGGTGTCTCACGCCTGTAATCCGAGCATTTTGGGAGGCCGAGGTGGGTGCATCACTTGAGGCCAGGAGTTCGAGACCAGCCTGGCCAACATGGTGAAACCCATCTCTACCAACAAATAAAAAAAAAATTAGCCAGGCATAGTGGTGCATGCCTGTAATTCCAGCTACTTGGGAGGCTGAGGTAGGAGAATCTCTTAAACCCGGGAGGCGGAGGTTGCAGTGAGCTGAGATTCCGCCACTGCACTCCAGCCTGGGTGACAGAGCAAGACTCCATCTCAAAAAACAAACAAACAAACAAACAAACTAATGACATAAGCATTATTGTTATCTGCAGTTTACAAATGTGGAAACTGAGGCTCTGAGAGGCTAAACATAAGAAGAAGGACACAACTATTAAGGAGTAAGGCCAGAATTTGAAATCACGGCTTTCTGACTTTCAACACTGAGCTATTACGGTGGAATTAAAATTTCCATGTAGAAGTATTAGTGCAGAATTACAAAATTGAAAAGTACATTAGAAATCATGTAGCCCACACTCCTCAATTTGCAGATAAGAAATTAAGATTCAGAGACGTTGGAGGATTTATTTATGTTCATCCAGCTGATTTGGTGAATTGCAGACTCTCCTAATTCCAGAGATTTTAGTAGGAAGGTTCTCAAACGGTAGCATGATTAGAAGCACATGAAGGACTGTTAGGCACAGATAGCTGGGCCTCACCTCCAGACTTTCTGACTCAGTAGGTCTGCAGCAGAGGGCCACAGCATTTGCTTTTCAACAACTTCCCTGATGCTGCTGATGCTGCTAGTCTGGGAAGACAGTTTGAGAACCTCTGTCCTCGAATATCACACTGCTTCTCATGCAACTGTGAAGTGAATAAAACTGAAAATGAGGATGAGTCAAATTAAGCAGTAAAACAGTTTGGAATTTTATTCAATTTCATGTAAGAACCAGCCTCAGCAATGCCATCTTGAATTTTGCATCATTCTTATCCATCTGGTAGTCACAGTCACAATTTTTGTGAAGTCTAAAACAAGGCAGTCATTCACAGCAATGTTACTTTCAGTGTAAATATTTCCTGGAGATTCTTTCTAAGATCTTTGGAACTTTTTCCTCTTTAAAAGATAATTGCAAAAGCTAGAAGTTTTTGTGTATGGATTAAGTTCCTTTCAGAGCTCGTCTCAAGCCATTTCTAATGCAGAGATTTGAATAATGCAGCTGTACAATTTATCTTTCAAAAGGGCGTGCACTACCGCACTGCTGTGCAGATGACTCAGCATTGAAATGTAATTTACCAAAATGATTCCGATCTGGTAAATACATTTCTTTTCTCAGAAAAATTGAAACATCTATCAGCTGAAGTGCGCTTCTCTTATCCTTTTCACCAAAATAATTTTCACCTATCCAAGGAATAATCTGTGGTTGCTCAATTTATAAAATAATCCTTATTGAAACCTGTTTGTTATTTGGCACAGAAATGAATGACCTTGGAGGAAGACCTGGATCACTCCTGCTCTATCCTACAAAACTTTCCATCTGGGTCACATCCCAGACCTGTCTCACAAGGTGGCGAAATGACCAGGCATCATTATCATATATTTACTGATCACTAGCCTGTATGTATAAGTCACTTGAGATTGTCATTGGGCTGAACAGGTGTATTCTAGCTTTTTTGTTGCCTAGTTTGGGTCTGAAATCCATTTTGAATGAACAGGTCATTGTCAGTAGTGCCAATTATCATTTTTATCACCTGTTATTTTGGGGATCTACTTCCTGCAAGAGTGAGAGGTTAGGTAGGAGACCGAAGAAAACAGGGCTTCTTTAAAGTAGGTAGAATCAAGCAGTCTTCCAAGGAAGTCTAAAAGATATTTAAATGGAAAAAAAAATTATAAAGCCATGGCAAATCAACCTGATGCCTTCTTAAATATAACAATCCTCCAACAGTCTTCCAGCCAGCCTTCTTTCCCTGTGAGTAGAAAGCATTTTCAAGCAATAATACTATCCTAAGGCATGCTTGGAAACATTCCAGGGGCTGCAAGAGGAATTACATGACAGGTCAGCTCCTACGGTGACTATGATACTTGGATTAATGCAGTACTAGGACAAGAACAGGAATACTATAGCGATCACAATTATAACAGAGCAAACGGACTTGGGGTGACAGAGATAACCTGTAATGTAACGTTTTGCACTTGCAGATGGAGAGTTTCAGAGTTTAATGTTATTGATTTCTTAGCATTGTTACTAGGAGGCAACCAATAGGATGAACACTGGACAAAAACAATGTTGTAAAGACAAAAAGTGGAGGACCCTATGCAAGACCAAAGAGATACTGCTTTAGTGAGGGAAGATTGACTATTGACCTTAACTGTACATCAGAGATTTTGATCTTGGAAGATCATTTTTAAAATGTATTTTTGAAAGGTGAGTCTAAAAATGCAACCAGAAGTGACCTAGAATTATGCAACTAATAAAGCTGCAAATAATTTGTACTAGAATGGGATTTAGTCAATTTTAGTAAATCTACATAGTTGATTTCAAAATCCCATGTTTCATTTGCCCCATTAATTCTTTAATTACCTTTATATAATCTGAAAAAGAACAACTCCTTCAAGTGTCATTCAGATCGGTAGCTCTGCTATACACCAACAGTGACCAATCTGAGAATCAAATCAAGAACTCAACCCCTTTTACAATAGCTGCAAAAAAATAAATAAAACACTTAGGAATATACCTAACCAAGAAGGTAAAAGATCTCTAGAAGGAAAACTACAAAACACTGCTGAAAGAAATCATAGATGACACAAACAAATGTAAACACATTCCATGCTCATGGATGGGTTGAATGAATTTTGTGAAAATCACCGTACTGCCAAAAGAAATCTATAAATTCAATGCACTTCCCATCAGAATACCATCATTCTTCACAGAATTAAAAAAGACAATCCTAAAATTCCTGTGGAACCAAAAAAGAGCCTGCATAGCCAAAACAAGAGTAAGCAAAAAAAACAAATCTGGAGTCATCACATTACCTGACTTAGAAAGTATACTATAAGGCCACAGCCACCAAAACAGCATGGTTTTGGTATAAAAACAGGCATATAGACCAGTGGAATAGAATAGAGAACCCAGAAATAAAGCCAAATACTTACAGTCAACTGATCTTCAACAAAGCAAACAAAAACATAAAGTGAGGAAAGGACACCTTATTCAACAAATGCTCTGGGATAATTGACAAGCCACATGGAGAAGAATGAAACTGAATCCTCACCTCTCATCTTATACAAAAATCAATTCAAGATGGAGCAAGGACTTGAAACCATAAAAATTCTAGAAGATAACATTGGAAGAACCCTGCTAGTCATTGGCTTAGGCAGAGACATCATGACCAAGAACGCAAAACCAAATGCAACAAAAACAATGATAAATAGGTGGGACTTAATTAAACTAAATAGTTTCTGCACAGCAAAAGAAACAATCAGCAGAGTAAACAGACAACCTACAGAGTGGGAGAAAATCTTCACAGTCTGTACTAACAAAGAACTAATAACCAGAATATACAAGGAACTCAAACAAATCAGCAAGAGAAAAACAATCCCATCAAAAAATGGGCTAAGGACATGAATAGACAATTCTCAAAGAAGATATACAAGTGGCCAAGAAACATATGAAAAAATGCTCAACATCACTAATGATCAGGGAAATGCAAATTAAAACCACAATGTGATAGCTCTTTACTCCTGCAAGAACAGTCATAACCAAAAAATCAAAAAATAATAGGTGTTGGCAGGGATGCAGTGAAAAGGGAACACTTAAACTGCTGGTGGGAATTTAAACTAGTAAAACCACTATGGAAAACAGTGTGGACATTCCTTAAAGAACTAAAAATAGGACATTCCTTAAAGAACTAAAAGCAGAACTACCATTTGATCCAGCAATCCCACTACAGGGTATTTACAAAGAGGAAAAGAAGTCATTATACAAAAAAGATACTTGCACATGTATGTTTATAGCAGCACAATTTGCAACTGCAAAAATATGGAACCAGCCCAAATGCCCATTAATCAATGAGTGGATAAAGAGATTGTGATATATATATATATATATATATATAAAATATATATATATGTGTGTGTGTATATATATATATAAAATACGTATACACATATCATCATGGAATACTATTCAGCCATAAAAATAAATGAAATAACAGCATTTGTAGCAACCTGGGTGGAATTGGAGACCATTATTCCACATGAAGTAACTCAGGAATAGAAAACCAAACATCGTGTATTCTCACTCATAAGTGGGAGCTAAGCTATGAGGGTGCAAAGGCATAAGAATGATACAATGGACTTTGGGGACTTGGGGGAAAAGGTAGAAGCGGGGGTGAAGGATAAAAGACTACAAATTGGGTATAGTGTATGCTGCCTAGGTGATGAGTGCAACAAAATCTCACAAATCACCACTAAAGAACTTACTCATGTAACCAAACACCACCTGTTCCCCAAAAACTTATAGGAAACAATTTTTTTAAAAAAGAAGAAAGATAAAGGTCAGGGAGACTCAGCTGATATTTATAGTAACTATTGATATTTGCTTTTGGCAATTTAAATGAGCATTATTTATATTTTTATAATTAATGATCATGCCATTCATTAAGATTGTTCCAGCATTTAAATAATCACGACAGGTTCTAGCAAAGCTGCGAAAAAGGTTAAATCAATCATTGGGTTTCGTATTTCCTGTATCAGTGTCTCTTCCTCTGTATTTCTTTTCTCTGCCTTCTCTATGCTGTTAGTTGGCTGCTAGTGTTTTATACAGCAGGGGCTTGCTGTGTTCTGCACACACTAATTCTTATGAGTGTTAATTGGTACTCAAAGAACAAAGAGCCTCATGGTCAAGAAAGCTTGGGAAATGCAGAGTACCCCAATTCTCTCCTGGAAAGTCACAATACTATTAACATGTTAAAGGCTCTGAAAGGTCCTGCAGTAAGAAAGAAACTTCTCTAACTTTGCTTAACAGTTAAACATATCTACTTGACCCCTGGTATTTTTTCTTGACCCGTCTATTAATATACCCCAGAATAAAATGCCCTTAACCCAAGCTGGGAAGTGTGTTAGCAAAACTTCAAGTTATGACCACCTCCAGACTGTTCATATTTTAGGAGGGTACTTTGTAAAGCCTTCTAAATATTAAGGATGGATGCTGTGATAAGTGATGAAGTCATCAAATGTCTGCTCATGAAGGTGAACTTACAAAGAATACAGAGAAATTTATAATGCCATGAGGTGGAAGCCATTGTTCAAAATGGATTTCAAACCCAAACTAGGTAACAAAAAAGCTAGAATACACACAAGCCCCCACCAACAAACACATGCACATAGAGCACAGAAGATAAACAATTTGCCGTTTACTCTTATTCTATTTATCTTGGGTGTTTCCACATTGGTTTTAGAATAATGTGGGTTTTAGAGACAAACAGAGCTCGACTTCAAACTGTTACCATTTGACTGTACTCAGGCAAAAAATACTTAACCCATGAAAGAATTTGTTTCCTCATCTGTGAAATGAGGTCAGTAATATTTACCTAAGAATTGTTATAGGGATTCAATGAGGCAACATGAATGAAGTGACTAGCATATAACAGACACTCAATAAATTAAAATTTCCCTACAGTCTGCTGCATCTCCCTCCACATTTTTGGAATCAGTTGAGGTCCTGAGAATGACAGACAGCATTCTTCTCAGGTGCTAATGATAAACTGTTGTTGCACTGAATAAATTGTAATAAAATTGGTGTTCCTGTCTATCACCCCATTGTGAGCCCTTGGGAAACAGGGCCTGTGATAAATTTACCAGGCCAGCATCTTCAACATATTAGGAGCTTAGTATGCTTGTTAAAGAAATTAACAAATCTTCAAAAACAACTCTCCTTTTTCTTCCACAGTCTTCTATTTCTAGCTACTAAGGATGGCCAGTCAAAATTTCTTTGACCTGAAGTTAACTCTGCAATAAAGCTGTACTCTGAAATAACATGCACATCAAAATATCAGTTTAATACACATAAATTAGTGGTTCATTGCACTGCAATATTAGTTAATTTTGCAATTGCATTATAGATTTCTAAATTAAAGAGACTGCCTGCCTTTCACTCACATCACACACAATGAATGCCAACATTAGGCATCACCTTTTTCTGGCTTTGCAAGACTGAAGGTCATTATCAATTGCTGTTTAATCAGCCAAGTCATGCATATAGACAAAGGTTAACTGAGCATAGACCAATCTGACTTCCTTTGTCATCGCAAGACAATTTGTGGCTTAATAAAGCTGCTCTGATTGCACTTAACAACACCTGCTTTAAAATGCAGCCTCATTAATAGCACACTAATGAGTTAGGGATCTTCTGGCAAGGGCATGATCAAAGACACATGATTTGCTTTCTGATTAAATGACCTAAATAACATAAAACCGAATCTTCCAGTTTATTTTAGGGAAAGCCTTTTTGGAATAAGTCATAAAAGCTGTTGGGATCTTCAGATATGGTTTTTTAAAAAAAGATAGGAAAGAATAATATTTTCAGCTCTTTTAAATTCCGATGTGTAACCACAGTGCCACATAAGTGAAATTAAACCAAACTGAGTCCTTGACTTTTGAACTCACATCCCCAAACACAATATAGCCACTGAGCAAGAAAGCAAAATAAATAAATAAATAAATAAATAAATAAATAACACTCATAAAAAGAAAAGAAAATTTTGAGGAATGTTTATGAAGGTAATTAATTAGTATTGTTATATTAATATAAGGGTGATTTTTTAAGGAGCAGCTTTGTTCAAAGAATAATAAAAGTGATTTTTGCCCCTTTACATAAATTGGAGTTTTGGAGTTTACTGTTGACTCACTGTGCAATGCCAGGCAAATTGTTTCTTGCCCTGAATGGAGTCATGTATCCTGATTTAACACAACCACTGGTGGAACTCTGAGCACGGGGAATCTTGCACTTTTCTTTTTATAGTTCTACAGTTATCCTATTTGTACTAGACATGTCAATCATTGTTGCCTGCCTGCCTGCCTCATGTTGCCCCTGGTAAAGAAAATGGCCCTGCCACAACCTCTGCTACGAAGATAAGTGGGGGAGTAGAACCTGGTATCAAAATCCAGCCAAGGGCAGCCAATCCAGAGACTTGCCAGTGACCAAAGTTTGCAGTTATTAGCTGGGTCAATCCAAAGTCTTCTTGAAAATTGAATGAAACTGAAAGTCCAGAGAGAAGAAGGTCAGAAGAGAAGCGGAAGAGAACACACACACACAAAAACAGACATGAGGAGATTAGCTGAGTCACATTCATGATGAAGCATGAGAACATAGTTCCATTAGGTTTTTTAAATTATCAATAATCAAACAATCCTATTAATAATTATCAATATGAATGAAATATTGATATTGACATTGATGTTAGTAATAAAACATCAATAACTTAATTCACTAAATATTAATTACCTATGCTTTTTAAGTTCTTTACATCTATAGTATCTATAGTTTGAAAATACTGTACAATAGTGTGCTGCTGTACCTTTCTCCCCAACTCTGCATTTAGCGAGGTCATATTAGTAGCTTGAAATTGACCATGGTTGGAATATTTCCGCTATGAAAATTGGCAAACACTATGAAGTTGGGCTTTTTATTTATTTAATTTTTTTTGCTCTTTTTTTCTGGAGATCTATTTGTTAAATATTTACCAGCACACCACTGCCCCTGACCAAATGAGATAAGAAAGTAGGAATTTAGTGAGTCCTGGGGCTGAAAATTTTCCTGGAGTTTCTCTCTTTATCTCTAATAGCCAAGATCTGTTGTAATGGCCACACATCTGGGTAGAAGTCTGTGGGTTAACCAGGGAGAAGGGCTGAATATTGGAGACTCCTCTTGTAAAACTAGATCCCGAAGGATGACACACTCAGCGGGTTTAATAAAGCAAAATAAAATTGCCCTTAGTTGAAGACTTAAGAGATATTTGTTTGGCCTACATTTAGCTTTGAGAGGATAGGAAATTTTTTTAAATGTCCACTCTGAGAGGTTCTGTTACAAACCCATACTCATTTCAGTCACCGAATGGACTCCAAAAGCACCACCTGACCTAAAATTTGCCAAACTTAACTTTCAGTTTGTAAAAGTTAAGTTATTTGTAGGAGTGTTTGTAGTTAAGTGTTTGTAGGAGGCTCGAAACAAATGCAAATAAATTTCTCTTTGATGGAACAAAATTTAGTTTTATGCCTCCAATAATTTCCATAGATAATATTCTAAAGAACATAAAATATAAATCTAAATCACTAAATACAAACCAATAAAAATTGAAGGTGAAATAGACATGAATAGGCATTTCACAATAACATTAAAAAATCATATAAAAATATGGTGAACATCATTAACAATTCAGGAAATATACAGTATAACCTCAATGATACACTACTATATAACCACCAAAGTGGCCAAAATCAATAAGATTGATAGTACCAAGTGTTTGTGAGAATGTAGACCAATTGGAGCATTCACATAGTGTTAGCGAAAGTGTAATTGGAAAAATAAAAAATAGCATTAGCTTCTAAAGTTGAAGATACTCATCACAGGTTGTTTTCTCCAGGAAACAGACACTGGAATAGAGTTAGAAATGTAAAAAGTGTATAAGGGAAGAAAACTGTGAAAAGAAAGGAAGGAATCAGGATATATCAATTAATACTCGTGCTAATTTCCTGTCAACGCATGTACCTTAGAACACAGATCATTTACCACTTTCCCATATACAGTATGTTTTCAGGAATATTTTTCTAACTTTCTCATCACATTATTATTCATATTGCTTTATACATGCAATGTTCATTTATATATCTAACATCATGACCCTTTCCATTGCTTGTCATTCCCTCCGGCATATCCAAGCTGCCATCCAAGATCATTTTTGTTCTGCCTGCAGAGCATCCTATTGTTTGCCTCTATGTATGTCTATTGCTGACAAAATCTTTTAGGTTTATTTTTTTGGGTCTGAAAATGTCTTCATTTGCTTTCTTTTTCTGAAGCACATTTTTACTGATAATAGAATTCTAAGTTAGTGATTATTTTCTTTCATTACTTCAAAGATGCCATTCCATTGTCTTCTTTCATTGTTTCTGTTGAAAAGTCAGCTCCTTCTTTTAGGCACCATTTCTGTGTTTGTTATTTTATAGGTCCTTTTTTATTTTCTCATTTCTCTAACACCTGTTTAAGTACATATTAATATTCAATTCTCCATGATAAAAATCCCTAGTATGGTTTCTGTGTTCTTGACTAGACAGTGACTGATATAGTGTAGTTATCTTCAAGACTATATGTGATATTTCCAATTTCTGAATCTGCTTTTGATTGGCTTTTTTGTTTTATTGACAATTGTGTTGTTTCTTATATGCCTGTTGTGTTGTTTCTTTTTTTTTTATTATTATACTTTAAGTTTTAGGGTACATGTGCACAATGTGCAGGTTAGTTACATATGTATACATGTGCCATGCTGGTGTGCTGCACCCACTAACTCGTCATCTAGCATTAGGTATATCTCCCAATGCTATCCCTCCCCACTCCCCCACCCCACAACAGTCCCCAGAGTGTGATGTTCCCCTTCCTGTGTCCATGTGTTCTCAGTGTTCAATTCCCACCTATGAGTGAGAATATGCGGTGTTTGGTTTTTTGTTCTTGCGATAGTTTACTGAGAATGATGATTTCCAATTTCATCCATGTCCCTACAAAGGACATGAACTCATCCTTTTTTATGGCTGCATAGTATTCCATGGTGTATATGTGCCACATTTTCTTAATCCAGTCTATCATTGTTGGACATTTGGGTTGGTTCCAAGTCTTTGCTATTGTGAATAGTGCTGCAATAAACATACGTGTTCATGTGTTTTTATAGCAGCATGATTTATAGTCCTTTGGGTATATAACCAGTAATGGGATGGCTGTATCAAATGGTATTTCTAGTTCTAGATCCCTGAGGAATTGCCACACTGACTTCCACAATGGTTGAACTGGTTTACAGTCCCACCAACAGTGTAAAAGTGTTTCTTTTTCTCCACATCCTCTCCAGCACTGTTGTTTCCTGACTTTTTAATGATTGCCATTCTAACTGGTATGAGATGATATCTCATTGTGGTTTTGATTTGCATTTCTCTGATGGCCAGTGATGGTGAGCATTTTGGTAATTTATAGATTCAATGCCATCCCCATCAAGCTACCAATGACTTTCTTCACAGAATTGGAAAAAACTACTTTAAAGTTCATATGGAACCAAAAAAGAGCCTGCATTGCCAAGTCAATCCTAAGCCAAAAGAACAAAGCTGGAGGCATCACACTACCTGACTTCAAACTATACTACAAGGCTACAGTAACCAAAACAGCATGGTACTGGTACCAAAACAGAGATATAGATCAATGGAACAGAACAGTGTTGTTTCTTATATCTCCTGCCACACTGTCTTCCACAATTGTTGAACTAATTTACATTTCCACCAGCAGTGTAAAAGCATTCATTTTTCTCCATAAACTTGCCAGCAGCTGTTGTTTTTTTGACTTTTTAATAGTAGCTATTCTGAGTAGTTTGAGTTGGTATCTCATTGTGTATTAGATTTGCATTTCTCTAATGATCAGTGATGTTGAGCTTCTTTTCACATGTTTCTTGGCTGCATGTATGTCTTCTTTTGAAAAGTGTCTGTTCATGTCTTTTGCCCACTTTTTAATGGGGTTGTTTTTGTCTTGTAAATTTGTTTAGGTTCTGATAGATGCTGAATATTAGCCTTCGTCAGATAAATAGATTGCAAAAATCTTCTTTCACTCTGTAGGTTGTCTAGTTACTCTGTTGATAGTTTCTTTTTCTGTGCAGAAGCTCTTTAGTTTAATTAGATCCCATTTGTCAATTTTGGCTTTTGTTGCAATTGCTTTTGACATCTTTGTCATGAAATCTTTGCCCATGCCTATGTCCTGAATGGTATTGCCGAGGTTTTCTTCTAGGGTTTTTATAGTTTTGGGTTTTACATTTAAGTCTTTACTCTATCTCAAATTCATTTTTGTATATAGTGTATGGAAGAGGTCCAGTTTCAATTTTCTGCATATCACTAGCCAGTTCTCCCAGCACCATTTATTAAATAGGGAATCATTTCCCCATTGCTTGTTTTTGTAAGGTTTGTGGAAGATCAGATGGTTGTAGATGTGTGTGGTCTTATTTCTGGGTTCTCTTTTCTGTTCCATTGCTCTGTGTGCCTGTTTTGGTACAGTACCATGCCATTTTGGCAATTGTAGTACTGTAGTATAGTTTAAAGTTGGGTAGTGTGATGCCTCCAGCTTTTTTCTTTTTGCTTAGGATTTCCTTGGCTATTCTTTTTTGGTTTCATATAAATTTTAAAACAGTTTTTTCTAATGATGTGAAGAATGTCAGTGCTAGTTTAATGGGAATAGCATTGAATCTATAAATTGCTTTGGGCAATGTGGGCATTTTCATTATATTGATTCTTCCTATCTGTAAGCATGGAATGTTTTTACACTTTTTTGTGTCATCTCTGATTTAATGGAGCAGGGATTTGTAGTTCTCCCTGAAGAGGTTATTCACTTCCCTTGTTAGCTATATTCCTAGGTATTTTATTCTTTTTGTGGCAATTGTGAATAGGAGTTTATTTGTTATTTGGCTCTCTGCTTGCCTGTTGTTGGTGTATAGGAATGCTAGCAATTGTTGTACATTGATTTTGTATCCTGAGACTTTGCTGAAGTTGCTTATCGGACTAAGAAGCTTTTGGGGCCGGGTGCGGTGGCTCATGCCTGTAATCCCAGCACTTTGGGAGGCCGGGGCGGGTGGATCATGAGGTCAGGAGATCGAGACCATCCTGGCTAACATGGTGAAGCCCTGTCTCTACTAAAAATACAAAAAATTAGCCAGGCACGGTGGCAGGCACCTGTAGTCCCAGCTACTCCAGAGGATGAGGCAGGAGAATGGTGTGAACCTGGGAGGCGGAGCTTGCAGTGAGCTGAGATAGCACCACTGCAGTCTGGCCTGGACAAAAGAGCAAGACTCCATCTCAAAAAAAAAAAAAAAAAAAAAAAAAAAGAAGCTTTTGGGCTGAGATGATGAGGTTTTCTAGATATAAGATTATGTCATCTGCAAACAAAGATAGCTTGACTTCCTCTCTTCCTATTTGAATATTCTTTATTTCTTTCTCTGCCTGATTGCCCTGGCCAGAACTTTCAACATTATGTTGAATAGGAGTGGTGAGAGAGGGCATCCTTGTCTTATGCTGGTTTTCAAGGGGAATGCTCCCAGTTTTAGCCCGTTCAGTATGATATTGGCTGCAGGTCCAACATATATGGCTCTTATTATTTTGGGGTATGTTCCTTCAATATCTAGTTTATTGAGAATTTTAACATGAAGGGCTGTTGAATTTTATCAAAGGACTTTTCTAATACATCTATGGAGATAATCATGTGGTTTTTGTCTTTAGTTCTGTTTATGTGATGAATCACATTTATTGATTTGCATATGCTGAACCAATCTTGCATCCTGGGGATGAAGACCACTTCGGTTATAGTGGATATGCTTTTTGATGTGCTGCTGGATTCAGTTTGCCAGTATTTTGTTGAGGAATTTTGCATCGATGTTCATCAAAGATATTGACCTGAAGTTTTCCTTTTGTGTTGTATCTCTGCCTGGTTTTGGTATCAGGATGATCCTGGTCTCATAGAATGAGTTTTTCTTTTCAATTTTTTGAAATAGTTTCAGTAGAAATGCTATCAGCTCTTCTTTGTACCTGTGGTAGAATTCAGCTATGAATCCATCTGGTCCTGGAATTTTTTTGGTTGGTAGGATATTTATTACTGCCTCAATTTCAGAAATCATTATTGGTCTATTCAGGGATTCAATGTCTTCCTGGTTCAGACTTGGGAGAGTGCATGTGCCCAGGAATTTATCCATTTCTTCCAGGTTTTCTAGTTTATGTGCATAGATGTGTTTATAGTATTCTCTGATGGTTGTTTATTTCTGTGGGGTAAGCAGTGATAGGCCCCTTATCATTTCTGATTGTGTTTATTTGAATCTTCTCTCTTTTCTTCATTAGTTTAGCTAGCAGTCTATCTATTTTATTAATTTTTTACAAAAAACAACTCTTGGATTTGTTGATTTTTTTGAAGGGTTTTTTGTGTCTCTGTCTCCTTCAGTTCTTCTCTGAGCTTGGTTACTTATTGTCTTCTGCTAGCTTTAAAGTTTGTTTGCTCTTGGTTCTCTACTTCTTTTAGTTGTGATGTTAGTTGTTAACTTGAGAGCTTTCTAGCTTTCTAGCTTTTTGATGTGGGCATTTAGTTTCCCTCTTAACGCTACTTCAGCTGTGTCCCACATATTCTAGTACACTGTACTTTTGTTCTCATTAGTTTCAAAGAACTTTTTGATTTCTGCCCTAATGTCATTATTTACCCAAAAGTCATTCAGGAGCAGGTTGTTCAATTTCCATGTAGTTGCATGGTTTTTGGTGAATTTATTAATCTTGAGTTTTAATTTAATTGTGCTGTGGTCTGAGAGACTGTTTGTTATGATTTCAGTTACTTTGCATTTGCTGAGGAGTGTTTTACTTCCAATTATGTGAACAATTTTAGAATAGGTGTGGGGATGAAAAGAATGTATATTTCTGTTGTTTTCGGGTGGAGACGTCTGTCTTTTGGTGGAGATATCTGTCAGGTCCATTTGATCCAGAGCTGAGTCCAGGTCTTGACTATCTTGTTAATTTTCTGTCTCAATGATCTGTATAATACTGTCAATGGGGTGTTAAAGCCTCCCAGTATTATTGTTTGAGAATCTAAGTCTCTTGTCTAAGAACTTGCTTTATGAACCTTGGTGCTCCAGTATTGGGCACATATATATTTAGGTTAGTTAGCTCTTCTTGTTGAATTTACCCCTTTACCATTATGTCATGCCCTTCTTTGTCTTTTTTTATCTTTGTTGGTTTAAATTCTATTTTGTCAGAAGCTAAGATTGCAACCCCTGCTTTTTTCTGTTTTCCTTTTGCTTGGTAAATTTCCCTCCATCCCCTTATTTTGAATCTATTATGTGTCTTTGCATGTGAGATGGGTCTCCTGAAGACAGCATACCTATGAGTCTTGGTTATTTATCCAGCTTGCTATTCTGTATCTTTTATTAAAGGGATTTAGCACATTTACATTTAAGGTTAGTATTGCTATGTGTGGATTTGATCCTGTCATCATGATGCTAGCTGGTTATTTTATAGACTTGTTTATGTGGTTGCTTCATAGTGTCACTGGTCTGTGTACTTCAGTGTGTTTTTGTATTGGCTGGTAACCATTTCTCCTTTCCATATTCAGTGCTTCCTTCAGGAGCTCTTGGAAGGCAGGTCTGGTGGTAATGAATTCCCTTAGCATTTGCTTGTCTGAAAATGATCTTATTTCTCCACTTATGAAGCCTAGTTTGGCCAGATACGAAATTCTGGATTGGAAATTCTTTTTATTTTTTTAAGAATGTTGAGTATTGGCACCCAATCTCTCCTGGTTTGTAGGGTTTTCACTGAGAAGTCTGTGGTTAGTCAGATGGGCTTCTCTTTGTAGGTGACCTAGCCTTTCTCGCTTGCTGCCCTTAACCTTTTCACTTTCATTTTGGCCTTGGAGAATCTGAAGACCATATGTCTTTGGGATGAACTTCTCATGGAGTATCTTACTGGGGTTCTCTGCATTTCCTGAATTTGAATGTTGATCTTTGGAAGGGGTTTCTGCGCGGGGTGGGGGGGGGGGTCTTTTTTGTTGATGTTGATGTTGTTGCTTTCTGTTTGTTAGTTAGTCAGGCCCCTCTTCTGCAGGTCTGCTGCAGTTTGCTGGAGGTCCACTCCAAACCCTGTTCACCTGGGTATCACCAGAGGAGGCTGCAGAACAGCAAAGATTGCTATCTGCTCCTTCCTCTGGAAGCTTTGTCTCAGAGGGGCACCAGCTTGATGCCAGCCAGAACTCTCCTGTATGAGGTATCTGTTGATCCCTGTTGGGAGGTCTCTCCCAGTCAGGAGGCACAGGAGGCACAGGGGTCAGGGACCAACTTGAGGAGGCAGTCTGTCCCTTAGTAGAGCTGGTGTGCTGTGCTGGGGGAATCCCCCTTATCAGAATCAGCTGCTCTCTTCAGAGCCAGCAGGCCAGAAAGATTAAGTCCACTGAAGCTGCACCCACAGCCACCCCTTCCCTCAGGTGCTCTGTCCAGGGAGATGAGCCTTTTATCTGTAAGCCCGTGACTGGGGCTGCTGCCTTTCCTTCAGAGATGCCCTGCCCAAGTGAGAAGGAATGCAGAGAAGCAGTCTGGCCACAGCCGCATTGCCACACTGTGGTGAATTCTGCCTGGTCCAAACCTCCCAACCTCCTTGCACTGTCCGGGGAAAACTGCCTACTAAAGCCTCAGTAATTGTGGATACCCCTCCTCCCACCAAGCTCAATCATCCCAGGTCAACTTCAGACTGCTGTGCTGGCAGTGAGAATTTCAAGCCCATGGTTCTTAGCTTGCTGGGCTCTGTGGGACTGGGACCCACTGAGCAAGACCACTTGGCTCCCTGGCTTCAGCCTGTTTTCCAGGGGAGTGAACAGTTCTGTTTGTCTGGGGTTCCAGGCACCACTGGGGTATGAAAAAAACTGCTTGGTGCCTGCCCAAACAACCACCCAGTTTTGTGCTTAAAAACCAAGGCCCTGATGGTGTAGGCTCGTGAGGAAATCTCTTGTTCTGTGGATTGCAAAAACAGTGGGAAAAGCATAGTACTCGGGCTTGGTAGCACAGTACCTCAAGGCTTCCCTTGGCTGAGGGAGAGAGATCCCCCAGCTCCTTGCACTTCCCGGGTGAACTGATGCCCCACCCTGCTTCTGCTAGTTCTCCATGAGTTGTACCCACTTCCTAACCTGTCCCAATGAGATGAACTGGGTACCTCAGTTGGAAATGCAGAAATCACCCACCTTCTGCATTGGTCTCACTGGCAGCTGCAGACCAGAGCTGTTCCAATTTGGCCATCTTGGTCCCTTCCTATAATCCCATATTTCTCAGAGGTTTGTTCATTCCTTTTTATTTTTTTGCTCTGTTCTTATCTGGCTGTCTTTTTCAGAAAGATAGTCTTCAAGCTCTGAGATTCCTTCCTCCATTTGGTATATTCTGCTCTTAATACTTGTGATTACATTGTAAAGTTCTTAGAGTGTGTTTTTCAGCTCTATCAGGTCAGTTATGTTTCTCTCTAAACTGGCTACTTTGGCTGTCAGCTCCTTCATTGTGTTATCATGATTCTCAGCTTCTTTGCATTGGGTTACAACATGCTTCTTTAACCCAGCAAAGCTTGTTTTTATCCACATTCTGAAGCCTGCATTTGTCATTTCAGCCATCTCAGCCTCAGCCCAGTTCTGAGCCCTTGCTGGGGTGTTATGGCTATTTGGAGGAAAAGGGGCACTCCAGCTTTTTGAGTTTTCAGTGATTTTGCATTGACTCTGTCTCATCTTTATGGGCTTATCTACCTTTGATCTTTGACTTTCCTGACCTTTGGATAGGGTTGGGTTTTGTGGTTTTGTTGTTGTTTTCTTTCTTTCTTTTTTTTTCAGCCTGGCCACTCTTCCATAGGGCTGCTGCAGTTTGCTGGGGGTCTGCTCCACATCCTTATCACCTTGGTTTTTTCCCATACCTAGAGGTATCACCAATGAAGTCTGCAAAACAGCAAAGATGGCAACCTGCCCCTTCCTCTGAAAGCTCCATTTCAGTGGAGTACTCCATTTCAGTGGAGTACTGACATGTTGCCAGCCTGAACACACCTGTAGGAGGTGGCTGGATATACCTGTTGGGAGGTCTCACCCAGTCAGGAGAAATGGGATCAGGTACCCACTTAAAGAAGCAGTCTGGCTGTCTTTTGGTAGAGCAGCTGTGCTGTGTTGGGGATCCTGATCGTTAACCCCTGATTGTTTTGGGCTCTCCAAGGCCCACAGGCTGGACCTGCTGAGATGCTGGAACAGCCAATGTGGTGGCCTGCCCTGTCACCCAGGCACTCCATCCCAGGGAGAAATTAGAACTCTGTTGGCCATAGAACATGGAAAAGGGTGGCTGGAATCCCTGGCTGGGAGGACCTGCCCTGCAAGGAGGAGTGGATCAGAGTCCCAGTTACAGAAGCAGTCTGGCCACACCTTGACCAAACAACTGTGTTGTGCTGGGGAACTGCCTCTGCTCCTGTCGGCTTAAACTCTCCAAAGGCTGCAGGCTGGAATGGTTGAGTCATCCAAACAACCAAGGTCGTGTCCCACCCCTCCCCAGGGAGAGATCAGAGCTCTGTCCATAGAATATGGGCAGGTGGGGGTAGCTGGAGGCCCTGTCTGGGAGGTCCCACATAGTAAGGAGGAATGAATTGGGGTCCCGCTTAGAGAAACAGTCTGGCCACATTCTGGCAAAGCAGCTGTGCTGTGCTGGGGGGACCCTTCCTCATCTGGACTGTTTGGAGTCTCCAAAGCCCACAGGCTGGAATGGCTGAATTGACCAAACAGCAGAGATGGCAGTCCACTCCCCTGGGGACTCTGTTCCATCTCAGACAGTCTCCACCCTGTTGCTGGTGGCTGGCTGGAATTCCAAGACAGTGGGTCTCATCTTGTGATGTGCTATGGAAGTGGGGCTCACAGACTGTCACCACTCAGCCCCCTGGATTCAGCTCCCTTCCTAGGTGTATGCACATACCCTCTGCCTTGCCTGAACTACCTACACCCTTGCCAGGGATCCCAGGGTTGCAGTCTGTAAAGCTCCTTGGTCTCTGTGTGTGTATGAGCAGCTGCTCTGCTGAAACTCCACACAGCACTGTGTTTTGAACCCAAGGCTTTGGTGGCGTGGACCCACAAGGGGACCTCCAGATCCGTGGGTTGCAAAGATTTGTGGGAGAAGTGTGGTTTCCTGGGGTAACCCAATCACTCTCTGCTTCCCTTGGCTGGGGGTGGAGTTTCCCTTGGCTCATTGTTGCTCCCCAGTGGGCCATCGCCCCACCCTGCTTTTCTTTGATCTCCATGGGTCGAGTTGTTTCTCTGATCAGTCCCAGTGCAAGTACCTGGATATTTCAGTTGAAGGTCCTGTATTTATGTGCCTCATTTTTTTTTCCTTCTATGAGTGCCACAGACTGCAGCTGCTTCTAATCAACCATCTTGGCCCCAGCTTGATAACTTTTTAAAATTTCATTATTTCCCTCCTTTAAAATGTGCTTTGGGCATTTGGTTCCTTTAGTTTTGACCCTGGCTACATTATAGCTAGCACTATAGAATTCCAATGTACCTAAGAACTGTGCTGTTCTGTTTGATCCCAAGCCCTTTCCTGTCCCCATCTCTCTACTATATACCTATCTGAAATCAAAGAGAGTGTTAAAAACATAGGTAAGGGAGTGTAGAGACCTGACTCGCTATTCACAATTAGGAGGCCTTTATTGGAAAATGTATTTTCAATAAAGGCACAAATAAATATTTCCCAATATTATCAAAGGTGAAAGTAAGTGGGGAACATTTTTGCTTGTAGCCACACAACTCTGTAGGCAAATCAAGTTGATTCAGACCACCCCTTTGTCAGTGTTCAGTAAGATCTGCATAGTCATAACCATTGAGTGATCAGACAGGGGTGCCAGGGCTGAGCCCTAATGCCATTCCAAAACAAGCAGGTGTGAGAAGTGAGGAAATTAAGAAGTCTCATGCTGTCTGAGATAATTTTTTTCTCCCTTTAGGACAGACACTTATCCATTTTTGAAGGTCCAACTCTAGTCTTCTCTCCTTCATCAAACACAACGTCTTGAGCATTCTCTGACTTGCTAGAATTTTTCGTCACACTCCAAGTTAGTAATTTTATTTAAAATAAATTGGCTTGCTTTATGTTTTTGCTATTTTGGGGATCAATAAGACTGAAAGCTTCTTGAGTGTAGACATCAAAGCTTGTATTCCTTTTGCTGCCCTTATGTCTCAAGCAGAATATAAGGTAAGTGCTTGGTGAATGTTTATTAGTTAATAATGCAGGGAGCTTCTGTGTGAAATATTATTCTAAGCTTCATCATTAAAGGGAAATCAGCTCAATGATTAGTGACGATTAGCATGGACAACTTTTAAATATAGATATGTCAATAATTAAAATCCTTTTTAAAAAATAGTTCCCATATTTATATTTTTTTTGTTTCTAGGATGATCCTTAAAAGACTTGTTGGTAATGACAGTGAATGGGAGTCATGTGGCAGTGATCTGGTTCAGATCTGTGGCTTACTCAGGAAGGGGCAAATTGAGATCTCTGGGAGTTTTTATAGCCTCACCAATAAAAAAGAGGGTAATAGGCACTTTATCACCTCTATGAAGTGGTTTTCAGGAGGAAAGAAGGTAATATGCTTCCATGGTGCCTATTTTCTTTTCCAATATCTATTATAGTTCACATATTAGTATGTATTAGAGGTGGTGGTTTGTCAGAGCTCACTTGTACAGCCTTGCAAAAACTGATTTTTAAACTTTGGAGGATTTTGTGAGCTGACTGGTAAAGACTGCCATTATTAAAGATTATATAAATATATTTAAACTGACAACTAAATACATCATATTAAAATATATACAATAAATAATTAAAACTCATTATTTCCTAATTATTTTACTCCATTTTATTATTACTTGTGATTTTGAGGTTATTTCTATAACCTATTATGTAATGGTGTGCTGTTTTGCATTTCTTCCCAACTCTGCATTTACAGTGAGTCATGTTGTAAGCTTTAAATTGGGCATGATGAACGCATTTACACCATGAAAATCAGCAAATGCTACAAATGAAGGCTTTCTGTTCAGATAGCCAGCTTTTAAACATTATAATACACCATGGATATTTTACCCACTTAATTATTAGCAACTTGGGAAAAAATCTGGTGCCAAATATATTTTTATACATTCCAGTGTTGGGTGTGAGGTGCCATGTTTAATCTGGTGTGCATTAGAATCCACTGGACAGTTTAAAAATCCTTTTTTAAATCTGATTTTTTTTTCAGCTTAATGCCTCAACGTTTCATCTCCAAGATTTCAACTTAGTTGGTTTGGCTGGGTAATAAAGTATTCTTTAAAAATCTTCTTGTTGAATTTAAATATGCATTAAATTTAAAACTATTGATTTAAACATCACCTTGAAACTATTAGCCATTGAGCAAATGATTATTAAAGAATAAGTATGTTAAGAAACTATAAAAGCTATAATACACTATATGTAAGATAGAATATGATTCTTGTAAGAAAAATGCTACTTCAAAATTAGTTACTGTAGTTGTTCTCAAATGCTTGCCTAATTTCCAGTAGTGGAATCTAAGGAAGGGAACTCAGTATCTGGAGAAGGAGATAGGATGTAATCTTACTTCTCACTGGATACCCTTTTACTTTTATACCATAAACATAGGTTAGCCATTCAATACACATACACAAGTTTTTAATGATTTGTGTTGTAAAAATTGTTAGTGAGCAAATGAATGTTTTAAAAATACAGTTTTATGATTTATCAATCTGATTCTTGGAAGTTGACTAACCCTTCAAGGGTAGAGAAAATTAAAGCAGTGTTTTTTGTTTTGGAGTTGGTTGAAGCTCATGCACAGGATTACAGGTGGCCAATTACAGATGACAAATCACAGAATATTATTTTTAAAATACCTAGTTTTGGAAAAGCAAATCTGATTAAGAGAATGTAAGTACTATCTTGATATTGATTGGCTAAATCTTTGCTTAAAAGCAATAAAATATGTTAGTAGTTTTAAATTGGATATATGGGCACATCCAAACATTACAGGAAAATGGTCATCTAAAATATCACTGAGCAAGGTATTTTATAATGTTAGTTTCAATGTATGTTGCAATTTGTTTTACAAAGTTACATTCAAGTAAAGCTGTTTAACAGTAACTTTATAAGTTAAACAGAATTCATCATGCCAAATCTCCAACTCTAATCTTTTGTCATGTTATATCAAATGTAAGCAGTACATTTATATTTATAAAATTTTATAAAATTAATATAAAATTTCTATTTATTAAATGAGTTTCTTTATCTGAAGAGTGGGCATATTAATAGTGGCAAACTCATATGGTTACTATAAGCATTACTCAAATTAATACATGTAAATACCTAAACCAATGCTGTGCATAAATTGTGTTCAAAACATGTTTGCTAGCACTTATTTTATAGAAATAAAACTAAGTTCCAGAAAGACTAAGCAAATAGATCAATGTCACACAGGTTGTCAATAAAAGACCCAGGTACACTGAACATATTAAGTCCTTGATAATGACATAATTAAAACTACAACAAATTCAATTAGCACTATTCTAGGAAAAAACTAAAGCTTAATTTTCTTTAAAATTTTTACTTAAATCATTTTTATCCATTACAAAATCTAATATCTTTAAATAATATACACGTTTTATTTTAGTACTAAATTATGATTAATAAATAAATTATATCAAGATTAGATTTCCAAATTGACTTTGAAAAGCCTAGCATGTAGTCTATTTTTTTCCCCAGGGAAATTGAATTATTTAATTTTAAGTTGGATAATAACATTATAATTAACTGACTAATGTACATAGAAAAGTTAAAATAAATTTGACATTTAGTATAACTGGAATCTATTAAGAATCTATTGAACTTTTTTTCCACTGCCAATTACATTTAATGAAAGACAAATTTAGGAAACAAAATCCATTAAAAGTGCTCTATATGGCTTGGCACAGTGGCTCATGCCTTAATCCAAGCACTTTGGGAGGCCAAGGCAGGTGGATCGCCTGAGGTCAGGTGTTCAAGACCAACATAGCCAACGTGGAGAGATCCCGTCTCTACTAAAAATACAAAAGAATTAGCTGGGCGTGATGGCAGGTACCTGCAATCCCAGCGGCTTGGAAGGCTGAAGCAGGATAATCACTTGGACTCAGGAGGTGGAGGTCGCAGTGAGCTGAGATGGTGCCATTGCCCTCCAGCCTGGGCAACAAGAGTGAAACTCCATCTCAAAAAACAAACAAAAAAAGTGCTATATATTGGGTGTTCTACTTATAGTAATAGCAGGCTACTAAACTTGAAAAAAAAATCTAAAATAGAACACAGAAAAGGTGTATTAGAAAACAAGAGTGTGCCAAAGCCCAGGAGAAGAAAATCCAAAGGGATGAGATGAATATTTGGGGTGAGTTTACACTAAAGTAGTCATCCCATTCTTAAAGAGGTGGCTGAAAGTTGAGAACCTGAGCAGAGCTTTCAAGGTATACAGCATGAGGAACATTAGGAGAATAATAAATGGAGGTAGATCTGACCATCAAGGGGACCCTCAGGCCAGTGGTTCTTGACTAGGGGCAATTTTGTTGCCCCCAAGGCTGTTTGGCCATCACTGGAGACTTTTTAGTTATCAGAATTGTAATGTGGAGTGTGTTACTGAATGTAGGGGCTGGAGACCATGATGTTCCCAAACATTCTCCAATGTACAGGATAGCCCTCTACAACAAAGAATTATCTGGCCCAAAATAGTGCCAGTTTTGAGAAACCCTGTTCTAATCAATAAGGATTTAGATGAATACAATACAGATCAGCTTTAATGAGAACAGAAGTCTAGCTTTGAATTATCTCAATTTCTTATTGGAATAAGGTAGCATCCGATTGCTAGTGCACCTTGATTATCAATTTATCAGAGACAACAGTAAATTCTCTCTAGAATGAGGGTCAGCAAACTGCAGCCCTTAAGCTAAATCCAGCCAGATGACTGTTTTTAAATAAAGCTTTATTGGAACATAGCCAGGCTCATTCATTTATTTCCATATTTTATATAATACTTTTCACACTACAATGTTAAAGTTGAGCAGTTGCAACAGAAACCATAAAGCCTGCAGTCAATAATGTTTACCACCTGAACTTCAAAGAAAAAGCTTGCCAGCTTCTGCTCTAAAGAACACAGATCTTCAAATTATTTTATTTATTTATTTATTTATTTATTTATTTATTTATTTATTTGAGACAGGGTTTCACTCTGTTGCCCAGACTGGAGTACAGTGGTGTGATCTCAGCTCACCACAAGCTCTGCCTCCCAGGCTCAAGCAATTCTCCTGCCTCAGCCTCCCGAGTAGCTGGGATTACAGGCATGTAATACCACTACCACCCAGCTAATTTTGTATTTTTAGTAGAAATGGGGTTTCAACGTGTTTGCCAGGCCGGTCTCGAACTCCTAACTTCAAATGATCCACCAGCCTTAGCCTCCCAAAGTGCTGGGATTACAGGCATGAGCCACCACACCCAGCCTCAAATTATCTCTATAGTTTTTCTTGCAGAGATTTTAGCACTCAAACAAAGATAACCAAGTATATAGGAAACAAGACAATATATCAACAGAACAAGAGAATCAACCAACAGACAGTAGCATTATCAAATGTACACATTAGATAATGACATCATATCAGACACAGTTCAGCCTGAAAAAGACATACTAAGGATTTCATCAGAAAAAAAATTATAAACATTTACTTACATGGATGTTGAAAAAAAGAGGAAGTAAAAAGGGACCTCTGAAATAAAGCAGAAATTGCGCCTGAACAAAAAAGCTGACTTTTCAACAGAAACAATGGAAGCCAAAAGACAATGGAATGATGTCTTTCAGATAATGAAAGCAGTAACTGCCAACTTCAAATTTTGTTATCAGTGAAAATGTATTTCAAAAAGTGAAATCCTTCATTCTTAAGACATTTTCAGACAAATGTTAGCTGAAAGAATTAATCAGCAGCAGATGGACACATGGAGGCACACAATAAAGGGCATCTTTAGGCAGAAGAAAAATGATTTTTGTTGTTAGCATGGATATGAGGGAAAGAATCAAGAGCAGTGAAAAGGGTCAGGACTTGAGATATCTAAATGAGTATTGCAAGTATAAAGCAATATTAACAATAACAGTGACAAATAAAATAATAATAAATGACAAAGAAAATTTAAATTCATGAAAAAATTAGCACATAATATGGGGAGATGGCAAATGGTCTAAGGTTTCTAAGGCATTTCTATTAACAGAGAAATGGTAAAAATACTAACTTATATTAGAATTTGAGAATTCATGTTCTAATCTTTGGGGTGACCTTGAAAGAGTACTGTGTAATTGTATGTATAATTACCAAGCTAATAGGAAGAAAAAAATTAAATAATTTTAAATTTTTTCATTTTCTATATTAATTTTAAAAGGCCAGAAATAAGAGTAAAAGCAACATAAGACAGTTCAAACAAATAGAAAAAAGTTATATTGTAAATTTAAACTCAAGCACATTACTAATTACACTAAATGTGAAAGAACTAAATACTTTGAAAAGCAAATGTTTTCCAACTGAATAGAAACAAATCCTAATTGTACACAGCTTACAAGAGATGTACTTTAGCTATGGGGACACAAAATGAATTAAAAAAAAAGGTTGTAGAAAATACACAATTAAACTAAATTATTATTAGACAAAGTAGAATTTAAGATAAAAACTACGAATAATAAAAAAGGATATTTCATTTTGATAAATTTTAATTTGCTGGGAAGTTAAAACAATTCTAACTTAGTCAAGAGAAAGTAATACAACAGTTTTAAAATACCTTAAGCAAAAAATAACTGAACAAAAACAGGCAATGCATGATGATAGTAGGAGATTTTAATGTATCTCTCTTACTAATTGATAGAATAATCAGAAAAAAATTTATCCATGATAAATGATTTAAACATGATTTTAAAACTTGACCAAATGATGTATTAAGTTGTGACTTACTTGCACTAACTGCATAATATTAATTCTTTTTAATAGCACACAGAACATTTGATAAAAATGACCACATGTTGGACCAGAAAATGTGTCTCAAAAAATTTCAAATTACTGAAATTATACAGAAAATGTTCTCTGACAAGGGTAAAATTAAGGGAAAAATAAAGAGAAGAAAGATAACTTGATAGTCCGATATGCTAGGAAATTAAGCAACATACTTCTAAATAACAAATGGATTAAAAATAAAATTAGAAATAATTTATATTGCATGAAAATAGAAATACTACGTTTCAGAACTTGTGTAATGAAACTAAATTCATGCTTTAAGAAGGAAGATTTTACTCTTCAGTTAGTATCTTAGAAAAAAAAAAAAAAGACTGAAGATTCATGAACTGAGCCTCCATCTCTAGAACTGAAAATTAAGTTTCAAAAGGTAGAAAGAAAGAAGTGCTAACATCAGATGCAGATAAGATAAGAAATAGAAAAACAAATAAGAAGGGAATTGAAAGCTAACTCTTTGGAAAAGCTAATAGAATTGATAAAATTCAGCAATATTGATCATTAATTTTTTTAAAAAGATAGGGAGGCACTAATAATGCCAGAGGTAAAAATGTGTCATCACTGCAGATGAAGTTGATATTGAAACAGCAATAAGAAGATATTATAAGCCAATAAATTCTTAGGATGATACAATTTTTAAAATCCGACACAAGAATAAATTATCAAAACTAGTTCTAAAATTATGAAAGGAATTAAATCTTTAATGAAAAATGTTTCTATTAAGGAAAATTCCAGATGCCAATCATGATAAATTGTGTCAAATATTAAGTAAGAAATAATGTCAATATTATATAAACTAAGAGAATAGAAAAAAAGGAATTTTTTTACTACCCCATTATATGAGACTTGCATATCCTCACACTAAAACTTCATAAGCAAATTCTAGGAAAGGAAGATTATAGGCCAATCACCCTCACAAAAATAGATGCAAAATGGTGAAGTAATAATAATAACGATAGCATTATAAAAAATGGTGATACATCACAAAGACAGGCTTGTTTTGTTCATAATATTTACAGAATAAAGGATTTTTTAAAAACAATCAGCTGAGAAGATATACTAAATTCACACATCAAATTCAATATCTATTCATAATAAAAATTCTTATCAAACTTGAGTAAAATGAATTTTACCTAATTGCATTAAAGCTTTTCAGTAAATATTTTATTTAATGGTGAAATATTGAAAGAGTTCCCCCAAGACACAGGATGCTCACAATAATCTCTTCAGTTTAACATTGCTCTGAGGACCTATGTAGTATAAGAATACAATAGAAAAATATATATATTAGAAGAAATGAAATCATTATTGAAAACAACATGATAATGCATATAGAAAAATGAAAATATGTGTATAACAAAGTTAATGAATACCTGGTAAAAATTTTAAACATTGATATTCCCATATATCAATAATAATCAGTAAGTTGCATTTTAAGAATGTACATTAGTAATTGCATCCACATCAATTTTGTGGAAACAAGACTTAGGAAACGTGCAAAATGTCAACACAGAGAAAACTATAAAACATAAATAGAAATTAATAAAAACCTAAATAAAGGGAGGGATATACCATGTTCATCTTGTATAGTCCATTCTACTCAAACTGACTTTTAGATTTGATGCAATCCAAACAAACTCCCAACAAAATTTATTGGAATTTGACAAGCAGATTCTAAAATACATATGGAAATGTAAGATGAAAATAAAATGAAGAGAAGAACTTATTCTACAAGTTGTTCCAGAAGATATTAAATGTAGAAATTAAATAATGCTAAAAGTTGTGGAAGGACCACTTAACCAGAAAAAGAGAACACTTAACCAGATGGAGGGTCAAGGAACAGATCTGTACATAAAGGGATATTTCATTTATGACGAGGATGGCACCACCCAGCAGTGAGGAAACAATGATCTTGTTGCAGGACAGGCAAGCTCCTAAATTGGGGCTTAGCCCAGGAGGGTTCTTGGCTTCACCCAGAGAAGAATTCAAGTGTGACCAGGTGGTGTTAAACAGCAACTTTTATTGAAGTGGCAGTGCACAGCTGCAACAGATGTACTGCTTCTTATGACACAGGTCTACTCCACAGGCAGTGTGCCCAGAATAGCAGCCTAGAGGTAGTTCTGCACTCATATTTGACCCACTTTTAATTATATGCATATTAAGGGTAGTTTATGCAGAAATTTCTAGAATGAGGGTGATAATTTCTGGGTCATTGGGTCATTGCCATGGAAAGGGTTGAAAACCTCTGGGTGTTGCCATGGCAATGGTAAACTAACATGGCCCCTGGTGGGCACATCTTATGGAAAGCTGTTTCTGCTCAACCTGTTTTAGATAGTCCTTAATTTGGTTCAGTGTCTGAGCCCAGCCTTCAAAGTCCCGTCTTTTACCCCAATCTTGTCAGTTAATGGTGCATAATCTATTGGATATCCAATTGGAAAAATGAAAATGGACCTCTACCTCACATCATCTAAATGCAAAAGGTAAAACAATAAAGCGTCTAGAAAATACCAACAGAAAAAAATACTTATATGTCTGTGAAGGAGATGAAGATTTCTTTGAAAGTACATACAAGTAGAAACCATAAAGTATTGATGAAATGGTATACATTTGGCTCAAGACCTTCTCTTCATCAAAAGACCTTAAGAGAGTAGAAACAAAAGTCACAGAGTGAAAGAATATGTTTTCCAAAAATATAGCAAAGTATTTTTGTCCTTCGCAGACACACACTGTCTTGCACTCTCTCTCTCACATACACACAATACTTCAAATCCTTAAGAATAACAGAGGCAACTCAATTAACAAATAAGCAAGAAAACGGAATAAAAATTTTACAAAACAGGACAGTCAGGCATCCCGTAAGTATTTTAAAAAGTCCTCAACCTCACTAAGTCCTTTGGGAAAATGCAAATTAATACCTCCATAAGAAAACATTACATACTCTCTAAAATAATGAAAATTTAAAAAAATAAGTAAAAAGTGATTATGAAAATGAAGAGCAATGGATAACTCATTTATTGCAGAGGGCAAAGTAGTACCATCACTTGGAGAACGTTTCAATGTTTTCTATAAAAGTTGACACAGCAATTTCATTTGTGGGTATAGAGCCAAAACAAATTTATTCACACTTTAATGTGAACACATGTACAAGAATATTCATAGCAACCTTATTTGAAATAGTTCCAAGAAAGGAAACAGCAGAAATGCCCATCAACATCAGATTAAATGCATTTTGTTTAATTCATGCAACATAATACTACAAAGCCATAAAAATGAACAGAGTACAGTTTAAAGCAACAACTAATATCAATCAATAATCAACTAATATCAGAAAAAGATAGATACATAAAATATACATTGTGTGATTCAATTTACATAGCGTTCTGAATGGTGTTTTAAGTCAGAATACTGGCTACCCTTGGGAGGAGAGAAGGGGAATGCTTTGCTGCTGTGTTTTGACATAAGCCATGGTTACACAGACATATTTATGTTGTTATAAAGTAACGAAGTTCAATAAGTTGGGCCCTCATGATTTCTTCTCTTTCCTGTGTGTATAGTATGCTTTAATGAAGATAAGTCCTTTATTAAAAGATTTATATATTCTTTATTTTCAAAATATAAAAAAATTAGTAAGAATAGTTAAGCCAGCAATAAATATTAAAGTCACTAATCTAAATAACTCTCAGATGAAAGAGGAAAATAATACAGATATTACAAATTACTTATTTGTTGAAAATGAATTTGAGAACACTTCTTATCAAAATCTATGAAAATAGGCTGAGCGTGGTGGCTCTTGCCTGTAATCCCAGCACTTTGGGAGGCTGAGGTGGGCGGATCACAAGGTCAGGATTTCAAGACCAACCTGGCCAATAGGGTGAAACCTCATCTCTACTAAAAATATAAAAATCATCCAGGCGTGGTACCAGCTACTTGGGAGGCTGAAGCAGAAGAATCGCTTGAACCTGGGAAGCAGAGGTTGCAGTGAGCAAAGATCACACCACTGCACTCCAGCCTGGGTGACAGAGTGAGACTCCATCTCAAACAAACAAACAAACAAACAAACA
Organism: Homo sapiens; assembly: GCF_000001405.40. Classification (NCBI taxonomy): domain Eukaryota; kingdom Metazoa; phylum Chordata; class Mammalia; order Primates; family Hominidae; genus Homo; species Homo sapiens. The sequence continues at coordinate 150,298,161 of NC_000002.12, read as the reverse complement.
AACAAAACTATGAAGATAGCTAAAACCTTACTGAGGGGAATGTTCACAATTTTATAGTCTATTTTAATTAACCCTTTTCCCTTTTGCCCCAAGAATATTCACCAGTGGCCCCTTGTGGCTGCAGCATTTACCCTTAGATAACTTTGCCATGAACTATCTCACTTTTATTATTATTTTCACATTGCTCTAGTATTGACTTTGGAAACAAAAGACATCATTCTTTTTATAGCATTTTGTTTTTAGTAGTAGTATTTCCATTTAAAAAATATAGTAATTCTATATTGCTGAAAACATCAAATTTTAGAAAACATAGCATCCCTATGTGTGATGTTACCATCATTCTCAAACAGTAGTTGGCCAAAGATTTATTTGATAAACCTGATTATTCCAAAATAGATGATTCTGACATTAGTTCTGTTTATAAATAACTCCAAATACAGTTTTTATATTTTATTTTCACAATGAAAATCAGATTTGCCTCAGCTTCAAAGAGCGCGTTTACAAAAAATTAAATGAATGCTGGCAGCGAGCTGTGCTTTTTTTTTTCTAAAAGTAAAAAGAGCTAAGCAAAAACTATGTAAAAGCACTCTAAGTGTTCAACTGAGTAAATTTAAAATCTAATAGACAAAACAAAAGAAAACAAAAGAAAGTAGTTAAACAGAATTGATAAAGACTGCACATAAATCAATGAATTTGAATATGAAAAAAAACCCAATCCCATCACTAAAGTGAAGTAATTAATTTCAGAAAATACCAAGCACTACCTCTATCTTGAGATGAGTCTGTGTGGTTGCAAGAATGGGTTGTTTGTAGACTAGTTACTAATAAACTTATCATGCAATTCCTATTTTGGAATAATTACTATATTAGGTTGGCCACATGGTGTTATGATTGATTCCTGGCAATCAGCCATTCAGACAACTAAAAAATAAAAGAACAAATTAATGCTGTCAAGCCATTTAAGCTCTGTCAAAGGTATTGCCAATTTAACCAGGGGGTTTGTAAAAGACATAGAAGACTCATTGGCTACAGTGTTACAAAGTGTGAATCAGCTAAGAGAAAATAAAATAAATAAAAATAAGAGGCTGTGTGCAATTGTTTCCTGGGGCCAGAAGTTTAATCATTTCCTCTGTTGGCCTGTAAGTTTGTGTGTTTGGTGGTGTTGCATCTGTGTATGTTAAACAATGACTCCATTTAGGGGAATGAGATGATGTTTCCTTTTTATCTCTGGGAAAGCACTGGCTGTCCTTCCACTTGAGACTAAAATTCTGTTTTGGATGGAAAGCCAACCACATGTATCTTTTTATTCTGCCTCTTTTATGTATGTGAGAGTGTCATGCTGTCAATCTTGTTGCTTTGCCAAATCCCTAATGCTTTCAGTCATGTATTTCAATCAAATGGCCATTTAACCTGGGCATTTCACCAAAGGGCTAAAACTTTTGGGCACTGGGTCAATCAACTAAAAATTTGATTCTGACTGCAGCCACGTTGCCTAAACAGATTTCTGTGAAACTGCTAATCAATCATCTCTTAAAGAAATGGTTCTTAATTTTTAAAATTACATATTTTTAATATATACCACATTCACATACATATGACAGAAAAAACAACAAATGATTGCTGATATAATACTTTCAGCCCCATTAAATTGTAAAAGCATTCAGGGGATTGAGAACTCTCAGTTAATATGATTAAGATATTTTGTCAGAAACAAGAGGCCAATTATGAAAGGCTCTGAGATTTTCTTCTTGTAACCAAGCATGGCCAAGAATTTAGGCTTTCCTGTTATTCCTGACAATACACATCAACATTTTCTTAACTACATATTTACAATTTTGGAGTTACACATGCCATTAAAAGCAAAATGTTTTCAGTATATTCTATTGATAATTTCCAATACATTAGCAATTACATTTGGGTTGAGCATAAATTTTTATTCAAATTATTGACTGCAAAAATACTTATAAAGCAACAGAACTTTCAGAGGTCTTGGAGTTCTCTAATCAAACAGAGAGCTAGAGAATTTATTTATTCTATAAGCTGTAATTTCTTCCTCCATTCTTATGAAATACATTTAAATTGAGTTTATATTTTACAATAAGACTAAGAACTACCGTCTGTATATTGAGATTTCCAAGATGGAAAAAAAACAAGTCCCTCAAATGTAATAATCTCATTATTCTGATTCTGGCATTTTGAAATGTATAAATAAACTTTACTATGCCTATATAATTGTGGTAGAATCAGACACAGCTGAGGAACTTAGTTGAGTCTGTTTTCAGCTTCTTATAAAATAGCCCTATTGAAAAGGGCATTTCCAAGTTTCTACCCCTGGAGGGAAGGTTCCTGTTTGAAGCATAAGGTAAATAGAGCCTATTGAATAAGGAGGTCATATCAAATTCTGTTGCCATCACTAGTCACACTCTGTTGGAATATGAGTTCGCACTGTCTGAAGTTTCTGATTCATGTACCATGGTCACCGAAAAGAACATTGCTATGAAAGCAATCATGTCATGGATTAAGTCTTTTTCTAAGTCAATGGAATTCAGCCTTTGGGAAATAAAATGTAGTCCTTGTTAAATAGTCCACTGACTGAGCTCAATTCTCCTCTTTGGCTTGGGAATATTATCTCTGAGAATGCGGAAGAGTGAGAATTTTATTCCCAGTCTGTCTTGAACTAATCCATTCTAACACCTTACACTGTGTTTTAGGAGTCAGGTGCAATGTAAATGTAGCTGATATTGCTTCTGTTCTATTTCTGAAGGTGGAAGAGGAGCCAGGCAAGCTGCTTTAGTTTCTGTTTCCCCAGTGAAATGGAAGCCTGGTACAGAAGTGATAGAATAAATATCAGATGATTTAAGTCACTTTCATAATGCTGCACTCCTCTTGCACAGGTATCCATATGAAAACCTCCTATCCAGGAGCTTAGCTTACAGTAATGGTGGCTATTGTTTTTATATTAATAATTATATCACCCATGCCTCTATAAGCAATTGTTCTCACTCCCTCAGGTTCCCTAGATGTTGCTAAGATTTTTAGGTAAACCTCCATGCCTGATCTAACATACAATAGAACAAAATGTGGGGATAGGAAAATCAACCATCTAAAATAACAACAATAATAATAATAAAGGGATGATGGTGAAGCAGAGCCTAAATCAGCCCAAACTCTATTGATATTTGCCTAACTGACTGACAATTGACCCACTTTTAGTATACAACCATTGGTTGAGATACACAGGGGATTTATATTTTTGGCTCAAGGAAATTTTGTGTATGGCAGTTCAAAGGAGCTTAGAAATAGAAGAGAAGGGAGCAATGGTGGGATTGGTTAGGATAACATCTGTGCCCCTGCTGGCCTAGGGACTGGATATGGGTTTGCATAGAAAGAGGGTTTAGAGCTTCAGACTGAACAGTTATATTGATAAAAGACTTTGTAAGACTTTATACTGGCATAAGCATTATAGTTCAAGGTGTTAAGAGTACCAATTTAAGAGGATATTCATACTTTTTCCTGTCCAGCCTCAACTCACCCTTCTGGTAAAGGCATCTCAGGAAAGTTTTCCCATTCATCATCAGTGGAATTTGGGTGGAGTTGACACCATGTTACAGATCCAGGGGTTTAGGGTTTAGGACGCAAACATGGATCTCTTCTTGTTCACATTGATTAGTTCACAGACAGACAAACAAATGGAACCAAGCCAAATGGGACATATTTATAGGTCTTTTGTTGGGAAAAGTGATAAAGAGTAGTTCTGTGTTTTTTATACATAGGATGTAGATGATTTAATCCTGAAGCTATGGGGACTACCCTATGGAAAATGCTTATTTGTGAGTGAAATCTACAGAGAGAAAAGCAGGGGAGAGGATGGGAAGAGACAAAGTCCTGTTGGCACTCTGAATTATTGGGTTGAGTTGTTTCTGAAGCCAAATAGCCTAATGACTTCTGTGATACCCACTAATACATGTCTTTTTGTATGAACAAGTTTGTATTGAATTATTTTGTTACAACCCAAAGAGTCCCAACTACTGCCATGTTCTTCCTCTCTATCACTCCATCCCTCATTGTGCTTTTGGCATCCACACTTAGAACGAGTATCAGCAGAGGCTGGGCCTGATGGGGTAGTGTGTTTCCATGGAAGTCACTGGCAGAAGAAGCAGGGGTGTAAGACATTGGTAAGTGGAGGAACATGTACGGACTTGTTTCTTAGTTCAGATTCAACACCATGGCCTTGGGAATTTCCAGCAATAACTGAGGGAATTATTGAGGGAAGACAGGGTGAGCTGGTCCAGAAAGTGTAACTCAAGTATTAATTAATATGAATGGGATGTCAGTTGTCCCACGGGCTCTAAGCACGGGAGCATGAGATTACCATATAATAGCACTGTTACTGAGAACTTACTATGTATAAGGAATTTTACGTACTGTCCCTAATCCTTCCCACCCCTCTTCCAGGTTGGAAGAATTTTTATTTCCAGTGAGGTTAACTGATTAGTTCAAGGTGACACAAATAGTAAATAGCAGAGACTGGGTTCAGTGTAAGGCCTACTTTTTTCAGGGCCCAATCCTTTTCACTCTGCTGCATTGTCTTCCTATAGTTCTGTAGAAATCTGTTCCTAAAGTCCCAATGGCAGATCAAATTTGTTATTCTACCCATCAAGTGGCATAGTTTGGCACAGTATTTATTAAAAAATACAATGAAACCTTAATAAATGCTTTCTTTTAACAAAGAAAATAAACAGGAAAGCAGAGAAACAGGAGACAGTTTAATTCCTCGAATTTTGCCAAGAAAGTTCTATAGAAAACACAAGGTATAGATCTCTCAGAATCAGAACAGCACTTCCAAAAATGAGACATATTTACTTACAATCAATGAAAATTGCCCTGCTCTTCTTGCTGATGTATTGAAAGCTCTCTCTTTATGTGTGTATGTGTGTGTTTGTGTGTGTGTGTATAATCTTCACTGTTAGGACTGAAAATAGATGGGGATTATTTATTCCTTGTGTATCCACTCATTTCTCTCCTACAGAAGAGTAAATAGCTAACCCCAGGATTTAAAGTCATCTTTACACAGAAGCCAGGAGCATATCTTTCTGCTGTTCAATGACTCATATATCATCCTACATGTCAGTGGAAGCTAAATTCACTGCAGATGTTATTATGGAGTAAAAAGTAGTACTAATGGGATTTAGCGCTATTTGTTCAGGTAGCCCTGCCTGTCTGGAAGATGGAAATGAATAGGAGAGACATCAGCTTGATGAATGGGTATGTGAATATGTCACCAACTGGGGACTGCATCCATTTTACATTCAAGAATTCTAGAAAAAATAACCTAAAGAGGGCAAGATCTTGAACAGAATGAATATGCATAGTTTCTCTCAATGAAGTCTTACCTATAGACTGGGACTTTGAAGAATTATCTAAGAACATCTAAAATAAAAATTCAAATCTAGATTATGCTTAGGAGAATTTCTGTGGGAAATTACAACAAAAGTCCTGGGCTGATGTAGGAAGAACCTCAAAAATGACATTACTGATATTGTTGCTCAGATGCTAGCTTAAAGAAAATTAAACTTGTGTTTACAGAAATGCTATGAAGCAGAGGTAAATTCACTATGAAGCCAAGAAAGGGCAGAGTGAGAGCTTTCTCTTGTGTATGTGCATTGGCCCCTCTAAGGGTCTTTGGCAGTCTTTAGCAATGCCATGGCCATATGTGTTAAAAGGTAAACTTAGGCACATTAAAGTTTCGGTGAGTTTATTTGAGCAGATAGCAATTCATGAACTGGGCAGTAACAGACCACAAGTGGTTCAGGACTTCAATGAGAGTAGGGGTGGGGGCAAAAAGGAAACTTTTATAAGGTGTTCATGGAAGCAAAATGAAGAAAATATATTTGATTGGTTAAAGTGAAAAGTCCCTAAAGTGTAGTTGGAAGTTTCTATTTGGTAAAGCTTAAGTTTTGTTTTACTGTTTACGTTGTTCTTCAGTTTGCTTATTTAGTATCCCAAGGTGCTGAGCTATCTCAGCCTAATGGCCTCCCAATTAAATTTCTATTTAACGTGTTTTTTGTTATATTTGCAAATTAAGATGCTCTTACTCATAAAGAGAGCCTCCAAACTGTAGAAAATTGAGATGGGCAACAGTCTGAATGTGTCCTCCAAAATTCATGTTTTAGAAACTTAATCTGTGATGCAACAGTGTTGGGAAGTGGGGCCTAAAGAGAGGTGTTTAGGTCATGAGGAATCCACTCTCATGAATGGATTAATGCCATTATTAAAAAAGATTTCAGGTTGGGTTTACTCTCTTTTGCTCTTCTGCCAAGTGAGGATGCAGCAAGAAGGCCCTCACTAGACACCAGATGCCAGTGCCTGTTCTTGCACTTACAGCCTCCAGAACTGTCAGTAATAAATTTCTATTCTTTATAGACTGCCCAGTCTGTGCTATTCTGTTATAGCAGCACAAAATGGACTAAGACAAGTCCCCAAAAACCCTAGATTTGCCCTTATGAGGAATGCTGCTCCCCAGAATGTTACTCTGTGACACAGAATGCCTGTTTTCTCAAGGTAGAAGCAGAATGAGTATCATATAATCAAATCAGTGGCCTCTTGGCCTCAATTTCTTCATCTATAAAATGGTTTTATTAGGGCAGATGATGTGTAAGTTCCCTTTCAATTCTAATATTATATAATTTGGTGTGAGCTATCTCTTATCTTTTGTAAGTTAAATGTATTGTAAAGAAAGATAAGGAGAAAAGGAAGTCGATTTTTAAAAAAGTCTTCTACCTTTACTCTCTTCATCTCAATCTTCAATATTAACATTAACAGCTAGGATTATAACATACACTTTATACTTTTTAATAAATAGCACCAAAGACTAGAACTAAACAATAATTTTTTATTTTTATTTTTATTTTTTGAAACGGAATCTCGCTCTTTGGCAGGCTGGAGTGCAGTGTGATATTGGCTCACTGCAACCCCCACCTCCTAGGTTCAAGCGACTTCCCTGCCTCAGCTTCCTGAAGAGCTGGGATTACAGGCACGTGCCACCACACCCAGCTACTTTTTGTGTTTTTAGTAGAGACAGGGTTTCACCATGTTGGCCAGGATGGTCTCGATCTCTTGACCTTGTGATCCACCTGCCTCAGCCTCCCAAAGTGCTGGGATTACAGGCGTGAGCCACCACGCCTGGCCAGTAATTATTTTGACACACAAATTTAATTTTCTATAACACCTAAGAGAATAATATGTGCACATTTTTGCTTGTTTACACAAAAACAGTTTAATATGACTAATCACATGACAGTAAAGTTAACTTGGAAACATCAACTCTGTTAATGATAATCTTTAAAATAATTACATTGTTTCAAATGGTGATGAGAGTCAATTCAAAAACAGGAAGGATGTCTGCTAGCTGCATTTCACTTTGAAAGATTTCACTTATCTAAATATCAGTAACATTATAGTCTCTAACATTATCTGCTTAAATATGTCAAAATCAGAACTGGGTCAAATATATACAAAGAAGAGAAACCATTAGTAAGTTTATTATTTAGGGTCAAAGATAAAAAATTCATGTCCATAAAATTAGTTGTTTTTTTTTTTTTGAGACGGAGTCTTACTGTGTCGCCAGGCTGGAGTGCAGTGGTGCAACCTCGGCTCACTGCAACCTCCACCTCCCAGGTTCCAGCAATTCTCCTGCCTCAGCCTCTTGAGTAGCTGGGACTACAGGTGTGCACCACCACACCCAGCTGATTTTTGTATTTTTAGTAGAGATGTGGTTTTGCCACGTTGGCCAAAATGGTCTTGATCTCTTGACGTCGTGATCTGCCTGCCTCTGCTTCCCAAAGTGCTAGGATTACAGGCATAAGCCACCATGCCCGGCCATAAAATTAGTTTTTATAAGAAGTGCAAGACATTTCACAAGAAAATTTTACCAAACTTTTAAGGAAGAGATAGTTCTAATGGTGTTCAAAATAAAGAGGTGCATAGAGAGTAAAAGAGCACACGATATTTTTATAAATCAAATGAAGCATTGACATAAAAATCTAAAAGAGCACAGTAATACAGACTTATAGACCAGCCTCCCTTGTGAATATCTAGGCAAAATATATTAAATACAGTGTTAGCATATAGAATATACATGGAAAGAATGATATACTAAGAAGTCATATCAGGAATTCAAGAATAATGCAATATTAGTAAATGTAGTAAAATATTTTACCATATTACTATATCAAAAAGAAAAATATATATATAGATACTAAAAAGACATAAAAATTTAAGCTTTCATTATTGTTTTTTGAAAAATCCTCCATAAAATATGAATATATTGATTATCTTCGTTACTTTCTTCAAAGTTTATAAGCCTAAATTCAATGTCAGATTGAAAGGCAAAATACTAAGCAAAGTCCCATAGAAGTAAGAAACAAGTCAAAGATGTTCATTTTTACCAGTTTTACCTAACCTTGTTCTGGAAATATTAATACAATTTAAAAAGAGAACAAAAATAAGTAGCATTGTAATAAATTAGAAAGTAAGAAAGAATATTATAATTATCTGTAGATGGTATGATAGTATACTTGGAAAGCCAAGTGACACAAGTAATAACTATGACATATAATAAAACATTAAGTCTATTGACATTACAAATCTGATAAAGATTTAGACATAAATTTTCTTCATAGTAAAAGTAATCAGTTTGAAAATTTCATGGTGAGACAGTATTTTATTTACAACAGCATCAAAAATAGTAAATACATAGGAATAAACTTAACAAATGGGTGTGATCTTTAAAAAGACAGTAATGGCAACAAGGAGATTATAAAAAATTTAAGCTAGCAGTCTAGATTATCTTCTTTTATGTTATTATAACCACATTAGTTTTTCCTAAAATAATATATATGCTTAAGAGGAAAACTATTTTAAATTTAATCAGATTTTTCTTTTGCATAATAGAAAAGTTGAATCTTAAGTTTATAAAGGGCAAAAATAAAAAGCCTGCATGGATAACCATAAAAATCTGGGGAAAAATTAATGGAGGGGAACAGGTGTACAAAAATTAAAACATATAAATTTAGAGCAATTAACATAGTTTGCATGAATCAATGAATAAAAGACCACAAAATATGTAAGAATTGGAAATGTTTCCTTGATTGTATTAAATTCTTACATATTTTGTGGTCTTTTATTCATTGATTCATGCAAACTATGTTAATTGCTCTAAATTTATATGTTTTAATTTTTGTACACCTGTTCCCCTCCATTAATGTATCCTCCCCTCATTTCCTAATCCACAATCAATTCAGGAAAATCAAATTGTTGAGCATAATTAAATTACTTATAAAAACAATATGGGAGAATTTTTTAAATATATAATTTTAGATTAGGGGAAACATCTCTCAAAACATGTCACAAAGCAAAAGTAATAATGGATTGGTAAAATCAAACATTTTGGAATGAGAAAAGTCAAAAGAAAAACTAGAAAAGTTATTTGCAACACATATGATGAAATAATTGTCTTAATGTTTGTTAGAGCCCTGTAAATAATAATTTCAAAAAAGATCACTGCCCAATAGAAGAATGAGAAAATAATATAAATACACATTTCACTATCCAAGTGGCTTTAAAATAGATTTTTTAAAGGGTCAATTAGACTTATGATTAAGAAAATGCAAAATAAATGAGATTTAATTTTTCGCCTATCAAACTGGCAAAGATGAAAGTACTAAATACCATTTGAGTCAAGATCATTGGAAAATAGAAACGTTCACACATTGGTGCTGCAACAGAAGATTGTCACGATTCCTTTGAAAGACAGTTTTTAACATTTATTAAAACAGAAAATTATATATCCTTTGTCCCAGCAATTTTACTTTCAGAAATTTATTCTGTAGACACACCTGCAGATACGTTTAGGAAGCACATACGAGAATATTTGTTGTAGCATTTTATCTAGAAACAAACCAGCAGAAGACCCAATGAATGAGACAATAAAACAAACCAAAACAAAAGGAAACTTTCAATTTAACAATATGAAATGAGTTATAGCTCCTTCATGTAATAAAATATCATGTGTGGTTAAGTATGTCAGGAGGATCTATACACATTGATATGAAATAATTGTCAAGGAGAAAAGAAAGGTGGAGAACAATCTATACAGCTTAAATGTGTATTAAAAAGGGGGGTTTATGTGTGTATATACACACACACATACACGTAAATCATTGTGCATGTACAAAAAACTTTTAACAGTGATTGTCCCAAGAGAAATTATTTGAGAAACAGAAACAGAAGTTCACGGTTGGTCGTGGTGGCTCACGCTTGTAATCCCAGCACTTTAGGAGGTTGAGGCAGGCAGATCACCTGAGGTCAGGAGTTCGAGACCAGCTTGGCCAACATGGTGAAACTCCATCTGTAATCCTAGCTACTAGGGAGGCTGAGGCAGGAGAACTGCTTGAACCAGGGAGACAGAGGGTGCAGTGAGAGCCGAGATCCTGCCACTGCACTCCAACCTGGGCAACAGAGTGAGACTCTGTCTCAAAAAAAAAAAAAAAAGAAAGAAACAGAAGTTCATGGCTGGGCAATATAATTTTTGCTTGATATTCAAAGTTTTAAAATGTTCATGAATTACCTGTTCAGTTAAAATAATCAAACAAACAAATTATTCGTAGTTCTTTAAGCTATTGTTAAAGATCAGCAAGTAGTAAGTGAGAGAATTTCTCAAGTATGTGTCTGTGGTGTGAGATTTGCATTTTTAGCTGCATATACAGTGTCACTTTTACAACAACGTTGAGGTAGGAGATAGAACTTGACTCTAGAGGTAGGGCTTGGACAGGGGACCAAACTGAGCACTAGCTAAAACAGATCTGGGACAGAAGCACCTCCCCATAAGACATACCTACAGTGTGCCATGTCAGCTTACCATTGCCATGGCAACACCCAGAAGTTACCGCCCCTTTCCATGGCAATGACCCGACAACTCAGAAGTTACCTCCTTCATTCTAGAAATTTCTGCATAAACCACCCTTTAATTTGCATATAATTCAAAGTGGTCATGAATATGCGTGCAGAACTGCCTCTGAGCTGCTACTCTGGGCACACTGCCTATAGGATAGCCCTGCTCTGCAAGGAGCCGTGCCTCTTCTGCTGCTGTATATTGCTGCTTCAAAAAAAGTTGCTGTTTAACACCACCAGCTCACCCTTGAATTCTTTTCCTGGGCGAAGCCAAGAACCCTCAGTTTTAGGGCTTGCCTATCCTGTATCAGTGTGACTTGGTCAGAGTGAGTCACAGAAGACTACATAAGTGAGCAAATTATTATTCTTCAAAACATGCTAAATATAGAGGCATGAATTAACATTATTTGAGAAGAATAATTGCTCGTTCTTCAAACTCATGTATTTCCTTATTAGCCACTGTTCTGGGTTGAAGATATGGTCAGGTCATAACACCCAGTACCGTGAACACAGCATTATTTGAAAATGGAGTCTTTGCAGATGTAATCAAGTTAAGATGAGGTTATACTGGATTAGAGTGAGCCCTAACCTGATGACTGGTAGGTGTCCTTATAAGAAAAGGGAAACTTGGACACAGACCCACACACAAGGAAAATGGCCACGAGAAGACTAAGGCAGAGATTGGAGTTATGCTACTATAGTTCAAGGAAGGCCAAGGATTGCTGACAACCAGCAGAAGCTGCAAGAGACAAGGAAGGATTTTTCCCCGGAGCCTTCAGAGGGAGTGTGCCCCTGCCGACACCTTGATTTCAGACTTCTCACCTTCAGAACTGTGTAGAATACATTTGTGTTGTTTTAAGCCACCCAGTTTGTGATAATTTATTATGGCAACTTTTGGAAACTAATACAGCCACTTTTCTATTTCTCTATTTTTTCCTTTTCGTCTAACATACATAAACTGAAACAGTCATGCATATATTTTTAAAATATTTTTTGCTGTTTTTATCCTCAGATGCTCTTGGACACAATGTTGTAAAATGAATTACTCTTGAGACGATCTTATGTCTCCATAGAACAGTATTCTAAGTAAAATTGTATTCCTAATCCAGCATGTAATGAAAAATAAAAACTAAATATTGACTATAGGTGATAAAAACATACATAAACATAGGTGATACATGATGAAAACATATGTAAAACAATGATAAACCTTTTTTCCTGTTAAAGAAAGTTACAATTTCAAATCTGATGACAGAAATGTAATGAAAATATCAATAAAAAAAGAATTTTAAGAAACCATGAAGTATTTATCTGGCTCACAAAAATAGAGCAATATCAATAACTTTGATCTAAATCAATGTGATAAACTTATTAAAATATAATTAACAATTTTTTTATATAATTGAGAAGGATGATTTAGATTATTTTAATCCCAAAATAATTCCATGTGGGGAAGTTGACACCAGTGCTTTTTTTATGGATAAGTTTTCTCATTATATGTAAATATATGAAATTATTTCATTAAATTTAGTTAGAGTTGAAATAATTTTCCAATGAAGATATTTTATTAGAAAAAAATTGACATGTAGCTATTCATTGCTACTATTGGTTAACTGTGTGACTTTGGGCAAGTTGCTGATAACCTTTTAAATATCAGTTTGTCTGTAAAATGTGGTTAATAACTACTTATCTTGTGTACATTCACTAACCTTACACATCTAAAGTATTAAGCCTAGAGCTTTGCACACAGGTTAGCCTAATTTGAAATATTGTGTTATTGTGTCAGTCTGTGTTAGGGTGGAGCAAATAAATGCTTCCCATAATTAAAAAAGTCTACTGTCACCTTGACCTTCACTTGAAATAATAAAGTTTAAGCAGGCTCAGAGTTGAAAGTAATATGTGAGGCTACCTTCATATCAACCTCACTGAAATGTTAACGACTTTAAGTCATTTGTATATATAACAAGATCTGGAACTTCTTTGAATACTTTAGATGTCCAAGACATTTTTGAACCACATAATGAAATAAATGACTATGAAAAGATATTGGAATAGGCTAGGAGCAGTGGCTCATGCCTGTAATCGTAGCACTTTGGGAGGCCAAGGCGGGCAGATTGCTTGAGCTCATGAGTTCAAGACAAGCCTGGACAACATGGCAAAACCCCATCTCTACAAAAAAAATACAAAAATTAGTCGGATGTGATGGATCAGGCTTGTAGTCCCAACTACTTGGGAAGCTGAGGCAGGAGGATTTCTTGAGCCCAGGAAGCAGAGGTTGCAGTGAGTCAATATCACACCACTGCACTCCATCCTGGGCCACAGAGGCATACCCTGTCTCAAAAAAAAAAAAAAAAAAAAAAAAAAAGATATTGGGATAATCAAAAGGAAATTTAAGTTTATTAGAAATATTCAAACAAGCAATGCAGAACATTTCAAAGGCCTTTGTTATCTAGATCAGCATATCAGCATTCTCAATGCCGGTTCTTTGGAACACTACCTTTACAGGATGTTTATAGACATATGTTCAAAAGGGTTTCCAAGTCTGAGAGACTCTGGGGTAAACAGGTTGCTTTATGATAGACTTCCACTGAGCCTTTAGAGGGATATAGTGTGTAGTAATTCCAAAATTCATTAGAAGTGAATTTAACAGGATTTTTCAGTATTACATGTTCTGTGGAACACACTTTAGGAATCACTGATGAGGTTAATTGCCTCAAATACCTACTTCAGTCTATATGTGGGGACTCAAATGAAAAACTAGGGTGGAAAGAATAAGGAGTGACTAAATCTTCCTTCAATAGGGTATGGTGGAATCCTGAAAACAAGATAGACCTTTCGGTTTGGATCAGGGATCAGTAAGAATAGCCTGTAGGACAAACCTGGCCCGCTGCCTATGGCTGATTTCACACTACAATGGCAGAGTTTAATAGCAGCCACAGGGGCAGCACAGCCCTCAAAGCCAAAAATGTTTACTATCTGGCTCTTTACAAAAAAGTCTGCAGATACCTACTCTAGATCTTTTTCCTCCCCTTTTGTGTAAAAAAAAAAAAATTGTAAACTGACAAGTTCTAACTAAACTATATCTAGGGAATGGAAAATACTATTTCAATCCAAATATTTATAGTCACAAAATCAAAGATTTTGGAGTGTGCACACTTGCGTGTGTGTGCATGTGTGTAAATGTGTATATGTGAGTGTCACTATGGAAACAAATCAACTAGATAGCGAACTAAATGAAGGTTCTTCTCTTCCATTCATCTGTTTGCTGGCAGTGGTGGTGATGTTCGTAGAAAATTAGGCCTACTAGACCAAAAAAAAAAATCTTCATGGGCAGTAAAAGAATTAGCAAAATGGTTGCTGATTTTAATCAGAGATTAAGTAGAAATATAGCACATTATAGTGTATATAATTAAATCTGTGCCAAACTAGGTGCTACATTGAACTATTATTAAATTATATATATATATGTGTATTTCTATAAATCAGTGCCTGTTGAAGAATATCAAAATGATCACCTTTTTGATACCCTTGCAATAGAGAATTCACTCCTCTGTCTTCTCAAAGCTATAAGTTACTGTTTCATCATATGCACAAAAATCCCTTATATGCATTTTTGAATAGAGGCCTTTAGACACATTTTATCTTTTACATTTTAAATTGTTTTAATAGAAACTTGCTGTTCTTCATGGTGTAAACAAATATATACTTTACAAAACTCTTCTTTCATTAATAGTTAAGTTCCTTTTTGAGAATCAGCACAAAATAATTAAGTTTCAAACATCTTGTTTCAAGTTACTCCAGAATAGAGCACAGCTTATAAATATATAAATGACAGTGGGGTGTGGGAATGGAAGGGCAATGGCTTCAGCGTTTAGACCATTAAAACTGTCTTTTTGAATTACATCAGCTACTCAGAAGGCCACCCTAGATGAAACAGTCATGCCCTTTGGCCTGGGACAGCAAGCAGAGTATTATCCCAGCTGGTCAGGGCAATGGGCTAAAAGAATCTTGCAAAAGCTGATCCAAAATAACAAGGATCTGGCATTTTGCACAAGCTAGGCCTTGTACATAGTCGCTGCACAAAATCATTAGATGTTGCAATACTATTTCAAAGTCAACTTTAAAAGAGAGAGATTTTTTTCTTCATACAAACATTTCAAATATTGGCTTCATGGTGAAATAGGGAATTAGGCATTCCAAGTCAGTCAGACATGATGCTTTGGAGATTTGCATTAGTGATTAAACCACTATATCCCCAGAAGAAGCAGCTGCTAAATAACATTCCAGTGCTTCCAGAACATTCCTGAAACATAGAGAACTTGAAAGGGCCCTGGGCCACATAAGTCCCTGGCAGTCCAAAGAAGGCAGGCAGGCAGGCAAGCAGGCAAGAAAGAACCCAATCCTCAATGCTTACTGGATTTTGGCAATAATTGTAGGTCAAACATATTTTGAAAGTTTGGACCATTGAAGCCATTCCTTAACATTACACATACAAGACCACAATTCAATGGCCTATTGGCATATTGCCTCATTTGAAGACTCTAGAAGTTTCCGTGTGCATTTCCCCCACATAAGAACCTCCTGCATGAACTCAAAGGGCAGATTTCATTTCAATTCTATTTCACACACTCAGCTCACAACTCCCACATGCAGGTGTCAGGAAGAACTAAAGGAAAAGACAGCATGAAGCATTTTACGAGACTCCTGTGGACATGCTCCAGCTAGAACATACCCCAGACCATTGGAAACACATGCTGGACAGCTGCTCTGGGCTCACACACTCATTGTAGGTGTTAACACACATTGCATGATCTCAGCATGGAAGCGCAGCAGTTGTAAACACGTGGAAACATAGAAGCTGAGACAATTCCAAACATACACCCCAGTGCGCACAAAGTAGGGTCTAGTGCACAGCAAAACTCTTCAACAACTTCCCAAAGCTATAGTGTTCTTCTTAGATAACAATAGCTCCTCACCTCTCTTGGAAAAACCTAACTTGCTGTAGTTGTGGGCTACAGCTTCCATTTGCTTTACCCTACTGGGAAGCAACTCAACATGTGGTAAATTCCATTTGCGTACCTCCTTGACTGGTTTGGGATTGCAGATGTGTGGGCGTGGAGTGGATCAGGAAGAGGAATGAAGTTTCCTTTTCCTGCAGAGCAAAAAGAATGCTGTTTAGGTTGTGAACAGGAGGAAAGGAACAGCCTGCACATTACAGGACATGTTCTTTTTCTTGCATCTTTCCTGCCTTTGCCCCATCTTACCTTCTAAATTCTCTACTGGCAAGTTGCCCTGGAAATAGGCACCAATGTGTGCTGGTGCAAAAGTCGGTATTACTGAAAGGAGGGGCAGGAGACAAGAGAAGAGCACTGAGCTCTTCAAACATTTTTACTTTTTCACTGTGATACATTTATTAGTGCTTTTCAAGAAGGGATTGATTCTTCTTATATAAAGTGTCTCTGTGGATGTGGGGGTGGGGAAGATCAGTAAGGCATTGGTAGCTCAGCGTCAACAGCATGGCTGCTTAGTCTGATTCTAATAATGTATACTAATTGTTATCCCCTCCATCACCATTATGTCTGTTCCTCCAAATCCATGCAACAGGTGTTAGAACTGTATTCTTTCCTTGGGTCCATTTCTAAGTCTCTGATCTAATCATCTGCTTCACAACTTCCAATCTCTAAGCTCTGGCAAAAAACATTCCTTGCTCTTGCCTGGCCCTGGCCCCTCAGGCTCTAGCAGCCTTAGCCATTGCCCACCAGCCAAAATCCTACTTTTGCAATGCAAGAAGGTTAAGCAGGCAGGAGGGCTATCTGCACAGCAAGTTTTGAGCATGCCCTACCTGTATTCCCCAGCACCACCCACCATTGAGATAACCCATGTTTGGCCTGACCAAATGTTCCTCCTCTGGGCATTTTTACAGATAGATCCATTCCCTTAGCCTTTCTCCAATCCCACCATCCTGTCTCCAAATGCAGTGTTCTCTTTTGCCCAGACATGCTTCTGCTATTAAAATTCAAGATTCGTATTCTCAGCTAAGTAACTATTTTGCTAATGGACCCCCAATTATTTTCCCTAAAAAATCATTTCTGTGTATAAGAAACAAGCAGAACTCCAGATAGTATTTGAAGGACAAACACTGGGATGAAAATACTATTTTATAAAGAGTTACAGACCCCAAAGATTATAGCCATGAAAACAGAATTGTATTTAGCACATCAATTTTTTAAGTGGCCACATCCATTTCTGTAACAGAATAAGAAACAAATTTGGAAGCAGCAGTGAAAGTGAAACAGGAAGTTTGTCAAATGTGGAAACTGAGCAAGTTATCTGAATCCAGAAATTAGAGCAAGAAAAGAATGATAACTTCAAAGGAGCTGTGGGTAGAATTGTGCTGTTGTTTGGGGGATGGATTTTGATGCAAAGAAATAAGAATGTTTTTGATGGACATGATTTTAGCAGTTACTAAAAAGATCTCATTAAAATCTTTTAGGTTCACTATAAATAAGCAATAGAAGAGAAAATTTCATTTTGGCCCTAAAGACAGATGTTTTATATGAGGAAATGTGTTATATTCATACAGCCCCAAAGTGCTCATAGTCTTGGTTGTCACTGCCCAAGGAAAATTTGAAGATAGCTTTCCTCTACTTAAGTGTTGGGAGTATGGTGTCATCTGTCTCCAAGGAACAGTTCTGCCTGATTCCAGAACCTTTGGAAAGGTTTGTGGAAGGTTGTGAAAGAACCCTCTGAAGGTTCTTTCCACATACAAGAAAGCACACAGGAAAGAAGTAATTCTGTGGATAAATCAGCTACACGTGTCTCCACTGAGTCACATGAAGTCTCAGGCATCTTTCCAAGTTCAGTATCCCCAAGGATCCACTCTGAAGCTTTTTCCTGTGTTTTTCTCAGAGATTTATGGAAAACTGTCAGAATCAGTGATTATGTAAAAGTTTCTCTAGAGTCTTTGAAACCATGGAAAAGGCTTCATTTCCTTCCATGTTTTAGGAAAACAGAGTAAAAGAAGCAGAAACCATAAACATCACTTTATTTGTATTTTAATTCTGTTCCCACAAATGGATGCAGGCATAGTTAGAGCTGTTTTTTTCTTTCAGATATTTCTCTAGCAAACATTCATCTATGAATATCAAGAAAAACAGTGTACCAGATTCAGTTTTGCATAGAAATTTTGCAACATTTCTTAAAATAAATAAAATATTGCAGTTTTAAACAATGGAAAGAAACAGCAAAATGTGCCAACAAAGACTTAACTAGCAGAGTGAGTGGCCGAGAACTCATCTAATGATTTAAATTTTCCTATTAAAGCAGAAAGTCCCCTGTCCATATAAGGCAAGAGGTCTCTTTCCAGGAAATCTTGAGAACATAGACATACTTTAGTCTGATTTTCATGTGTCTAAACTCAAGAACTCAAGTGATCTGTTTTACTGTTCATGTTTGTCAAGCAATTTTATTGAGAAAGAAAAGGAACTGAATAATTTATTTTGCTTTGTATGAGCTAAAGAGAGGGCAATACCTTGAAGGGCTTGGAGGATAGAGATAGGAAAGGAAGGAGAGGAAGGGATAAGGTGCTGTGTCCAAGACATGGACAGTACTGAGACCTGTATACCTGCACAGATAAAGACCCTAGAAGCTCACCATAGGGCAAGAACTTGTTTTGGAAGTTGACAAACTTAGTGGTTTCTGTATTAGTCTGTTCTTAACGCTGCTATGAAGAAATACCCGAGACTGGGTCATTTATAAAGAAAAGAGGTTGAATTGACTCACAGTTCTGCAAGTCTTGGGAAGCCTCAGGAAACTTGCAATCATGGCAGAAGGCACCTCTTCACAGGGCGGTAGGAGAGAGAATGAGTGCCAGCAAGGGAAATGCCAGACGCTTGTAAAACCCTCAGATCTCATGAGAACTCACTATTATGAGACCAGCATGGGGAAACTGCCCTCATGATCTATTCACCTTCCATGAGGTCCCTCCCCCAACACGTGGGTATTACAATTCAAAATGAGATTTGGGTAGGGACACAGAGCCAGATTATATCAGTATCCAGTTGGTGTAAAAAAGAAACATTGTCACATATCTTTTGATGAGTATATGCCATGTGACGAGCTTTGGAATTTCAGAATTTTGAACATTGTCTCTAATTTGCCAGGCATCCTTTATTTGGAATATGGGCCTTGTGATCTTTCATTGAACTATGTTGGGGCATGGGCTGTACAGCTAGATTGACAGAGTTTGCATCCTACCTGTGAAGTACTAACTATGCGATGATGGCCAGTTACTTATCTCTCTGAGCAGCTGTTCTTTATCTGAAAATGTAGATGTAATAGCACCTCTTTCACAGGACTACTATCAGGACTAAATAAGTGTCTTAGTTCAAGTAGCTGTAACAAAATACCATAGCCTGGGTGGCTTATAAACAAGAGAAATTTATTTATCATAGTTCTGGAGGCTGTGAGAAGGGAAGTCTGAGATCAGGGTATGGGCGGTTTCTGGTGAGGACCTTCTTCCCAGTTTCATACTGCTAACTTCTAGTTTTATCTTGACATGGTAGAAAGAGGGCAAGAGAGCTTTCTGGGGTCTATTTTTTTTTTTTTTTTTTTTTTTTTTTTGAGACAGAGTTTTGCTCCTCTTGCCCAGACTGGAGTGCAATGGCGCGATCTTGGCTCACTGCAACCTCCACCTCCCAGGTACAAGTGATTCTCCTGCCCCAGCCATGCCTGGCTAATTTTTTTGTGTTTTTAGTAGAGACAGGGTTTCATCATGTTGGCCAGGTTGTTTTCGAAATCCTGACCTCAGGAAATCTGCCTGCCTTGGCCTCCCAAAGTGCTGTGATTACAGGCATGAGCCCACCATGTCAGGTCTGGGGTCCCTTTTATAAGGGCACTAATCCCATCATTAGGGCTCAACCCCCATGATCTAATTACCTCCCAAAGGCCTCACATCCTAATATCATCACATTGGAGGTTAGGATTTTAATGAATGAATTTGGGAAACACAAACAATCAGTTCCTTGCACTTTAATACAGATAAAGGACAACAGTGCCTGGGACATGGAATTTATTATATAAAGGTATGCCATTAATAACAATAGCTAAATCCAATCAAGAGGACTTTCCAAGGGCCCATTTGGAATAGTGCCCATGAATAAGCACTTACTGATTGATGTGGTTTGGATCTGTGTCCCCACCCAAATCTCATGTAATTGTAATCCCCAGTGTTGGAGGTGGAGCCTGGTGGGAGGTTATTGAATCACGGGGGCAGTTTCTCATGAATAGTTTAGCAACATGCCCCTAGTGCTGTTCTTGTGAGTGCTGTTCTTGTAGGGTTTTTACAAGATCTGGTAGTTTAAAAGTGTGTAGCACCTCCCACCTCTCTCTTCCCCCTGCTCTGGCCATATAAGACATGTCTGCTTCCCTTTGCGTTTAGCCATGATTGAAAGTTTCCTGAGGCCTTCCCAGAAGTCATCATGCTTCTTGTATAGCCTGCAGAGCCATGAGCCAATTGAACTCCTTTTCCTTATAAATTACCCAGTGTCAGGTATTTTTTTTATAGCAGTGTAAGAAAATACTAACACAGAAGATTGGTACTGAGGAGGAGGACATTGTTATAAAGATATCTAAAAATGTAGAAGTGACTTTGGAACTGGGTAATGGGCAGAGATTAGAATAGTGTGGAGGGCTCAGAAGAATACAGGAAGATGAGGGAAAGTTTGGAACTTCCTAGAGAGACTGGTTAAATTGTTGTGACCAAAATGCTGAATAGTGATATGGACAGTGAAGGCCAAGTTGAGGAGGTATCAGGTGGAAATGAAGAACTTATTGGGAATTGGAACAACAGTCACTTTTTTTCTTAGCAAAGCAATTGCCTGCATTTTGCCTTTTTCCTAGGGATCTGCAGAACCTTGAACTTGAGAATGATGATTTATGATATCTGGAGAGAAAAATTTGTAAGCAGCAGTGTTCAAGACATGGCCTGGCTGCTTCTAATAACCTATGCTCATATGTATGAGCAAATAAATTATCTGAAATTGGAACTTATATTTAAAAGGAAAGCAGGGTGTAAAAGTTTGGAAATTTTGCATGATCATGTGATAGAAAAGAAAAGTTAATTTTTTGGAAAGGAATTCCAGCTATTGCAGAAATTTTCAAAAGTATAAACCCAAGACAGTAAGAAAGAGGTCTCCAAGGCATTTCAGAGATCTTCATAGCAGGCCCTCTCATCACAGGCTGGGAGGGCTAGGAGGAAAGAATGGTTTTGTGGGCCTGACCTAGAGCCCATGGCACTGAACAGCCTCAGGACACTGCTGTCTGCCTCCCAGCCACTCTAGCTCCAGCCATGGCCAAAACTCTTGCAGAGTGCAAGAGTCGAGGCTTGAGAGCCTCCACCTAGAATTCAGAGAATGTGTGAAAAAGCCTGGATGTTCAGGCATAAGCTTGCTGCATGGGTGGAGCCTTCATGGAGAACCTGTACTAGGGCAATGTGGAGGGGAAATGTGGGGTTAGAGCCCCCACACAGAATCTCCACTGGGGCACAGCCTAGTGGAGCTGTGAGAAGTGGGCCATTGTCCTCCAGGCCCCAGAATGGTAGAATCATAATGCCAGCTCATGACAGCAGCTGTGGGACAGAATCTTGCAAATCCACAGACACAGAGCTGTGCAAGGCCTTTGTAGCCTACCCCCTGCCTCAGAGTGCCCTGGATGTGAGACACTGGGTCAAAGGAGATTATTTTGGAGCTTTAAGATTTAGTGACTACCCTACTAGGTTTTGGACATGCCTGGGGCCTGTAATCCCTTTCTTTTGGCCAATTTCTCCCTTTTGGAACAGGAGTATTTACCCAATACCTGTACCCCCATTGTATCCTGGAAGTAACTAACTTTTTGATTTTGTAGGTTCATAGGTAGAAGAGATTTGCCTTGTCTCAGATAATAGTTTGGACTTTGTACTTTTGAGTTAATGCTGGAATAACTTAAGACTTTGGGGGATTGTTGGGAAGGCATGATGGTATGTTGCAATATAAGAAGAACATGAGATTTGGGAGGGGCAAGAGGCAGAATGATATGGTTTGCATCTGTGTCCCTGCCCAAATCTCATGTCAAATTGTAATCCCCAGTGTTGAATGTGGGGCCTGGTGGGAGGTGACTGGATCACTTCAGGAATGGTTTAGCACTATCCCCTGAGTGCTGGTCTTAAGATAGAGTTCTCATAAAATTTGGTTGTTTTAAAATGTGTAGCACCTCCCACCTCTCGCTCTCTTCCTCCTACTCTGGCCATGTAAGATGTGCCTGCTTGCCCTTCACCCTCAGCCATGACTAAAAGTTTCTTGAGGCCTCCCCAGAAGCTGTCATGCTTCCTACATAGCCTGCAGAACTGTAAGCCAATTAAATTTCTTTTCTTTATAAATTACCCAGTCTTAGATATTTCTTTATAGCAGTGTGAGAACACTGATGTTTCACATTATTTCTTTCCTTTTACCACCTTCACATGGCCTAGAAAATGGTGATTGATGAGTTTGGGATTCAGAGACCAAGTAAAAACTGGAAGGGCCCCGATTTTCTCAAATTATAAGCATGTGCACTTCACTTTACACATTTTCTTTACCCTGAAGAGAATTTTCAACTAAATGCTGACAACTCAAGTTCTAACATGTGGCATCACTGAGGAGAAAAATTTAGCCAAGGACCATATGGAATGACATAGTAAAGTCTAAACAGGAAAATGGGAAAGGTGGACCAAGAAAATAGAACAAAAATTTAAAATTTAAAGCAGATTACCTGGAAAATACATGGTGCCCATACCTAGCTGGAAAATATATGGATGTTAATAGAAGGAGTATATTAATATTAGCAACAGGGACTATCACTTGCCATGAGTCTACTAAGTGCCAGCTACTGCCCTAGGAGAAGTGTAGATAGAAGGGGTTTGCCATGAAACTAATGAGGCTGAAGTTTCAGGAACCCTCACTTGTGCCTCCTCCAAGCCTCTAAGAACATGGTCATATGGCCATATGTTATTGTAAGATTTTCAGAAGTAAGAGGTTTTCATCACAATTTTTTAAGATTGACTTTTTAAAAAAAATTCTGACCTACCTTCATCATACCTATTTCATACCCCTAAAATGGTACCCAATGATCCCCACTGCTTCATACGCACACCCTTGTATAATCTCCTTCCCTTGATTGTAGGCTGAACTTACCCACCTACTTCTGACAGACTATGGCAGAAGTTATGGATGTCACTTATAAGGTTGGATAATAAAAAAGACTGGCTTCCATTTTCTGTTATTTCTTTTATTCTCTGTTGGACCACTCACTCCAGGGAAGTCAGGTGCCACTTCATGGAGAAGCTCTGTGGAGAGGCCCATGTGAGTAAATTTTGGAAATGATCTGGGGCCTGCCAGCAGTTACCCAGGTAAGCCTGGATGTGAATGGTACTCTACAGCTTTGGCCAACAAGTTGATTGCATAGACATGTTTAGACAGAGGCATCTAAATAAGCCATGCTCAGATTCCTTACCCATAAAAACTATGAGCTAATATGTTTGCTGTTTAAGCTGTTGTGTCTTTTTTGTTTTATTTTGTTTTGAGATGGAGTTTTGCTCTCGTTGCCCAGGCTTGAGTGCAATGACATGATCTTGGCTTACTGCAACCTCTGCCTCCTAGGTTCAAGTGATTCTCCTGCCTCATCCTCCCGAGTAGCTGGGATTACCACTCCTGGCTAAATTTGTATTTTTTTTAGTAAAGACGGGGTTTCACCATACTGGTCAGGCTAGTCTCGAACTCCTGACCTCAAATGATCCACCCACCTTGGCCTCCCAAAGTGCTGGGATTATAGGCATGAGCCACCGTGCCTGGCCTGTTGTGTCTTGAGTTATGCTGCAGTAGATGACTAATACAGGAGGTGTTGAAGTAGTCATGAGCTTTTTAGTCATTTAGTTCTCAGTGGAGTATTTATAAGTCTCTTAGCATATTCAAGTGAATATTAGCCATCCTGGTAGAGAAATAGCATCCAATGCACTGTGCTCATTTATTGTGCAGCATCACACTAAGGAGCAGGGCTGAAGGTCACATTATGATAAGAACATGGCCACATGCAAATCACTCCCTAAATCTCACAAGAAAAATCTGCCCCCATAAGCCTCAAAGTTGCTACTTCTAGGTTGACTATTTTATTATTAAAGTATTTATTGATTCAGCTAAAGTTGAAATAGTTCTCTGTTTCAACATACATCCTGCTACGATTTGAATGTTTGTTCTCTATTTCAATATACATCCTGCTACGATTTGAATGTTTGTTTCTTCTAAAACTCATCTATTAAGAAGTGTATTAAAGGCTCATGTATTAAGAGCATTTAAGGGTTCTGTGCTCATGAATGGATTGGACAATTTATGGATTAATGGGTTAGTGAATTAATGGGTTATCAAAGGAATGGGTTAGTTATCATGAAAGTGGGTCTGTGATAAAAGCCAATTGGGTTCTCTCTTGTGAGCCCTCTTGACAAGTGATGCCCTGCACCAACTTGGGACTCTGCAGAGATTCCCCACCAGCAAGAGGGCCCTCACCAGATATGGGCCCTTGATCTTAGACTTCCCAGCCTTCAGCATTGCAAAAAATAAATTTCTTTTCTTTATAAATTACCCAGTCATTGGTAATCTGTTATAGCAAAAGAAAACAGACTAAGACTCATTCTAATATTGATTTTTCATCACCAAGTCTAAATGAAAAATAAGAGTCTGCTTGTTACAAAGTTGTCTAGTTCTTGCAATGTGCTTCAACATTTTAAAGACTACCATCTGTATATAAGTGATATTCACAAAGTTGACAAAACTTGATTACACTAAGTAATAGCAATTTGAAATAATATTTTGGACCATTTCAATAAAACAAGTGAATCTTGGTTTAGATATATATGAAGAGTACCTTATGTTTTCACCCTTCAATTTATTGTTCAAAGAAAAAAGTCAGATGAAATATGAAACAGAAGCAATACATAGGAGCAACAAAATTGATAGAAATTATTCTAACTACAAAAAGTAAATTGTAACAAAATATTTTTTGGATCATGCCAAAAGGAACAGTCATTTGGACGAAACGATACATTTTACAAAGAAGTATTAGGAGGTCCTTCGATTATTTAATGATTTCATTAGTGGGGAGGAGGGAACTATGTGAACAAATTTTAAAAGCTTTACATTTTTGATTTGACAAAACACATATCAGATAATATAAAACTCACAATAAATCATAAAATGAGAACATTGTTGACAAACTGATCAATGAGCATTATCAATTGAAAGAGTATTTCAGATTAGTTGCTGTTCAAAAAAATTTGAAATTCTCTAAAATCTTACAAACATTAACAAACTGAAGAGAAGTTTTTGTAAATTTGGCAACTATTTGAATAATTTATATGGCATTGACAATATGAAGTTACAACACTGAAAGAAACTTTTTAAAACTATCAATAAACAAAAATTGACCAGTTTAAGAAAAAAAGATTGAGTTACTCCCTGTTCCTTTCTTTTATGAAGTCCAGGAGTCCTGCCCTCTCTCAGGCCTCTGGGAGAGAAAGAACAAGTACACAGAGCCATACTCATCTCAGCAAAGGCCAAGACAGCAGTTTGAATCAATAATGGAATAACATCTCAGTCTGCAGTCTCTGCCTTTGGATTTGTTTTTGCCAGTATAATGACTTTGCATCTACAAGGCTAGAAAACACTGGCTAAAATGATGCCTTTTGGAAGGAAGGAAGGAAAGATCTACCCCATGACAAATTCTATGTTTAAAACAAAATGCAAAATATTCCTACTTTAACAATTTTCAACTCTCTACTTCACTCTACCTCAAGCAATAAAAAGAAACTATTGGCAGCTTTAAAATAGTTACTCTTCCCTGATTCATACTTAAACTATTTTTATGAATATCAGTACAAGTAAACCTTGCAGCCTGAGCTCAGGAGTGGGTTGGCTAATGCCTTTCAGATTCCATTTTCAGTGCATTTTCTGGCTACATCATGACTGGAACTGCATAACTTCACTGAAGGTTTGTTTCTGTCATTCTCAGATGTTTTGCACTCATCCAATAATTGGCAAATAACTGAGTCAACAGAAGCAAAGCAGGACTTGAGGGGAGAGTTATCTGAAAACCAAACCCCATTGACTCACCTCAGCTGAGTATAGGGCTTATTTTACACAGCATTTGCTCTTGGGGAAAGATCACCAAGTACAGAGATTTTTGTAGTTCTTTTGGTTTCACCTCACCTTATGTATCAGAGAAAGGACAAGATAGTCTTTTGGGATGTTAGGTTTATTTTAAACATTTGTATAAATGCTAAAATTTTGGACTGTTTTCATGTTTTCAAAACTAGTCACATGAGAATTAATTGTTTTTTCCTAGGGTGGAGGAGATGTCTATTTAAAAACATTTATTAGAGAATTTTTCTTAATAATATAAAGAGTAATAGATAAACTTATATAGTGTTCAGTATTTATGCTATGCCAGACACTGTTCTAAGTGTGGTACGTGTATTAAATCATTTGCTTATTACAATAACCCTATGTAGTAGCTATAAATATTTCCATTTGACAGATAAGGCATAGAGAATTTAAACCACATACTCAACAGCACATAGTAAGTGGTGTCAAAACATAATTTTTAAGAGGTAAGACATAATTCTTAAGCAAATATATGGTGGGAACATGTAAGTGTTAATATTTAACTCATTAATGAAAGAACTAACAGAACAGTGCAGCTGATTCAAGAGAATCTGAGAAACAGAGGTTATATAGTCATTTAGGAAAAGCATGCAGAAATAAGTTTGCTAAGTTAGAGACAAACTAGTTTATGCTTTATAGAAAAATAAATCTATTATTTTAGGGTTATGTTCTTTACCAGAAAGAAATTACGTGCTATTTTACTGGCTCTACATGCTAAAATACAAGTCATCAAATCTCAAACTGTGATCCTCCAGCTTCTAGAAAAACTGAACCTCTTTCAGAGGCCTACAGGTCAAAACTGCTTTTATAATAATAATGACTTATTATTTTCCTTTTTACTGAATTGAAATTTACATTGAACAATGGTGGGTGAAATTGATAACACCACTCTACTGGTAGCCATTACCTTCTTTACCACCAGATATTCACAGATTTAAAAAAAATTGTTTTGTGTAAGATGCCCTTAATATAAGAACATTAATTTTATTACATTTCAAACTTTGAGTATATATCTTTGTAATATTCTATGTTCCAAAATAAGAAGTACACATAACAAACTTCTGCTGCCTAGTGAAATTCCACAGTAGTCTTGAGGAGAAGCCCTTTTATTTAAGTTGTTAACTGACCTAGACATTTTACGAAGTCAGTGCAAGTAAACCTTGCAGTCTGAGCTCAGGAGTGGGTTGGCTAATGCTTTTCAGATTTCATTTTCATGAAATAAAAGTATCACTTTCTGGCCGTGCGCGGTGGCTCACGCCTATAATTCTAGCACTTTGGGAGGCTGAGGCGGGTGAATTGCCTGAGCTCAGGAGTTAGAGACCAGCCTGGGCAACATGATGAAACCCCTTCTCTACTAAAAATACAAAAAACTTAGCTGGGCATGGTGGCGGGCGCCTGTAGTCCCAGCTACTCTGGAGGCTGAGGCAGGTGAATTGCTTGAACTTGGGAGGCAGAGGTTGCAGTGAGCCGAGATCACGCCATTGCACTCCAGCCTGGGCGACAGGGCTAGACTCCGTCTTAAAATAAATAAATAAATAAATAAATCACTTTCTTTGGAAAAAAAGTAAAAAGCCATAGTTTTTCAGATCTAGCTATTCAGTAGGCATTTTCTTAAATATGAAAAAAGTAATTATGACCCTTCAAAAAAACTATCAATATTTGTTGATTTGATAAAATTAGAACTTTCAAGCTAAAATTAGAATTTTGGAAAAAGTATGCCTGCAACCATGAGCTTGATAGCTTCCTAATAGTTAAAGACTTATCTGATAAGATCAATAGTGATATTAATAGTTATAATTTTTGATATAAAGAAATGCATTAACATTTAGAATATTTGCATAATTAATAAATCAATATTTTCCAAATGACAATGCATGATGGTACAAAATTATGCACAGGCAAATAACACATTTAAACTGCAAAATATACCAATACATTAATGTGAAATGCAAAAAGTTCACTAATGTGGTTTCAGATTCCACATTGCAACTAATCTTTCCAAGCAAATGCTTGCATAGTTTCAGTGTATTAACAAAGAATATCCACAACTGTCAGAAGATGCAATTAAAGACTCTTCCAACTACATACTTTTATGATGCCAAATTTTCTTTATAAACTTCAACCAAAACAATATACAGGAACAGATTAAGTGCAGGAGCAGATATGAGAACACGGTTTACTTCTATTTGTAAAAATTGAGGAGAAGTGCAAAAACAGAAAACTATGTATAGGAAAGAAGAGATTTCTTTTTTCACTCATTGCTAGGTTCATGGCTGAGGCCCCTATAACAAGACAATTGATAAGAGAAAAGCATAGAAATGTATTTAAGTTTTATGCGACATGGGAGCCTTCATAAGGTAATGAAGACCCAAATAAATAGAGAAACCTAGGTATTTTCATGCTAACTTTGATGAATAAGTGGATAGTTATGGAGAACTATGATCAGACAAAGAGAGTATGATTTAAAGGTAAACTGGGAGGAACTTAACATGGCTTGTTTGTTCAGATTCTTCTTTGTGTTTCCATGTCTTCAGAGATAAAGACATTTGCTTCTTCTGTATATAGGGAGGGTACCTATACACAGAGGTTTTATTGCCTGCTTCAGGGGAGAAACTCAGAGAGACCTTATTGTTTCTATTTTCTCAGTGCCAAGGTGCCATATTTTGAGGCAGCATGTCCTGAACTCCCATCAGATGCCATTCATCTTACGAAATTTTTTGCTTTGGAAAACATATTAATAGTTATTTTTTCTTAAAATATGTTATTCCTGGCTGGATGCGGTGGCTCACGCCTGTAATCCCAGCATTTTGCGAGGCCAAGGTGGGTGGATCACAAGGTCAGGAGTTGGAGACCATTCTGGCCAACATAGTGAAACCCTGTCTCTACTAAAAATACAAAAAAAAAAAAAAAAATTAGCTGGGTGTGGTGGTGTGCACCTGTAATCCCAGCTACTTGGGAGGCTGAGACAGGAGAATCACCTGAACCCTGGAGGCGGAGGTTGCAGTGAGCTGAGATTGCACCATTGCACTCCAGCTCGGGCAACAGTGCAAGACTGTCTTGGAAAAAAAAAAAAAAAGAAAAAGTTATTCCTGTTAACATGTAATTGGTCTATCACTATGATTATTTTTTCATGAACTAATAAATACTTTAAAATTTTCTCTCTTTTAATTTCTAATATGATGAATATCAATAAATACACTCACACAAATAAGAGTTATTTGGTGTCCTTAATAACTAATTAAAATGTAAAAGGGCCCTAAGACTAAAATATTTGGGCAGATGATCTGAATTGTAAATCAAAAACAGTAATTAAAGAATCCTTGGGTGGGTCTTTTAGACAATGCTGTAGTATAACACTGAAAAATCATTGTGATCCTTTTGCCTTATTTCCCATAATTATTCTTAGCAATAGTGGAGCCAGAATTTGAGTCCCATCTGACTCAGTTATCTATACCTTTAACCACTAAGCCACTTCATGTGTAGAAGAAACATGTACATTCAATAAATAGAAGCATCAAATTCAAACATAAAATTCTGCTTTCCTGGAAAACTTAGAGCAAACAGTAAGGTAAGACAAAAAAGAAAGAAAGAAAGAAAAAAGCTCATCCATAGATCCAGCCTTACCATGGATCCATTGGGTCACTTAAAACTGCTTAGATTTCAAATCCCTAAAATTTTTCCAATCTTACGTAATGCATCCACTAATAGAAATGGTGATTAAGAAAGTACTTCTGTTAACATGGGAGGAATAGAGTTCTCAGAAATGTTAAGATTTAACAAGTCTTAACAAAGCATGTTCCTGCCCAGAGAAGCTTGCCTTGATAGCAGAAAATAAATGCTTTAAGGGTGAATGGTGTTCACTTTCAGAGTGAGAAAGCTTTTGACCAGTTTCATGGGACTATCCTGTGCTACTGCTATGGGATGGGGCAGATTGGTATGGAGACTAATCCTTCCTGACCTCTTGAGTGTTAAGCCTACAACGTAAAACAAGAGAATCAATTGCACTTAACATGTGTTAACATCTGAACAAACAGGTCACGAAATTGTCTGACTTTTAAAATGGAATTAACATTTAGACAATCATTGGTCAGGAAATGGTCTCCTCTTTCACAAAGGCCAAGGCCAGAGTATTTGACACTAAAACCTCCACTCAGATTAGTAAATTCCAGGCCCCCCTTCCTCCCAGGAGGTGGTCAAAGAAGAAAAGACTTCCTGAAATCTGCACATTCTCAAGGTTATTGAGGTTTGCTAAGCAACAGGAAGATTCAGGAAGTTGTCAATTTAGTCATCAAAATGAAAATGACAAATTAAAAATGTTCCATATGCTGGAAGAGGCATTGAAATTTAAAAAATGACATTAGGAGACCAAGAAATAGAAACAAGTGTCTAAAATTATACAGTGAAACTGTAAATCAGTAGGGAAAGGATGTACCATGAGAAGTGTTAGAATTGCTGGTTAATACTTTCTTGAAAAAAAATGTTATATCCCTACCTCACAACAAATAACAACAAATTATGAGGTACAAGTATAAAACAAATGCTTAATATAGTTGGCTTTATTGCAAAAAGAAGAAAGGAAAGAAAAGGAGAGAAAATGAGACAGAGAGGGAGGAAGGGAAGAAGGAAGGAAGAAAGGAAAGAAGAAAAAAATTATAAGAAATTTTAAACTAAATGGAAAAATATTGGTAGCATTTATATCAGAACTACTCTTGTTAATATATAAAGAATTCTAACAAATTAAATGAAAGACATACAATCATAGAAAAACAAGCAAAAGATACATAGAGGCTATTCACAAAATAAATGAAAATGAGCATTAAATATGTGAATACATCTTCAATCTCACTAATGGCAAAAACCGCAATTACTTTTGCACCAACCTAATAAATAAATGCAAATTAAAATAACAATCAAATATCTTTTTTTTCTTCTACATTGGAAAATTATTTTTTTTTATTGTAAGCATGTAATTCTAAATTCTGAAGAGAGTACGCTTAGGTGGTGTGGCCTTCAGGAGGTGATTGAGTCCAGAGGGCTCTACCCCATGAAAGGGATGAGGTATATACCCTTATAGAAAGGCTTGACAGAGGAAGATTGTCCCTTTTTGCTCTTCTGCCTTCTGCCATCTGAGGACATAGTGTTCTGCTCTGGAGGACACAGTGTTTAAGTCACTATTTTGGAAGCAGAGAGTGCACCCTTAGCAGACAATGAACCTGGACTTTGGGCCTTGATCTTGGACCTTCCACCCCCTAGAACTGTGAGAAATTTCCATTCTTTATAAATTGTTCAGCATATGGTATTTTCTTATAGTGGCACAAGACAGACTAAGAGATAAAGAAAAGTCCATGCAGTTATACTGCTAGGAGGAGTATAAAATTGTATAACCACTCTGTAAGGAAACGTATCAATATATATCAAACAGCTTTAGAAAGAACATATCTTTTAATTAAACAATCTGCTTCTAAGATTTTAACCTGAAATAATTTATTAGTATGCTTACAAAGGGTTTGGCGGGAAATCTATAATTTAATGCTTCAGTAGGGAGACTAGTTACATGAATCACATTACAAAGGCAAAATAGAATACTGTCATAATTAAACATTATGATAAAGATGTCTGTTTTTACAATGAATTGATATTGAAAATATATATTTTTGTGAAAAAACACAGGATTCAAAATGGTGCATATAGGATTATCCTAATATAAAGAAAAAATATATATGTGTAAGTCTGAATAGTAATACCCCCAAATATTAACAGTGGTTATTTTTAAGAATTGAAATTTTGGTGATTTTTTTACTTTCTTTTTGCCTATTTTATTTTATAATTTTTGTTCAATAACCATGTACTACTTATGTTATTTTAAAATGTTTAAAGAAAGGCTGAAAAATTTTAGCTCCAATAGTAATTTTTAAACATACATTTTAATTTAGAGAACCGTTAAATTTACAGAAAAAATGTGAAGGTAATCTAAACAGAGAATTCTCATAAACCTCACACCCTACTTACTATATTATCAACTTACATTGCTATGGTACATTTGTCACAATTATATTACCTTTAACCAAAGTCCATACTTTATTCAGATTCGCTTAGTTTTTATTTAATTTCTTTTTCTGTTCTAGGGTATCCCATTCAGGATACCATATTACATTTAGTCACCATGTCTCCTTAGGATCCTTTTGGCTGTGACAATCTCAGACTTTCCTTATTTTAATTTCCTTGACAGTTTTGAGAAGTACTGGTCAGGTATTTTCTAGAATATCCCTTAATTGGTATTTGTCTTATGCTTTTCTCATGATTAGACTGAGGTTATGAGTTTTGGGAAAGAAGACCACAAAGGTAAAGTGCTATTCTCATCACATCGTATCAAGGGTACATTCTGTCAACATGACATCAATATTGACATTCTCCTTGATCCCCTGTCTGAGGTAGTGTCCGTCCATCAGTTTTCTCCCCTGTAAAGTCACACCCCCTCTTCCCCCTTTACATGCTTCACTCTTTGAAAGGAGGTTACTAAGCAGAGCCCATACTTTTTTTTTTTTTTTTTTTTTGAGTCGGAGTCTCGCTCTGTCACCCAGGCTGGAGTGCAATGGCACGATCTCAGCTCACTGCAACCTCTGCCTCCCGGGTTCAAGCAAGTAGCTGGAATTACAGGGGCCCACCACCATGCCCAGCTGATTTTTTTTTTTTTTTTTTTTGTATTTTTAGTAGAGATGAGGTTTCACCATGTTGGCCAGGCTGGTCTTGAATGCCTGACCTCGTGATCCCCCGACCTTGACCTCTCAAAAGTGCTGGGATTACAGGCGTGAGCCACCGTGCCCAGCTGCACAGCCCATACTTTAAGGAGTGGGGTGGTTCTGTTCCACCTCTGTGAGAGTGAAATATCTACAAAATTTATTTGGAGTTCTTCTGAATGGGAAATTTGCCTTTTATATGTATCTTTTTAACCATTTGTTTATATTAGTATTGGCTTTCAGATATTTATTCTATACTTTAGGTTATAATCAATAACTACCCTATTTTGTTGTTCAAATTGCTTCAATACTTTGGCTAGCGGGAATGCTTTCAGTTGGCTCTTTGTGACTCCTTGACATACCCCCATCATGTGCATGTCTGTGTATGTTTGTGTGTTTGAGTGTGTGTGTTTGAGAACTTTCTTACTTTCTGGCACTACAGGATGCTCCAGACTCATATTGTATATTTGCTGCCCTAGTTCTAGACTCAGCCACTTCTTCAAGAAGTTCTGTTTCCTTTTATAAGAAAATGGAATTATAAATCAATATGTAAGCTCTAGGCGTGCTTGTTGCTACTAGAGTGTTATTGTTTCTAGGCCATCTCAGCTGACGGAGCAAGGGAATGTATGTGTGTATACTAGCCCAAGTATATACACAGATCTATAAATACCTCTATTAACCATGTGTGTTTATCTGAAGCTAAACATGAACTCATGTTCATGTCACCAAATCAAATCATTCTTACCACATGGATCATTCTAGCCTCCTCCACTTGCTTACCTGTAACTTCTCACTCCAACAGAGACATCTGGCTATCACCAACTACCATCCCTTTGTTTAATTGTTCGATTTCAGTTTACATGTATAGAAATGTGTTTTTGTTTTGTTTTGTTTTTTGAGATGGAGTCTCATTGTCACCCAGGTGCTGGAGTGCAGTGGCACAATCTTGGTTCGCTGCAAATTCCACCTCCCAGGTTCAAGCGATTCTCATGCCTCAGCCTCCCAAGTAGCTGGGATTACATTTAGAATTGTTTATCTGTACACCTATGGGAAACACCTTTATCAACTAAACTCTTATATACAGCTCTTTTTTGCCTTGATTATTAAAAAATCCACCCATTTTCAAAGTTAGGTCAGCTCCATTTTCTCCTACCTCCTCCAGTGAAGCCAACTCAAACCTTTGTAATACAGTTAGATTCATTTATCATAATCTGCATTCCATTCTGAGATCTTTCAACCTCCTAAATGAATTTTTTTGTTTGCATACATTAAGACTCACACTACATCCTGTAAAATTCTGTGGGTTTTGACAAATGCAACAATGGGTCTGTTTATCATCTCTATACTATTGCCTTTTCCAGGCTATTCAGGTTATCTATTTCCCCTTGTGTGGATTTTGACCAAGGAGTTAATCTACTTCATCTAAGTTATCCAAAGTCTTTAAAACTATAAATTTCCCCTAAGCATTGCTTTTGCTATACCCCAAAATTCTGATATCTTGTATTTTCATTTTTATTAATTAAAATCTTTTAAAACTATCTTGAGACATTCTTTGACTCATCTGTTGTCTAGATGTGTTGTTTAATTTCCAAATATTTTGAAATTTTCTAGTTATCTTTCTATTATTGATTTCTGCTTTAATTGTATTTTTTATAACTTCCTTTCTTTTAAGTTTGTTAATGTGTGTTTTATGGATCAATATGTCATC
Source organism: Homo sapiens (assembly GCF_000001405.40). NCBI lineage: Eukaryota > Metazoa > Chordata > Mammalia > Primates > Hominidae > Homo > Homo sapiens. The sequence continues at coordinate 150,263,542 of NC_000002.12, read as the reverse complement.
TTGGCAAATGTTTTGAGTGAACTTAAGAAGAATGTGTATTCTGCCTCTGTTGGATGGAGAATCAAGTTGACAGTGCTATTCAGGTCAACTATATCATTGTTGATTTTCTGCCTGCTTTATATATCAATTACTGACAGATGAGTGATTAAGGCTGCAACTATAATAGTGCATTTGTCTAGTTCTATCAGTTTTTGCCTCATGTATTTTAGTGGTCTCTTATTAGGTGCATACATGTTTAGGGTTATTATATATTCTTGAACATTATAGTTACGTAATGCCCCCTTGTCATTATATAATGTCTCTTTATCATTAGATAATATCATTTCTATTCCTAAGCATTTTCCTTGTTTCAAAGTCAGCTTTGTCTGAAACTAACATAGACATAGTTACTTCAGATTTCTTTTGATTACTGTTAGCATAGTAACATAGCATATCTCTATTCATTCTACCTGAGTTATATTTAAAGTAGCCTTCTTATACAAACTCTGGCAATCTCTGTGTTTTAACTGAAGCCTTTAGATAATCATATATAAAGTAATTATTGATAAAGTTGGATAAATATCTGCTAGGTTCATAGTTATTTTCTATTTGTGGCATTTGCTTTTTATTTTTCATTCCTATTGTTCTCCCTTCTCCAGTTGTAATTAAGCATTGAAAATGATTCTACATTATCTTTTCTCTTACCATAACAATTATGCTTTTAAAAAAATTATGATGGTTTTCTAGATTTTGCCATGCAAATTTTTAATAATTTGTCTTCAGATAACCCTATATTACTTCATAAGTAGTGTAAGTACATAATATTCCTGATTTCTCTCTCTCATCCCTTGCAACATTATTGTTATTCATTTTACTTATTCATATACTACGATCACTCAATGTATTACCATTGTTACATTAAACACTGTAAAATTATCAGATCAATGAAAATATAAAAAATAAAAGATTGTATTTTCCTTTCATTTATTCTTTGATATTATTTCTTTCCTTACATGTAACCAAATTTCTAACCTATATCATTTTCTTTCTGCCTAAAGAACTTTTTCATGCAGGGCAGGTCTGCTCATAATCAATTGTCTCAATTATTGATGCTTTTTTTCCCTCCTCATCAACACTTTAAACATTTCACTTCTCTCACTTCTTGTTTGCATGGTTTCTGATGAGAAGTCTTCTGTAATTGTTATTCTTGATTCTCTTTAATTAATGCCTTCCCAAGCACCCGTCTCAGCTTCTTTCAAGATTTTCTAATTGTTTTTGGTTTTTTGCAGTATGAATATAATATACTGAGGTATGTTTTCTTGATATTCATCCTGCTAGGGCTCTCTGAGCTTCCTGGATCATGGATTTATGGTTTGGTGTGTGTCATTAATTTTGGAAAATTCTTGACCATAAATATTTCAAGTGTTTTTTCCTGTTCCAATTGTTCTTTCTTCTCCTTTTGGTATTCCAATAATGCATAGTTTACACCTGTTGAAAAAATGTTCCTAGCTCTTGCTCTTGGGTGTTATGATATTCTTTTTATCTTTTCTTATTTTAGTTTGGAAAGTTTTTATTGTCCTATTTTCAGGTTCTCTGATTATTTTATTGGTCAGGTCAAGTCTACTGATAAGCCCATCAAAGGCATTTTCTGTTTCTGTTTCAGTACTTTTTATTACCAGCCTTTTCTTTTTGCACTTCCTTAGAGCTTCCTTTCTCTGCTTATATTATCTATCTGTACTTTACATGCTGTCTACTTTTTCTGTTAGACCCCTTAACATACTAATCATAGTTATTTCAAGTTCCTTGTCTAATAATTCTAACCTCTGTGTAACATACGAATCTGTTTCTTATGGTTGCTTTGTTTCCTCACGTTTTTTTTCTTTTTCTTACTTCTTGGCCTACTGATTAAATAGACCTTTAGTGTGGAGTTTTATGTTAATCTGGCTAGGAGCTAGACTGTCTTTAATATTTGCTGTACCTGTAGTTGTCAGAGGCCTCATATTCCTCGAGTATTCCTTTTACTCATCTCCCTCATTTACTTTGGCCTTCTCTAAATATTCCTCCTCAGAAAGTGGGTCTTACAACTTTTTCAACTGTGACCTATTGTAATTATATTTATACTGGAGCCTTGCTGATGTGGGGGTAAGATATGGGGGAGAGGAATGTTCTATAATGTTCCAATTATACCTCAGTCTTTTAGTGAGCCTGTGTCTCTGGGCTCTGACTTTCACAAGTGTTTTTCAGTGATATAGCCCCTCCCCATCCCACTTCCCTACTTCCCTGACTACAGTGTTCCCAATTTATCTCCTTGAAGTCCTGATCTCTGTTGACTATTCCCTCCATACACACAACCACACTTTGGTGAGACTAGAAGGACTCAAGGGGGATAAAGTAGAAGAAATGCCCTTCTCCAACTGGGATAAGGATCTGCAAAAATATTTCCCCTGCAGAGTAGGGCTCTGTTATAGAGAAAGCTCTGGATGTATTTTACAATAATTACTTTTATCTCCCTTTATCAAAGCCATGAGAGCTCAGCTATTTATCATGATTGCCCAGTGTGATTTCTGGAGTTAAAGCCCTTAAAGGGGCAAAGCTCCCCAGTACTACAGCCCAAATGGAGTTTCTCACTCTCAGAGTAGTAGTCCACATTCTGACTCCAGCGATTCACCAAATCACCAGTTAAGTGTCTTACCAGTTTATGTGCTCCAGCTGCTTCTGCTCCTGGTCAGCTGATCTTAGCTGTCATTCTCTCCATGTGCTTGTTTCTCCCAATTTCAGGGTGTTGGTTTGCCCTACAACCATCCAACTTTCTCTTGTAGTAGTATTTACATACAGCATGGAAATGATCACTCTCATTTCAGAGCTGAAACCAGAAGTCTCTAATAACAATTTAAAACATTATCTTCATAGCTAGCTCTACATAAAGTAAGTAGACTTGGATTAGTGTTTCTTCTTTTTATGTGATATTTGGCATCTTTTTTTCTTTTCCACAATGATATGTCATTTCAATGTGCTCAGTGGTTGGTTGATGATAACAAAATATCTGGATATTGGAGATATAAATGATGAGTCAAAGAGGTTTCATGCAGCATTTTACAACTTTTATTTCTTCCTTTCTACCTCTATTTAAATACCACTACTAATAACAAAAATAATAAAATCTTAATCAGATGGCTTGTCAATTGTCCACTATTCTAAATAACAGCTCCACTGGGCTGAACAGCCAGTCCCATTAGGCATGTCTAGAGTTAACGCTTAGCTCTTTGAAGGTCCACTGAGGATTCCGTAGACTAGAGATGTACAGGATGAGGTTATAGAGGTAGACTGTCCATCAAAGATTTTCTTCTTGGAAAACAGTGTGGGATTAAGCCTCTTGCTCAACTTGTTTGGGACTCCCTTCTCCCTCCTTTGCTAAAAACAAATCAAATCAATGAAAGCTTCCGCAGTTAAGAGCTGGAGTAGGGTTTGGGTAAGAGGAAAGCAGTGAGCATTCCTGGCATTTACTCACTCTACAAAGGGCTGTGTTGCTGGGGCTCCACATTCAGACACTAATGAGTCTTTGCTGTTGAATAGTTTTGGCTGCCTCTACCCTTTCCTTTGTGCCTGCCCATAAAGACAGTTGGAAAGCTAGCCACCACCACCACCACAACCACTACTCCTGAAATGGCATTTCTTCTGTCAGAAAGAATGAACAGAGTTGGTTACTGTAACCATCACCCTTGATCTCCCATTCCACTATCCCTGGAAAAAAAACCACAAATGTAAATATTACTATTGGGCACATAAAAATTGATCATAAAGAAAAAGCCATCTGTTAGTTGTTTTGGTTGTATTTACTTAGCCCAATAGGTTGCGACATTTTAGTTGTTTTTGTTTCTTTCTTTTCTCCTACTCCTTCTTCTCCTCCTCTTTCTCCTTCTTTATCTCCTACTGAGATAATCCAAATAATCAGGAAGTTGGTTCTTTTTATAGAATGAATTTATACAATTATTTCACTCTTACTGTGAAACTTTCAAAACCCTTAGCTAATTAATACTAAATTTGTGGAATAATTAAGAGGACAGATTCTGTATATTTTCTATAGTGGTAGTGCTTTAAATGTGAAATGAATATGTCTTTTTTCTCTCCCTGCACTTTCATCTGCTGCTACCTTGTAACATTCCTTCAGGAATGTGAAGTTCCTGTCATTTTCAAGGGATCACGTAGCCTTCAGATATTGCCTTTGGAGTCTCCACTTTGCTCACACAATTATAAAAATCTTCTCCAGTGAACATTGCGTATTTTCTATATTTTGGTTACTGCCTTTAACAAAGGGGGCTATCATGAGGAAATGCGGACTTTCTCTTGCAATTTATGTGTGCGTGTGTGTGCGACAGGGAAGGAAATTAGAGGTTAGACATCCCTGCCTTGAATACTTATTCTAATGAAGTTACGACTGTGTGTGTTTGGCACACATGTATAGTATTCATGCTGAATAAGAGGCTATACAAATTACAGTTTTGCATAAATGAATAATTTCATATATGTTGATAATTCATGCACTGTCAAGTGATCCAAAGAACACTGATGCTTTCCAAGTTTTTTTTTTCATCCTTTTGCTCAAAGGGACATGATTAGATACTTTCTTTAATATGAGGGGGGAATGAAACAAATGCTCTGCCTCACACACATCCCACAACTTGACAGACTGTAGCGTTGACCTTCAACGTGTGCCTGCTTTTTGTGTCTCAGCAGAACAGAACGCCAACTGTTATTTCTTCTTCTCCCTATGGAAAGACTGGTAAATGTTACCCAGATGAAAGAAGAGAAGATTCTATTAAATGTGGTCTATAGCTAATTCCACGAGGCAGCATTGTGATACTTTAGCCAACACAGCATTGTTCATGGTTTCCTACAGTCGTCTTTTCTCCAGGGCCCCTCAAATTGGACCTCTTTGGAAGGTGTGAATTCAGAAAGTGATGGGCATGATGGCCATTGGTTCCAAAAGAGAAACAAATCTTTTACATAGTATTAATGTCTTACTTTTAAAAATGCAGTGACTACTTGGTAACATAAATTTTTATATATAAGGACAATTACATGGTTTTGTCAGAGGTTCCAGCTTGAGTTCAGACTCATTTAGGGACAGGTCTGGGTGTGTGTGATTAACTGCTTATGTTGGCCAAAGAGAAGCTATTAGCTGAGGGGCTAGAGAATCTTCTCAGATAATAACAATATAGTCTATTCAGGAGAAGGAGGAGTTAGGCACTAAGACACTGAGTAAGCTGCAAAATCATATTTGTGACACTGAGCACGGTATGGTAGCTCCTATGCAATCCGCACCTAGCCTAAGCCTTGATTACCTATGTAGATTCTAAGAATAAACTCAGATACACATGGAAACAAAACAACAGGATTGAAGGAGCTGTTTCACCAAATATTCTAAGATACTAGAGTGCAAATAGGGCTGATTTGAGAAGTATTTAGTAAAATATGACAGAAAGGGGAAAAGCCATTAAACATTACAAAAGTTATTCAGTTTCAGCTGGGTTTTATGAGGGCACTGAGAAATGGAGTATCGGCTGCTCTTTGGCGAGTATTCATATTTTCAAGCACTTGAAAGCCTCTCCCTGAGGACGACTAAGGACACCTGGAAGGGACATTGCTGAGGCCTAGAGATTCCATGTTAGCAAAGACAGTGATAACTGAATTATTACCGTGAATTTGATTTTATTAATTCCTATGGGATGGTGAACACTGAGAAAAGGCAGTAAAATTTGTTTTACATTTGAGATACTCCTCATTATATTCTCTAATTTCAATGCCACCTTCAATGTTGCACACAGGCTGAAAGAAATCAACTTCTGTGCACACTTTTTTTTTTTGAGATGGAGTCTCGCTCTGCCGCCCAGGCTGGAGCGCAGTGGCGTGATCTTGGCTCACTGCAAGCTCCGCCTTTCGGGTTCACGCCATTCTCCTGCCTCAGCTTCCTGAGTAGCTGGGACTGGAGGTGCCCGCTGCCACCCCTGGCTAATTTTTTGTATTTTTAGTAGAGACGGGGTTTCACCGTGTTAGCCAGGATTGTCTCCATCTCCTGACCTCGTAATCCACGCGCCTCGGCCTCCCAAAGTGCTGGAATTACAGGCGTGAGCCACCGCGTCCGGCCTACGTGCACACGTTTAAACAAGATTATTTCTCGGCTAACATAAGCTGGGACTATGACAATGGGAATTTTAAAAAATGAATTAAAGACTAGAAGCACAAAAGATTAGAGGAGATAAGTCATCTATTTAAATATGTGCATTTTTCCTTAAGTGGATCTATTTGGTCTATCCTGTTATATTTCAGAATTTTGTTACCTTTTTAAATATAAACTATATCAAAACAAGCAAAACAAGAGAGTTTCTGAAGGAGAATTTAAGCATTATTTTCCTATTCTCTGACTCTATAAGAATTAATCAGCTAATGAATCAACTAGCTATTAGTTATTGTGTTCCTTTAAAGCACCCAGTTCTGCCCTTCTATGTGTCAATAAAAGATAACACTGATTTCTCCCTCAGTTTTATTTTTGTCTTTCAGCTCTATGCTAACTTGCGTGAGACATCTGTGCACAATCCATCCAGCTGTGATTAAATTCCTGGTTTCAGTGTTTGTGTGTGTGTGTTTCAATTCAAAAATTAAAGGCAAATTCCTGTGGAAAGAGATACTTGGAAAACGTCTGCAAATGTAAGTAGTTCCCAATGGGAAAAACTTTACAATCATACTTTTAATTAGGGTCCCAAATGTTCAGTGACTCTAAGAGCACACTAGTAAATATTATTTTTACAATCTGATTAAATACTTGACTCGCATGAATAGGCCTAATTCTTTCTCATATTTCAAAGGGAGAGGGGCCTGAAGGGTGTTCTTATAAATGAAATGAATTTTACTTGTCCTACTTGCTGTGTTGAGCTACCTTGCAATACTGAGAAGAAGGATCAGTAGAATAGCAAAGCTTTTATAATATTCCTGAAAATTAGGGCAACCCACCAGCTATCTGCATCTAGGATACAAATTGGTTTAACAGTGTAATAGGAGTCACTGAGGCAGATTCCCTCCCCTCTTCCCCCATACCACATCTGAATGGGCTCATAGTGATGAACAAGGAGGAGAGAGACAACTATGCATTCTCCCATCTGAACCCAAAGAAAGGTCTGGGAAGGGTCTCGGTTTTGCTGTGGACTAGGTTATATTTGATTATCTTTTTTCATAAAGAGCATTTCATTTTACCAAGTTTGCTGCTTGTGACCTTGTTTACTGCGAGTTAAATAACTGGATTTAAATATGTTCCAAGGTTTATCTTGGTGCACTTCTTGTTCACAAAGCCAAAGCACATCTTAGGAGCAAAACAGCATTGTGGCCAAGTCTCCCCAATAAAAATGCATAAAGGTTTATCATAGCGACTGAGTAAATAACTGGGGCCAAAGACCCAGACTTTCAGTGCTAATTTTAAGTGCTTTAGACATATTTTTCCTCACAAACAAGTAACAGTTATTCCAGTATATATTTTCCGGGATTAAACCTGTGAATGGGCTTAACTATTTCCTCTCAACTGGCTGCTCTATTGCCACTTAAAAATCTAACAAGTTTTTCCAATGCCACTTTCAGTATTACAATTACCAGCTGGATCTTTGGCTGAAGCTTCAGCTGCATGCTTACTTTAAATAGGGATATCTATCAAACCTGACCCTTGGTGTAAGCATGTTCCTTTCTTAGGAAAAGTCCCAAGGCCTTTGGCCCCATGCATACTTGTGTAATTGCTGTCTGTAATGTGGAATGGGATGAGATATTGAATGGCATGCTGCCCATCATTCTGTTATGGAATACCACTGTGAGTAATGTACTGGTGTCTCTTACATCCAACAGCTTTGCATTTGGAGCCCAATAATATTTATTCAAGTGTTGGACTGGCTGAACCATTGATACTTAGAGTCCAGTTCCATTGGTATTAAATAAACAGTGAAAGATATCAGCAATAGGAAAGGGAAAATAAAGAGTGGGAACTATTTTTCAAAATAAAAAGAAAGGAAAAGAAAAAATGTTGTTAATGAAAGGCCTGCTTTTCAGATGACACTTTTTTTTTCAAACCTATTTGCAAACTACCATGTCTGTTAATAGTTCTCAGATTGTATTTTTCTATTAGGTTCATATTTGATGAACCTGTAGGTTTTGACAATAAGTTGCTATAAGTAACTTCAGTAGAATTATAAGTAACTTTTCAGTAGAATTGTATCAGATTTGTATTTTAACTTCCAAGTACTTTGGGTCTGAGAAAGAATATATGATTTGAGATTTTTTTCGTAAAGATCTATGGAAATAGATAAGGAAAATGTTGGCTCTGATAATTATAGATTCTGGTGGTGAGTGGAAAAGATAGGTCTGGCTCTGAGCTAGCGAGTGGTGGCATCTTGCTTCTGCACAGGCCCTGGCTATATGAGTCTGAGCAGGGCTTACAGTTCCCTGTGCTTCAGTTCACATATATGCAAAATGGCAATAACAACTGTACCTACTAAAGAGTGTGTTTGTGAAGGTCAAAATAATTGATACAGGTTGGGCGTGGTGGCTCTCGCCTGTAATCCCAGCACTTTGGGAGGCCGAGGTGGGCGGATCACGAGGTCAGGAGATCCAGACCATCCTGGCTAACACGATGAAACCCCATCTCTACTAAAAATATAAAAATTAGCCGGGTGTGGTGTCACGTGCCTCTAATCCTAGCTACTCGGGAGGCTGAGGCAGGAGAATCACTTGAACCTGGGAGGCGCAGGTTGCTGTGAGCCAAGATCATGCCACTGCACTCCAGCCTGGGCGACAGAGTGAGACTCCGTCTCAAAAAAATAAAAATTAAAAAATAAATTGATACATTAAAATGTTTAATATAGCATCTGGCATATACTAAATGCTTAATAAATATCAGCTATTGTCATTGCCATTTGAAGGTATGAAATGTGAAGACTCTCTCACCTTGAGAGTAACCTGTGCTGAGCTGGCTGTACTTGCAGGACTCCATAGACTAAGAAACAAAAGAAGGTGAGAGGGGAAAAAAGTTGGTAGCAGAAATAGAAAGCAGTAGAAAGTAGAATGGAGACCACATCTTAGGCACCAAAGTAAAATAACTCATTTAGGCAAATACCCTAATAAGTAAGCTCAATGTATTTCTTCATTTTAAATTAAGAATTCATTGAACTTTAAGTGAAGGTATAGGCATCCCTGCTTTAAATACTTGCACTGGGATGTAGACATATAGGAGGAAGGCAGGCTAGGAGTGTCCCAGTGTATTAATTTTGTATTTCATTTCTGATCTAGGGGCATAGAATAGATCACCAGAAGGATCTTATAAAAGGAATAAAATATTTTTCTGTAAAATAACTCAGTGATGAAGCCATCGACTATATCTTCCTGTACCAAACTGACACTGGGCTTGAGATTTTAAAATAAAATTACAGAAACATTGATAATCTAAAGACTGGATAACATACAGATAATAAGTTGAATTGTAAGCATAACAGAGACTATCCTCTTGTCTCTATTTCTTTCCCTTGACTACTCCTTTGGAGTTTCCTCTACTAACTCCGTCACCCTCTATTCCCTTATATGCAGCTCTTCCAGGGAGTTCCTGACCCTTTTATGTCTATATAATCTATTTAATTTACACTCACGGCTTCATTAGCAATAACTTCTCTCCTAAAATCCAGATACAAATTAACAATTCAGATCTGATGAATCCAGACCTTCTTTATAGCAGCAATGGTACTCATCTTCATTAAGTCTAACATCCAAATCCACTAGCTTTCCCTACAAATTAGAGCCTTTGTCTGAATTCCCTGTTTCTGGAAACGACAAACAGGGTGGTTGCCTTAGGAACTCAATGTAACCCTTGATGCTTTATTTTTCTTCCCTTTCTTCAACCAATCCATTGCCAAAGTCAATAAAATTTTCCTCCACTATATCTTGTCCCTCACCCCTCTTTTCCATTCAAATGTCATCAATTCTAATATATGCCTTTATGGATTCATTTGCATAGCTTTCCCTCCTGGACAAACTGCAAATGAGAGCACTGATAAGACATATGATTCAGTTTTGAAAGCTTCTTAATCTATTTTCTTGTTGCCCATCTTATCATTATCAAATTCATATTCTTGTGGTAGTTGCAAGAACTGCCATATTCATAGCAGATACCATCCTATTCCTCCTTTGTTCAAAACCCTTAAACTGTTCATTGTTTATTTTAGATGTCCCCAACATTTTACCATATCACACATGGGATATTACGTCTTCATTCCAGTGATATAGTCCTGTGTGCTATTACAGGAATGACACTATAACTCCTTCCCTTTCTTTTCCATTCAAGGAAACATAGCAAAACACAAATCAGGGGCGGGACTGCCAGTGGACCCTTTCCCAGGGAAACAACAATTTAACTTGTGAAAGTTATTTAAAAAAAACATGAAAAGTGTCTATAAATAGTCCCAAGGAAAAACAGGAAATAAAGAAACATTTATTCAAGAAAATCTAGTGAACCTGAGAACAGCAAGAGTCCATGATATTTCAGTCAGAATTCACTCCATTAACCTCTACTATCCCCCATCTGTGTGTTAGGGAAACTTTAAGCCAGAAGCCCTACTGTCACATAGGTGTGGTCAGGGAGACAGTGGTACTCCCTTCCCCAGCCTCCTAGTCTGAAGCTATAGTTTCACTGTGGGAAGGGCAGACTGCTGACATTTCTCTTCCCCATTCTCTCCAACTCTCCCTTGCAGAAGCTCTCTTCCAGGCAGGAACAGCCAAGGGGACCAGGCTTCTCTAGTTTCACCCAGCCCTGACTTGTAGGATGGCTGGCAGGCTTTCAGGCATGGCAGACTGAGAATACTAAGCTCCTGATTGCCACAGCCCCAGTTCTTTCGTAGGGCAGAGGTTCCATGCCTGGAGGGGCTGCCACCCCTTCCCATGCCTACTCACAGAGCAAGAGTGTCATTATCAGAAAGCGGTCCCCATTCCTAGCTCTAGCAAATTGATGTAGGATTTCTTTTCGGGAGAAAAGCAAGCCATAAAGGCAAAGAGTTTCACAGCTCTGCCGATAGAGACTGACTTCATTTGGGAAAAAGAGAGACGAATTCCATTGTATGTTCATTGTCTAAAATAATGGAGATTATTGTTGAAAAAATTAAAAGAGCAGTAGATCTGATAAAGGCAAAATGGCAGAACAGCCAAAAGTTTAACAGTGGGAACGAGAGACAATCAAGGTGAACTTCCCTGTGATTATAGACAGTTCCACAGGTTAGAAGGGCTGTGTGTAAGTGCTGGGTTGCACCCATTTGGGGGCAATCAGAGCAGGACATGGAGCTGACTTGAAAGCATTTCCAAATCTACCCAAGTCACAGACAGACCCATCAACACAGGGAAGAAGCTTCACACAACTTCTGGCAAAAACTGACTGAACAATAAGCTACTCTGACCCAGGGTAACTCCTAGAAAGGTAGGCTTAAAAATGCTATCACAGACTCTAATAATGCCATCTATGAAGAAACCACAGCTAACATTATATTTAACTGAGAAAAACTGAATGCTTTCCCTATAAGATTAGGAACAAGTTAAGGATATACATTTTTGGTACTTCTATTTACAGGGCAATTAGGAAATACATACATACATAAATGGCACCCAGATTGGAAAGGAAGAAGCAAAACTATGCTATTTACAGATGACATAAAACACTAAGAAATCCACAAAAAACTGTTAGAGTTAATAAATGAGTTTTGCAGAGTTGCACTATACAAGACCAATATACAAAAATTAATTGTATTTCTATATTTTTGCAATAGTATTCTGAAAATAAAATTAAGAAAACAATTCTATTTAAAGTAGCATCAAAAATAAGATACTTAGGTGTAAATTTGATAAAAGAAGCACAAGACTTGAAACTGAAAAATCATAAAACATTATTGAAAAAGGTAAAGTCTAAATAAATGAAAAGGCACCCTGTGTTCATGGATCAGAAGACTTAATATTGATAAGATGGCAATACTTTCCAAATCTACAGCATCAATGCAATTCCTATTGATAGCCCAATTGGCTTCTTTTGTTGAAAAAGACAAACTGATCTTAAAATTAATGTACATATACAAGGAACCCAGAATAGACAAAATAATCTCAGAAAAGAGCAAAGTTGGAGGACTCACATTTCTAAGTTTTTAAACTTACTCCAAGGCTTACAGTAATCAACACAGTATATTACAGGCATAAGGATAGACATATATATCAATAGAAAATAATTGAGATTCTAGAAATTAAGCACATTTATGGTCATTTGATTTCCAGAAGGGTGCCAAGACAATTAAATGCATAGGGGAAGGGTGTAGAGAATATTCTTTCCAACAACTATCCCTGGGACAACTGGATATCTACAAACAAAAGAATAAATTTGGACACAACTCACCCATTTGCAAAAATTAACTCTAAATGGACAATGATCTCAAACATAGAGGCTAAAACCATAAATCCACATAGAAGAAAACATAGGCATAATTCATCATGACCTTGGGTTAGATTAGTTAGTTGATGATTTCTTAGTCACATCATCAAAAGAACAAGCAAAAAAAATGTGAGACTACCAAAAGTTAAAATCTTTTGCATTGCAAATATGACCATCAAGAAAGACTACCAATAGAATGTGAGAAAATATTTGCAAATTATATATTTGATCAGGCACTTGTATCCAGAATATATAAAGAACTGTTTTTGTTTTGTTTTGTTTTGTTTTTGAAATGGAGTCTCACTGTGTCGCCCAGGCTGTAGTGCAGTGGCCGGATCTTGGCTCACTGCAAGCTCTGCCTCCCGGGTTCACACCATTCTCCTGCCTCAGCCTCCAGAGTAGCTGGGACTAAAGGCGCCAGCTACCACACCCGGCTAATTGTTTTTTTTTTTTTGTATTTTCAGTAGAGACGGGGTTTCACTGTGTTAGCCAGGATGGTCTCGATCTCCTGACCTCGTGATCTGCCTGCCTCGGCCTCCCAAAGTGCTGGGATTACAGGCATGAGCCACCGCACCCGGCCTATAAAGAACTGTTAAACTCAATAATAAAAAGATGACTATCCAATTTTTAAATAGGCAAATATTTTGAATAGCTGTTTCTCCAAAGATATTCAAATGGCTAATAAACATATGACACAATGCTCAGTAACCTTAGTCATTAGAAAAATAAAAATCAAAACAATGAGTTACCAATTCACATTTCCCATGTTAGGTATAACCAAGAGGACAAATAACAGTAGTCCCTTGGTATTCATGGGGGATTGGTTCCAGGGCCCTCCAACAGACACAAAATCCAAGAATGATCAGGTCCCATATATAAACTGGCATAGTATTTGCATCTAACCTATACACATCATCCTGTATACTTTAAATAATCTCTAGATTACCTATAATTGCTACTACAATGCCTATAAATCATTTCATTCACATTGATTCAACGTAGTACTAGTTGTTCAGCAAATTCAAGTTTTGCTTTTTTTGAACTTTGTGCAATAATTTTCTCAAATATTTTCCCTTTTACTTTTCTTTCTTTCTTCCTTTCCCTTTCTTTCTTTTCTTTCTTTCTTTCTTTCCTTCTTTCTTTCTTTCTTTTTTTTTCTTTCCCTTCCTTTCTCTCTCTCTCTCTCCTTCCTTCCTTCCTCTCTCTCTCTTTCTCCTTCCTTCCTTCCTTCTTTCTTTTCTTTTTTCTTTTCTTCTCTTCTCTTCTCTTCTCTTCTCTTCTCTTCTCTTCTCTTCTCTTCTCTTCTCTTCTCTTCTCTTCTCTTCTCTTCTCTTTTCTTTTGTTTTCTTTTCTTTCTTCTTTCACAGAATCTCGCTCTGTCACCCAGGCTAGCCTCCACCTCCAGGTTCAAGCAATTCTCATGCCTCAGCCTCCTGAGTAGCTGGGACTACAGGCATGTGTCACCACACCTGGATACTTGTTTTTTGTATTTTTAGTAGAGATGGGGTTTCCCTCTGTTGGCCAGTCTGGTCTGGAACTCCTGACCTCAGGTGATCTGCCCGCCTCAGCCTCCCAAAGTGCTGGGATTACAGGCGTGAGCCACTATCCCTGGCCCCCAAATATTTTCAATCTGTGGTCAGTTGAATTAACAAATATAAACCTCCTGGATACAGAGGCTGATGGGAATCATGAGTGATGATGAGACTGCAGAGAAATCAGAACCCCTGTACATTGGGGGTGATTGTAAAATGGTGTAGACCTTTTGAAAAACAGTTTGGCAGTTCCTCAAACTTTAAACATAGAGATACCATATGTCCCAGAAATCCCACTTCTAAGGTATATACCCAAGAGAAATAAAAACATACAAAAACTTGGCTGGGTGCAGTGTCTCACGCCTGTAATCCCAATACTTTGGGAGGCGGAAGCAGATAGATCACAAGGTCAAGAGATCCAGAATATCCTGGCCAACATGGTGAAACCTGGTCTCTACTAAAAATACAAAACTTAGCTGGGTGTGGTGGCACGTGCCTGTAGTCCCAGCTACTTGGGAGGCTGAGGCAGGAGGACCACTTAAACCCAGGAAGCAGAGGTTGCAGTTAGCCAAGATCGCTCCACAGCACTCCAGCCTGGTGACAGTGAGACTCTGTCTCAAAAAAACAAAAACAAAAACTTATTCATAGCAACATTATTCATAATAGACAAAAGGGTAAACAACCCATATGTCTTATTAACTGATAAATGAATAAATGAAATGTTGTATATTCATATAATGAAATATTGGAAATAAAAAGAAAGGAAGTATTGGTAAATACTACAACATGAAAACATTATGCTAAGGAAAAACAGCCAGTCACAAAAATACTATATAGATATAGTATGATGTCATTTATATGAAATGTGCAGAAAAACCAAGTTTATATAGATAGGAAACAGATTAGTGGTAGCTTATGGTTGAGGAGGTAAGGTAGGGGAAATGGGAATTGACTGCTAATGAGTATTTTTTAGGAGTGACAAAATGTCCTAAAATTAGATTGTGATGATAGTTTTATAACCTTATGAATATACTAAAAAACATTAAATTGTGCCTTTTAAATGAGAGAATTTTAAATTTTACCATTTAGATCTCACTAAAGCTTTTAAAAAATGCTAATTAGACCAAATAGAATTATTAAATGTATAACTTTTTAATCTGCTCTAATCTTTTAAAAATATAAATTAAAACTTTCTCAAACACTTGAAATTTAGAATTTCTAATAATTTGTGAATTTATTCTCTTGAATTTTCTAGAACAGTGCTGTGCAATAAAAATATAATTTGAGTCAGTATGCAATTTTAAATTTTTAGTAAACATTTTTAAAAGTAAAAAGAAACAGGTTAAGTTTAGCAATCTATATTATTTAACCTTATCTATCTGAAATATTACTTCTATTCTGAATATAAACATTTTTAATGAGATATTTTGCATTTTTTTCAAATATATCTTTAAAAATATTTCACCTGTGTTTTACACTTATGACACATCTCAACTCCAACTAGCCATACTTCAAATGCTCAGTAGCTACATGAAGTCAGTGGCTACCATATTAGACTTGCAAGTTCTAGATGGATTTTAATAAAATATAACAGTAATAGTTATTGTATGATCATTTTCTAATCTTCAAACCACTCTTCTTTTTCTTATCTTATTGCATGGACTAGGGCCTCCACTAAAATGTTGGATAATAGCGGGGAGAACAGATTTCCCCAGCATTGTTTCTTTCTTTAATGAGTATGGTTCTTATGTTTCATGTTGAGCTTAAACTGATGAAGTTACTTGTGATCTGCTTAATGGCCAATTTTGACATAGTACTGAGTATTATTGTCTACCTAATTATTGTCTAAACTCCATTTCCTTAGGGTGAGTTATTTCCTGTGATGTCTCTATTGTAAGCAGCCACTTACTCAGTACTCCAGATAGCTCTAGGAAAACCTAAGATGGTTTAGCCCTGGTTCAGGCTGAGAGTCCTTCTACACAAACACATGAAAACCTTCACTATATGCTAAATCAATAACCTAGTACTTTAAGCAATTCTCTTTTTTAAAAAGGGAAATTTAATGAACAAAACACAGGGATATTTGAACTGATGTACTTTATGACCTTTGGAAAAACAAAACAACACACACACAAATTAAATTATCGTATTTGGAAAAATTAAATTAATTCTGAGAATAATTAAATGAATCCCCAGAGCCTTATTTATTTTTAGGCAGTTAAACAATTAAAAGAATATGTTTACTTTCCTGAAATTGTCTCAGTGGGAAAGGAAAGACTATTAAATGACAACTCTCTACGTAGATTCATAGCTGTTAAACATAATTAGTTTTAATGTTTACTGCACATTGTTTCTATTTGTGATATGGAAAGAGAAAAATATGTTAAACAAAAATGTTTTACATGTACATATATGTATATGTGTATATATATTGGTGTATTTATTGGTATATAAATTGCAATATATGTATGCATATATATATTGGTCTATACATATAAAAATCTTTGTTTAACATATTTTTTATCTTTCCATATAATGTATAGAAATAATGGACAGTAAATATTAAAAATAATTATTTTTAACAGCTGTGAATCTTCATAGATAGTTGCCATTTGTCAGTTATTCCTAACGTTGTAAGAAAATACGATTATTAGGAAATAAATTTATTGTTTATTATGGTTATTAGGTTGTAAGTTTATGCTGTGGTTTGAATATTAATTGTTTTTCTCCACCAAAATTCATGTTGAAATTTGATCCCCGATGTGTCAGCGTTTAAAGGTGGGACCTAGTGGGTGGTGTTTGGGTTATGGGGGTAGGTTCCTCATAAATGGCTTGGTGCTGTTCTTGTAGTAGTGAGTTCTCACTTTCCTAAGACTGGATTTGTTCGCCTAGGAATGGATTAGTTCCCTCAAAAATGGGTTGTTATAAAGCCAGAATGCTCCTCAGCTTTTCCTCCTCTTTGCATGTCTCCTCCTTTTTTTTTTTTTTTTTTGACCTTCTCTGCTATGTTGTAATGCAGCATGAATGCCCTCACCAGAAGACAGATCCTTGACCTTGATCTTCTCAGCATATAGAACTACGGGCTAAACAAACCCCTATTCTTCCTAAATTACCCAGTCTTAGATATTCTTTTATAGGAATAAAAATGGATTAAGACAGTTTATAAGATGAAAAATATACAATCTTTGTATTTACAAATTACTAGGGCTTTAATTTAATTAATTTATTTTTTTTGAGACTGAGTCTCACTCTGTCACCCAAGCTGGAGTGCAATGGCACGATCTCTGCTCACTGCAACCTCTGCCTACCGAGTTCAAGCTATTCTTCTGCCTCAGGCTCCCAAGTAGCTGGGATTACAAGCGTGTGCCATCACACCTGGTTAATTTTTGTATTTTTAGTAGAGATGGGGTTTCACCATGTTAGCCAGGCCAGACTTGAACTCCTGACCACAGGTGATCCTCCTGCCTCAGCCTCCCAAAGTGCTAGGATTAGAGGCATGAGCTACTGCACCCAGCCAGGGCTTTAATTTTACATCTCTTTACCTTATAACTCAAACCCATATTAAATGTTTTCTGTACATATTAAGGGCTCTGTAGGCTCTATGACCAAAAATAAGAGAAAAGCAAAATTTGTTTCATATATTCAGAAAAAATATAATAGACAAGGACAATATTTCACATTTTCCTTTGCAAGGAACTGCATCCACATTTCATCCAAATTGTCTTTTCTAATCCATTCAGTATTTTTGTTTCATACCTGCTTTGGGATACAGGTTTAATACATATAAAAATTATTCTATTGGCTTCTGCTTGCAGGAAGATAAAATTAACATAATTCTCCTATTTCTCCACTAAATACAGCTAAAAACGCTGGACATTTTATATGAAACAAGCATAAGAAGACTCCAAAAGGTAGAGACAAGGCAGAATTGCTGGGGAACTTGAGACCAAAGGAACAACACATTAGTAAGTTCTCCAGGCATGCTTTCTGATTCACGTATCCTTAAATTGAAGCTGAAGAAGTCAGTAACCTGGAAATGTTTTTCAATAAAATTGACAAACTTGTAGCAAGATTGATGATATAATTAGGACATTTGTGCCCTTCAAATCTCATGTTGAAATTCAATCCCAAGGGTTGGAGGTGGGACCTAGTGGGAGATGTGTGAGTCATGAGGGCAGACCCCTCCTGAATGGGTTGGTGCAATGATTATGGTAATGGGTTCTCACTCTATTAGTTCACATGAGACCTGATTGTTACAAAGAGCATGGCCATTCCTCCTCTCTTCTTTTCGCTCCCTTTCTCACCATGTGACATGCCTGCTTTCTTTCCTCTTTTGCCATAATGGAAAACTCCCTGAGGCTCTCACTAGAAGCAGATGCTGGTGCTTTACTTCTTGTACAGCCTGCAAAACCATGAGCCAAATAAACCTCTTTTCTTTATAAATTACTTAGCCTTAGGTATCCCTTTACAGCAATGCAAAACAAACTAAGAAAAGTGACAAAGAATAAAAGAGAGAAGATAAAAATTACCAATGCCAGAAATAAAACAGGGAATATCCTTATAGTCTCTCCAGACATTAAAAGGATAATAGGGGAAAACAGTGAACATCTCTATACACATATGTTTGACAACTTCAACAAAATGGACTAAACCTTCAAAAAACACACAAACTATCAGCAATTCACCCAACAGGAAAGATATCTATATCTATATCTATATCTATATCTATATCTATATCTATATCTATATCTTTTTGAGACGAAGTCTCACTCTGTTGCCCAGGCTGGAGTGCAGTGGCACAATCTTGGCTCACTGCAACCTCCACCTCCTGGGTTGAAGCAATTCTCCTGCCTCAGCCTCCCGACAGCTGGGACTACAGGCACACATGGCCACATCTGGCTAATTTTTTGTGTTTTTAGTAGAGATGGGGTTTCACTGTGTTGCCCAGGTTGGTCTCGAACTCCTGAGCTCAGGCAATCTGCCTGCCTCGGCCTCCCAAAGTGCTAGGATTACAGGCATGAGCCACCATGCCCAACCAAAAGAGATAATTTAAATATAACTTTACTATTAAAGTAATTGAATTCATAATTGTAGAACTCCCCAAAAGAAATCTGCAGGCCCAGATAATTTCACCAGAAAATACCCATAATTGTTTAAAGAAAAATTAACACCAATTCAACTCAAAGTCTTTTATAAAGTGTGATGAGTGATCACTTCAACAATTTATTTTATGAAGTTATCATTACCCTGTTGCCAAAAATCAGAGAAAATCAGTTTAAAGAAAGAAACAAACAAATGAAATGACAATTTAATATCCCTAATAAATATAGATGCAAAAATTCTTAAAATATTAGAGATAGAATTCAGCAATATATAAAAAGAATTATAAACCATGACTACATGAGATTTATTCTAGGAATTAAAGCCTGGTTCAATATTTAAAAATCAATCAATGTAATCTACCATGTCAATAGGTTAAAGAAGAAAAATTACATGACTATATTAATCAATGCAGAAAAAATTTAATAAAACTTAATAGCCATTCAAGATAAAATCTATCAGAAAAATAGGAGTAGAGGAGAATTTCTAAAGTTGATAAAAGACATCTGCAAACATCTTACAGGTGACATATGCTTAATGGTACACACATACACATACACACACCCCTCCCAGAACTAGTAAGTTTGATCAGCAAGGTCTTAGGACACATGGTAAACATACAAAACTCATCTGTATTTCTCAATACTAGATGTAAACATGTGGGTGCAATCGAATTAAAAATACGCTTCCACTTGCAATCACTCAAGAAAATAATGGAATACTTAGGTGCAAATCTAATAAAACAAACATATATAGGACTTATATGATGAAAACTACAAAATTCTGATGAAAGAAATCAAAGAATATCTAAATAAATCAAGAGATGTACCATGTTTATGGATTGAAAAACTCAACCAAATGCGAGCAAGGACACAGAGAAACTGAGTTACTGATGCATTGCTTCTGGGAATGTAAAATGGCACAACTGCCCTGAAAAGTCATAATTTCTTTAAAAATTAAACATGCAACTACAGTATGACCCACATTTTTTTCTCCTGGACATTAATATGAGATAAATGAAAATCTGTGTTCACACAAAAACTCACATGTTAATGTGTATAACAGCTTTATTCACAGTAGCCCCAAACTGGAACAACCTGGTGTCCTGCAGTGAGTTAACAGTTAAATGGAATCATACTCAGCACTAAAAAGCAACAGACAAATGATTTACACAACAACCTGAATGAATCTTCAGAGAATTATGATGAGTATATATTTACCTAATGGTATCTCTGTATACCATTTATATAACATTCTTGAAATGATAAAGTTAGAGAAATGGAGAACAGATTAGTGTTTCCAGGGGTTAAGGAGGAGCTGCAGGTGAGAGAGAAGTAGGTGTGGCTGCAAAAGGGCCACATGAGCGATCCCTGTGGTGACAGAAATGTTATGTATCTTGCTTATAAATATCAATATCGTGGCTATGATACTGAATTTATAGTTTTGCAAAATGTTACCACTGGTCGAACTTGAGTAAAAGGTATGCAGGATCTCTCTGTATTATTTCTTTTTCTTTTTTTTTTTTTTTTTGAGACGGAGTCTCGCTCTTTCACCCAGGCTGGACTGCAGCAGCGCTATCTGGGCTCACTGCAAGCTCCGCCTCCCGGGTTCAGGCCATTCTCCTGCCTCAGCCTCCCGAATAGCTGGGACTACAGGCACCTGCCACCGCGCCCCGCTAATTTTTTGTACTTTTAGTAGAGACGGGGTTTCACCGTGTTAGCCAGGATGGTCTCGATCTCCTGACGTCGTGATCCGCCCGTCTTGGCTTCCCAAAGAGCTGGGATTACAGGCGTGAGCCACCGCACCTGGCCTCTGTATTATTTCTTACAGCTACATGTGAATCTACAATTATCTCAAAATAAAAAGTCTATTTAAATTTTAAATATATTCCATCGAATATAGGTACCTAATCAGAAGCCTATAGACTATGAATAAAACTGTAACTTTCATTAGTTGGGGATTCTAATAATCATAATTGAGGAAGACTGAGAAGTTTTTAAAAACAAAAAGTTGTAAGGAAAATAAATAAAATGTCTTACAGGATAGATTAAGCAGCACAACTCTTTTTATCTCTGTCACTTGGGTTGAGGAAATCTCAGGTTGATGCACTCTAGAACCTTGAAATTTTAATTCTCTGAGACTTCAAGGTTTTGTAGAAGTGACCCATTCTTCTTTAAGGTAGACTGGTGGCAAGGGGTACCAGCTTTAGAAACACAATTATGGCTATCTCTACGGCTATAGTCCAGGGCTGACAATAAGAGATGCTGTTACAGAGCTGGGCTCTCTAGCAGCAATGAGATGACAGAAACACAAATAATTGAGGCCAGGTGATGACACCTTAGCATCAGAAGGAAAGTGATCACAATTATCAAAATAAATAGCAAGGTCAGAATGACAGTCTTGGGACCTGACCCACAGAGAGTATGGAGATGGTTAATTGAACATTGAAGTCCAAGGGCAAAATAGATCAGTGGCCAACAAGGGTACTGTTTATTCTTTGTTGTAATAAGAAGAAATCAAGAATGGATAATCAGAAGGCTGAGACCAGCCAGCCCAAGAAAAAGTCATAAATCCTTTGCTTAATTTCCAGGCCTGAACCAATTATAATATTTAAATTCCACTGACTGAGGGAGAGGCTAAGTATAGATGAAGAAAGGCTTTGCAATACCAAGGCAAGTATGGATTGAAAGGATTTCCCAGTTCTTATAAAGCTATTTACAGTAGTCACCCCTTATCTGCAGTTTTGATTTCCAGTTTCATTTACCTGTGGTTAACCAAGATTTGAAAATATTACATGGAAAATTCCAGAAGTGAATAATTCATAAGTTTTAAATTGCACCCTATTCTAACCAGTGCGCATCATCTTTTTGTCTAGTGTATTCACTCTGCTTATATTACCTGCCCATTAATCACTTAGCAGTCATCTTGGTTACTAGATAGACTGTTGCAGTATGGCAGTGCTTATGTTTAAGTAACCCTTATTTTACACAATAATGGCCCCAAAGCACAAGAGTAGTGATGATATCATATTGTTATAATAGTTCTATTTTATTATTAGTTATTGTTGTTAATTTCTTAATTCACCTTATTTATAAATTAAACTTTATCATAGTTATTTATGTATAGAAAAAAAGTATAGTATAGATGATCCAGACTAATGATCTTTCAACTTATGATTTTTTGAATTTATAATGGTGCCAAACATCACAATTTTGACATACAGTATTCATGAGATTTTTGACTGTACAGTGGCGCTAAACCATCACAATGTTGACATAATGTACAATAGTCAATAAATTACATGAGATATTAAGTACTTTATTATAAAATAGGCTTTGTGTTAGATGATCTTGCCCAATTGTAGGCTGATGTACGTGTTCTGAGAATGTTTAATGCTAGAATAACCTATGATGTTTGGTAGGTTAGGTGTATTAAATGCATTTTTCACTTACAATATTTTCAACTTACAATGGATTTACTGGGATGTAATTGTACTGTAAGTTGAGGGGCATCTATATATATAGGCATTGGTACTATCCATAGTTCCAGACATCCACTGGGGGTCTTACAATGTATCCCCCACTACTGTACTCAGATAGTCACATACTGGAGTAAGAAAAATACTAAAATATTTTGAGGATAGTTGGATACTAGGTCCAAATCGGCACTGATACTGAGGAACCCAAAGTGTTATTGTGGCCACTGTTACTGTTGGGACCTGCAGTAGCCAGATAATAAATGGAATCCTGTCATAAGATAAAAATGAGATGGATCTGCTGGATCCATGGACATAACTTTAAACACTTCTCTTGTCCCAAAATGCAGAGTTGGAAACAACATACTTGTAATGGTACAACTCGGGAAGACTAAGTGGAGGCCCTATAATTGCCCCTATCTCAACCAAAATAATAAATAATTAAATCCAAAATAATACAATATCCCTGGAACATTAGGTAATAATTAGTGTCACCCATAAAAATGTAAAGGATATGGCCGGGCGCGGTGGCTCACGCCTGTAATCCCAGCACTTTGGGAGGCCGAGGCGGGCGGATCACGAGGTCAGGAGATCGAGACCATCCTGGCTAACACGGTGAAACCCCGTCTCTACTAAAAATACAAAAAATTAGCCGGGCGTGGTAGCGGGCGCCTGTAGTCCCAGCTACTCGGGAGGCTGAGGCAGGAGAATGGCGTGAACCTGGGAGGCGGAGCTTGCAGTGAGCCGAGATCGCGCCACTGCACTCCAGCCTGGGCGATGGAGCGAGACTCCGTCTCAAAAAAAAAAAAAAAAAAAATGTAAAGGATATAACCTTGATCGTCACCATCATGTCCCCATATAATTCAGTATTCTGGCCTCTCCAAAAAAAAAAAAAAAAAAAAAAAAACCAACAAAAAACAACAGTAGGGTACTGGAAGATGACTTATAGATGGTTATAAACTTAAACAAGTAGTGGCCTTGATTGGAACTGATGTGACAAGTATGGTACCTTTGCTGAAACAGAGGGCAAGGGCACTGTAAATGGCCATTGATCTGATGAATGCATCATTTTCCACCCATATCAGCAAAAAGAATTAAAAGTAGTTTATATTCACATGTCTAGAGGTACCAGAACAAGGTCATATTGGTCCATATAATTTTAATCAGCCAGCGTGATCATGAAGTTGTAGGCTCCTGCAGGACTTGGTAAAATACATGGTGCTCTAGACAGTAAGAGGTAATTCCTCCAAATATTCACTGAAGATTTTAGGAGTTTGGTGGTCTGGGACATAGTAGGATATTTCCTCCAAAGTAAAGGACAAAGTAATACATTTCGAAACACCCAATAACACACATAAAAAGGCATAATACAATGGAACAGCACTGTATTCACTCTTGGGAATGCTGCTGTGACCCATTTACAGAGTGACATAGAAAACTAGCAGATTTCATTGGGATCCAGATGCAGAAAGAGCTCTGTTTCTGTGATGCAAGCAGCCCTGTCATTTGCTCCCTATGACCCATCTGGTGTCTGTGTGGGAAGATATGCTGTATAGGGTTTATGGCAAGCATCCCTAAGTCTCTGGACCAAGGCCATGCCATCTAAAGCCCAGAAATATTCACCATTTTAAAATCAGGTCCTGGTAGCATCTTGTCATGGGGCATCAAATGGCCACACTGGCAGAACTATATATCATGATTTGGCTTCTGCCAGATTCACCAAGTCATAAGAAGTGGGGCCAGACACACTTCATCGTAAGACAGAGTGGTTCACTCAGGAGTAGACATGAGCAGGTCCAAAGTAAGCTGCATAAGTAGGTGCCACAGAATTCCAGGTCATCTACCATCATTGCACTACCTCCTCACCCTCAGGTCATGCTATGGCCATGCTGAGTGTCCCATGTGAGTAGCTCATGAAGGAGGAAAATGGTTGAGCTTGGTTTAAAGATAGTTCAGCCCAGTGAGTGAAAGCTGAAAAGGAACTCTTCCTAAGCCACAGTCCTACTCAGGGAGGGCCTTGAAAGGTGGCAATAAGCAGAAACCCTCAGAATAAATAGTTTTCAGTGGTAGATATTGTCATGCACTTTGTGTAGAACAGAAGTGGCCTTAGGTAAAGAAAATATATGGCTACATAGTCCAGGTCCTGGAAGGAAGAAGGTTAGAAGCTCAGAGAGTAGGAGGTCTGGGATAGAATCCTGCAGATGGATTTATAGGTGTGAGCATGGAGTATAAATACCTTGGTATCACATGTTAACACTTATCAAAGAGCACATGTTAAATAAGGGGCCATGAACCAGTAAGTAGATGAAATGGCCCAGTGACCTGATGTCAGCTAGCCTCTCCTGTCCTGGCACAATAAGCTTGTGAATGTAGTAGCCAGGGTAGCAGGAATGGAAGCTACACATAAAGCCAAAAGTAAGAGTTCCCACTGACCAGGGACCATCCAGCCTTTGCCTCTGCCTATTATCTAACCTGTCAACAATAAGAACCAATGCCGAACCCCCATTATGGCACCATCCATCAAGTTCAATCAGCTACTTGTGGCAAGTTCATTACATTGAACTCCTTCCACTCTGACGGAGGGCAGCAGTTTATCTTCACTGAGATTAACACTTATCTGCCTTTCATGCCCACAGGATCTTTTTCAGCACCTCTACTCAGGCACTTAGAGATTGATCCACTGACACTGGTTTCTTCATAATATTACCTCAAAACAAAGGACCCATTCTACAGTAAAAGAAATACAGAAATGGGCATAAGACTATGGAATCCACTGGTCCTATCACACTGGTCCTGCATCACCCAGAAGTTGCCAGCTTGACATGGCATGAAAACACCTTTTGAAGATGCACCTAGAGTGCCAACCAGAATATGTACCTTGAATGTTTGGTGTCCTTCAGGACAGCATATACACTCTAAATCAATGACCATTTTATGGTACTGTGCCCCTAATAGATAGAAAATATGGGCTTGGGAACCTAGGAGTAAAAGTATAAGCAGCCTTGTTTATCATCATTCCCATGGTACCCATGTGAGGGACTGGTGTGTCCTGTACCTAAAACTTTAATCTCTTTTGGGTCTGGATTTCCTTGTTCCCAGAGGGGAAATGCTTCCACCATGGTATACTTATACTACAAAGAGAAATCCACTAATTGGTGAATGTTTCCAAATTTTTAAATGACTGTTCAAGGCTATGAATTTTATCCACTCATTGTTCTCCAGATTCCAAAATATGTAAAAGCTACTAACCGTAGTGAACATTAGTGAAAACAATTCTGAAAATTCCTCACTTTAGTATCTAAGTTCTAAGAAAAGATTCTAGCATCTCATAGATTATCAGTATCGGATGAATGAATGAATAAATGAATGAATGAATAATTTGCAATAAATGTGAAGTGGGTGAAAAACACAAATACAGAGTGTGTGACAGTCTTGGAATGTCGAACTTCTATTGGAACTAAAAATACAGATTGCTACTCTATGGTCATAAAAAATACATTTACTTTAGTGAAAAAAGGCAGAAATCGCAAATGAGATGTTGGCTTAAAAATGCACAATTCACTGGACTAGCTCAGGTGCTCTGTTGTCATTCTTATCAGCAGTACTAACAGTGTTACTACTAACTAGTATTAGCAGCAATATAATTAACATTGATATTTTAGCGCTAATGCTGGATTTTTATGGTATTCAACTTAATAAAAAATCTGTAAATAGAAAAAATACATAATTAATTAAATGTCCTCATTCATGTCATAAAAATATAAAGAAATAAAGTAGTTGTTACAGGTATCACCATTATAAATTGACATTTTGGAATACTATAAGATGCAAAAACAAAGACAAAAAGTAGAAACTGGACTGGTCATGGTGGCTCACGCCTGTAATCCCAGCACTTTGCACTTTGGGAGGCCGAGGTGGGTGGATCACAAGGTCAGGAGTTCAAGACCAGCCTGATCATCATGGTGAAACCACGTCTCTACTCAGAATACAAAAATTAGCCAGGCGTGGTGGTGCACACCTGTAATGTCAGCTACTTGGGAGGCTGAGGCAGGAGAATTGCTTGAACCCAGGAGGCAGAGGCAGAGGTGGAGGTTGCAGCGAGCCGAGATCATGCCACTGCACTCCAGCCTGGGTGACAGAGCAAGACTCCATCTCAAAAAAAAAAGGAACCTTCATAGTGTATATGACTACCACTCAGGCTTTAGTCAATACAGTGCTCATGATGTAGAAATTGTAAGATATGTCTTTCTCTTTTCATATCATTGCAGACAAGGCTTACCATTTGTTTTCTTCTAAAAGGTATAACGTTAAACTAAGTATTTGTTATCACTGTCGGGACCTTTAATTAAAATTTTATATTTTTCAAATTTCTGGTAAAAACCTGAATAAAAAGATAAAAATGTAATTTTTACTAGTTATCCTTTATATCCCACCACACCATACCTATCTATTAGTGTTTATTTATTTAATAAACACTTAAGTAGCACCTACTAATTGCCAGGTGATAAATATCCCAAGCACTTTACCAAAATTAACTCTTGTAACTCTCATAGCATTATATGGATAACTTTCCCCACTTTACGAAAAGAAAACTGGAATACAAACAGATTTAAGTGCCCAAGGTCACAAAGTAGCAAGTGGGAGGTGGGATATGAACACAGGCAGTCTCCCAAGTCCATGCTCTTTAAGACTACGCTGAGTTTCCTCTCTAAGTATCTGATTCCAAGGTAAACTTGAATAAATTATATAAGTATTTAAGTGGATGATAACTAATTTCATGTTGTTCTCCCTTCTAAACATCCATTATTTTAACTAGCTCTGTCAATACACTCAATGGGGATTCAACTTCCTATCATACGGATGGCATATCTGCCGGTGGGAGGAGAGGACAAGAAGTTTGGGGAGGGGAAGGAGAGCAAGTGAGCGAGTGAGTGCTTTGTTCTGAGCACTTCTCAACGCATATCCAGACCCCATTCTTATTAGAAAATCGAAACAAATACTACCATTTCTTGAGGATATATCCCTAGAGTCATGCTCACCTTTTACACTCATGGTTGTGGTTTTTTTTGGGGTGGGGGACGGGGACAGAGTCTTGCTCTGTCACCAAGGCTGGAGTGTGGTAGCGCAATAATGGCTCACCACAGCCTAAATCTCCTGAGCTCAAGTGATCCTCCAACCTCAGCCTCCCAAGTAGCTAGGATTTCAGTCATGCACCACCCTGCCTGGCTAATTTTTGTATTTTTTGTAAAGATGAGGTTTCTGCAGGTTGCTCAGGCTGGTCTCAATTCCTGGACTCAAATGATCCTTGGCCTCCCAAAGTGCTGGGATTCCAGGCATGAGCCACCACACCTGGCCTTATGCTCATGTTTATTACCTCTTAATTCTCACAGCTTTGTAAGAGTTAGTTCTCTGTTCCCTAAAACAAGTCCCCCATTTTATAACGGAGATAATTGAGGCTGAGAGAGCATCAGTGACTCTCTAAAGTCATCCAGGTGTGTCTGACTTCAAAACAGCTCTGTCCTCCTGTGCTAGCTACCATCTATGCTGCTGAGGAAATTGATTTCACTGCAGTTTATTACTGTCTCCTCATGGCTCAGCCTGACTTTTGTTGGAGTCATGCTTTGGTTTGGGTTTCTCTTTTGCTCTGTGGTTTTGGCACAGTCCCTAAATATGCCTTATTTATTCCATCCATATGGCAGTTTTCATTTGATGGCACACAGTTTGCAGTCTTAGAGGATGGCTCACATTTGCATTTTGCGTTACTCTCATAGGTCAGTCTGATATCCACCACCCAGTTCTCCAGGTGGAAGAATAATCAAAGAGCCTTGGGGGAAAGAGGGATTCTCATGGTTGAAGATGATGAAGATGTGAAGGCTGGATTTGATAATGAAGAGTCTTCTTTGTGTTCTCTCATTATTTATGCCACATCTGCCTCTCAGCATTTGTGTCAATGAGTCACTGTAATTACAGCCGTTGGATAATTTCCTCCGTTTTACAACACAAACCCGACTGTGTGAGTGCTCCATCAGAGAAAAACATTTATTTCCTTGCAGCACCATCAGGCAGCAAGGTCCAGCTTTCTTGAGACGTGGTTATTAGCCAAGTCAGAACAAATGGCTTCTGTTCTTACTCACGCTAACTGAAAGTGAGACTTGAGGAGCTTAGCTGATTACGGAGACACAAAGGATCAGAATTCTTTTTTCTATATAAAAGCCAGAATTTTGACTGAGGATCTTGCTTAAAAAATGATTTATGGAAAAATGAACTATGCTGACCCTGAAATGGAGGGGTGGGGGTAAACTGGGGAGAATCACGCTTCACTGTTTCTGTTCACTAGTACCCCTACCCCAAAACAAATAAGTAGCTCCTACCATCAACAAGATGTTATAAGGCAAAAATATCTGGTTTAATTAAATACAAAAAGAATTCTTGAAAGTTGTATGTATGATAGAACCTAGGTGTTTTCAGTCCCTGCATCCTGTTGCTTGTTCATAGACTAGTTCCCAAGATGAATTAAAAATACTGGGTCTGGAGCAGAAACTCTTCTCTGCCATAAGAGAGAACTAATCTTGTAATTCTACCACATTGCAGGAGGAGAAAAGAGACCTTATATGTTATGATAATCTTTTTCGATTAATGCTGTGGGTGTTCATGACTGAAGAGCCATTCATCATTCTATTTGTGACTTACTAGGTGAATCGTGAGACACTATAAACCAGCCCTTATTTAACTGTGTTTTATGTTTTCTCCAGGAAAATACAAATTTCCATTTCTACCCCTAGCACTGTACTACACCAAAGACTGCAAAAAGCAAATGAGGCCACAAAGAAATGGAAAAAGAAAAATAATGTTAAGATATTTTTGCAGATATCCAGAGAGAATGTTTTCCTGTTGCTAATATGGAGGCAATGCTTGTCTTCCACATCTAAGTTGAAGAGGCTGGCTGTCCATGTGATTTGAGGTCACATAAGAACTGTCCATAAATGTCCATCCTTCACTTTCACACTTTCTTAGTCCCACAAGGTTTTACCTCCAGAATATCGTTGTTAAAATTCAACCTAGGAGGATTCACAGACTAATGCCTCCACTTCCATTAGTATGGATCATTTCTGTAATTTTCCAACTTTTCTTTTTTTCAAAACAGATCACTTTCTCAAAAGAAAGTATAAGGCAGAACCCTAATACAAGTTGAGTATCCCTAATACAAAAATGTGAAATTTAAAATGCTCCACAATCTGAAACCTTTTGAGCACTGACATCATGCTCGAAAAAATTGCATATTGGAGCATTTTAGATTTGGGGTTTTGGATTAGGGTTGCTTAACCAGTAAGAATAATGCAAATATTCCAAAATAAAAAAACTTTTGAAACATTACTGATCCCAACATTTTGGATAAGGTATACTCAATCTGTATTACAAAATAAAAAGGAACGGAGATGATCTCTGTTTGAAAAGACCAGATTGGAGAGTTCCCAGTTACGCTGAAAAAATACTTCCCAGATGTGACTGTGAGACCCATCCATGAGACATTACCACTCTATGAAACATACTTTTAAAAGCACTGAAATAACATTTGGCTTGGGAAAAGATAACTGAACCCTGTGAGAATCCAAACTAAGTGACCATCTTGTGGCTGGGCAAAAAGGCAGGTAGACAGGAAGGAAGGATGAGCAGTGGAAGGTGATGCCAATGCGGACAGTTCTTAGTGGGAGCCACAGTAAGGCCACTGGAGTTGACATTCAACCATTAATGCAGGTATTAACAGTGGATTTTCACTAGTGTCATGGGAATCCTTAAGCATTTCCAACTCCTAGTCTCATGCCTAAGTTTTGGATGCCAACAATCTCTAACCCACATGTGATCATCTTCCCAGGGTTTTATGTGGTCTTTTCTGATGTGCTATGCTTGGAGAAATTGAGAAAGCAACACAGAGAAGCTGCACACCAGGGAGGCATATTATAAAGTAGTTTAAATGGGAGTTTATCCTAGCCTCAGGCCATGCCTCACTAACAGAGAAGCAGGAAAAAATCAAGAGAGGTATGGTATTTTTAGGATGTACCCAGACAACTTTATGTCTGAGATAAAAATAAAATCTCAGAGAACTCTAATAACCCTCAGCAACTCTCAGCAGAGCATTAAGCTCTAAAGACCAAAATCTTTATTTGATAAGTAAAGGATATCAGTAAATATTAAAATTACTAGGTGTGTTAAATAAAAACTGTGAACAAACAAGTTTTTTTTGTCTTCGAAAGTGGCTTGGCTTTTCTTGTTGGGAGCTCATAAAAGCTTCCTTGTGATCACCCCCTTTTAGGTAAGAATTATTCTTCATGGTTAAAAAACAAAAAATGTGTTTTAACTGGGGTGATGTAGGCTAAAATTGCTCCAAGCAATTTTGTATAATGGAATTTCATAGTAAAAAATTAACTACAAACCACTGACTGGGTCCATTGTCTTTCTCAATGCTACAATTTTGCTGCTGGAAAAGGGGGTTTGCTATTCAAGGATGCAAAAGTGTGATTCAAGAATCAAGCCTTTTCATCTCTCGTGGGATATTGTCCTTTATCAGAGCATTCTTGGTGGATAAACATGTAAATTATTATGCAAAGCAGGATGGAGTAATTCAAATTGACAATTGCCCTATTAAAAAAAAATTAAAATGTGGAAGCCTTGAACATGTGTCTGCTGACAATAAAGGAGGTTCGTGTTAAAATCAATATTGTTTGGTGTCATTTTCGTATATATTTCAAGCAGATAAATTCGCTTTCTTTACTTTCTATTATAAAATTGCTTTTTTTCTACCTGTGTATTTAACAGAGACAATTTCAATAGGAAACATTAAATTGTAGTTCTATGTATATATATATACACACATATAACTACATATATAAATATGTATGTTTATATAGTATATATAAATTATAGTTATATATAACTACAATTTAATATAAATTTAATGAATAATTTAATAAAAATAAATTTAATAAATAATAAATTATATATAACTATATATATATATCACAGAGAATAGATTATTGCCTTTATCATTCTCTTAACAACTATAAAGCTGCTATACTGCACCTTCAATGAAGATCATTCATCTATAGCTAGCAATTACTTCCAAAGACTTAATTGATGGCCATATTTAAAAGAGAACACCATTACAATTTGTTATTGAGCTACCACCAATTCTACCAGTTTACCTGCACCTACACCCATCGAGTCTGCCTTTCTTTCCTACTGGGACAGCAGATGAGTTGGCCTTGTTCTTATCTATGACAAATCCTCCGCTTGTGCCCTGCTTCCTTTGCCCTCATAACTGCTCTGTGGCTTTCATCCAGCAGAATTTCCTTTTCTCTTTGGTATCGTTACTTTCTCCCTATTTACCTTTTTATCATTCCCACCACCATGAGTGCAATATCACTGATCTTAAAATAAACAGTAAATGGTGTTGACTCCAAATCCTTTTATTGCCACATTTCTCTACTTCCCTCCATAGCAAGACCCTTGAGAGAGGTTCTGCATGTATTTGCTGTTTTCAGTTATTTACCTCCTATTTTCTCCTTAACCAATTCATATCAAGCTTACATTCCCATTTCATCCAGTGATATGGCTCAATGTGTTAAGATTTCCAGTGACACACATCTTTGCAAAGATAGTGGTTAATTTTTTTTTTGTCTTCCTTTTACCTGATTTCCTAGTGGCTCTTGATTCTTTTCTTCTAGATAAGTTCTTCTCTAGGCTTAGAGGAAGCTTTTGCTTCCTTCAATTCAGGGTCTTTTCCAACTGTTGAAACATTGATGTCCTTTAGGTATCTCTCCGGCCATCTCCTCTGACTACATTCACTCTCCAAGTGATTTATCTAGTCTCTTGACTTTGAAAATGAATTCCATCATGGTAACTTTTAAATGTTATTTTCTAAATCTAGCTTCCTTGCTGTACTCTGTACTCATTTAATTGCTTTTTTCACATCTCTGGTTGGAGGTCTAGTAGTCACTACAAACTTAACATGGCCAAAAAATAACTGTTGATCCCCTTGCCAAACACACACACATATACAAGCCCCAGAATCTTCTTCTTACCAAGTTTTCAACATTTATATAAACAGTAATGTTATCCATCTAGCTGTTAGGGTCAAAATTCCAATTTTATTTGTCACTTTCCAATTCACATCCAATGCATCAGTATAAGTTGTTCTGCCTGCAGTACTGGTTTTGAATTTGAACTCTACAAGAGTCAAATATCTCATCTCTAGACTGGCCTTCTCTAATTGTCTCCCCCACCACAGTTTTTCCATCTCACTATAGTTGAGTAATTAATTTTTTTTTTTTTTTTGCCTGTGATCTACCCACATCGTACATGATCTGGCACTTGTTACCTCTCAAAGCCATCTCCCTGTACCCTTCCCCCTGTTTGTTACTCTCAGACACACTAGTTGGAATATTGACTTCCCAGCATATGACTGCTCCTTCTCCATATTCAAAATGCAGCTTAAATGATACCTTCTCAAGAGAAGCTTTCCCAGGCCAGTGTAGCTAAACAAGAACTATAAACCTTCCCTTCTACAGCCATTTTTTTCCCTTTCTTATTAACTTATTTGTAGCACTTAATATTACTACAGGGTACTCTTTTAAATGTTTTTGTTTTATTTTATTTTTTCATTGGCTGTCTCATACACGAAACAAGATTCTTGGGAGCAGAGACTTTGTTTTGTTTCCTGAAATCTTAACTAGTGCCCAGCATACAGTATGTACTCAGTAAATATTTGGTAATGTATTGCTTGACTTAATCATCATTCACACAGGGATTTTACCTCTGCTGTTCTATCTTTTGTACCTGAATAAAGTTCATGAGGCTTCACTAAACCAAAGAAAGGTAATTAGCCTTTGTTTTGTTTTTATTTTTTTAGTGTTGCTCAAGACAGAGCTAGACAGAAATGGTTTTAAATTAGAGCAATCTTTAGGAACAAATATTAAAATGTTCTAACATATTAAGTAAGATTTTTAGATGATATAACTACCTACATAATAAATGAACGTGAACTAAATATATGAATAAGTAAAATGAAACAACTCATACTATTAACAGATTTAACAGATGTTGAATCCAGTAGTTGCCAACTCAATTTAACAATGTGCACAATTGACTGGTAGTTGACAACATTCTCCTATCGGGCACATTGCCTTTGCCCTTTCCACTCTCACTCTTTTCAAAGCATATGCATTGTGCAAAATGTTTTTTATTTGTATTTTGTCACTTACGGGTACTGATGTCAGGCAATATAGCCTATAGCTATAAGATCCACTATTATTGCTCAAGATAAATTACAAAAACACATTTGATACTCGGAGAGGATTCATATGAAAATACCTACAACCTATCAAAGATGACTGTAGGAAAATAGTGGCAGTAAACAGAAAGAGTCATGCTTTGCTTAAACTTGTTCAGTCCCTTATGAAACATAAACATAAAATTATCTGTGGTTGTTTTATAGGGATGGAGAATATATATTTTCTTTCTTTCTTTTTTTCTTTTAAAAACTAGACAGCTTCTCCTATGGAACTGTTGAACTGAAGACAGACTTTTCAAGGTGTTTATTGTTTCCAGGAGAATCAAAGAATTTTAGAAGGTGAAGGATGGATTTCCAATGTTTCTTGAACCAGTTTTCAGAGATAAAATTGGAGCAATTTATCCCCATTATGTTGAGACACGTCTCTTGTAGGTTTTTCTTTCAGTGTTTATCTTTTCCTTCTGTCAATACTGCTGACTAATCCTGCAATTTTCTAAGAATCAGTTTTTAATTGCAAGCAAGAGACAGAAAACAGAAACACTCACAGGAAATGTGGGTGAGGACTCTATCTTATAAAGATTTTGCAGAATAAACTCATATGGTTCTCTTATGTGAGTGCCACAGCAAAGCCCACACAGATTGCAGAGCCAAGCTAGGATGTGTTATGCCTGATGATTTGAACAAATCCTCACAATCCTGAAATGGTGGTTATTTTATATTTCTTCTTCTCTTTTATATGGATAAACTAAGTCAAATCGGGTGTGGGAACAAGCAACTAAGCTGCCAGAGCTAATTCCCCCGCACATTTACACCACCCACTTTTAAAATAAAAATGCCAACCTGTTAATCAGTTTACTGTTAAGCCCTTTGCTTTAGTAACAAAATATATGCCAAGCCCATGTTAAGTGGACTAGAGGTCTTCTAATGCTATGCAGGACATAAAGTAGGCAGGCAACAGTCTGCTCTGAGGCAGAATTCAATTTGGAGGATGAGAGGGTGATGGAGAAGAGTACACATTTAAATAAGAAGAATGGATATTATAAAGCATTTTAGAGTTTTGAAAGCATTTTTATATGTGTTATCTCATGAAAACATTAAGAACTCTACAAGATACTACCCAATTAAGAGCTAAACTCTTTACATGGCAGAGAAGTAGAGAATAAACTAAGGTTGAAAATAAATGGGAATGAAGTAGTTGGGGCTATGGTACTGAAACATCTGGGCAAGAGCCTCTGATTATGCATTCAAATCTCAGGGAAGGGTACAGATTTTCCAAGGCTCATTCAGCATAGTATTTAGTTGCTGCATGATGCTAACCAGGGCTGCCAATAGTGAAAAGTGACTTAGAAACACAGACCCTGAAGGTGAAGAAATATTGGGATCAAGGTTAATTGTAATAGTAAAGATTAAAGTGGCATGCAATTGTGTGGAGAAATCTATGTTAGATTTGTTACTAGAAATACTCTGTTTATATTCATGTTGAAATGTATGTTTTTTCCAAGAAATGCTGCCACCAAATATTTAGCATGTTTTAAAATCAAGGGCATGTTAGGATTGAGGAAATATGGAATATTTGTTTAATTCAAGTTAATTTTAATTTAATACAACCTCCTGCTTTTTCTGTTCTGCACACCGAAGCATCCACCAGGCATTGAAATGATATGTATGTGTGGTATTTTTATGTACTGTTTATTGCTCTTGAAAAGTGGTGCCCATATATTCTAGAGCTGAATGTTGGCAGCAGTACGGCTCTTTTGGTAGAGTAGCCATACCTCCCCTGGTTACCTGACAGGTGTATCTGAACTTAGGGCCAACCTCAAGAGTCAGAATTATGCTCCAATTTGATTTTCCTTTCCTTTTCCTTTACTTGTTCTTCAAAGGCAACCTGTTTATATCACAGCAAGTCCTCACTCAGTGTTGTCCATAGCTTCTACGAAACTGACTGTAAGCAAAACAACTTAGAACAAAACCAATTCGACCACAGGCAAATTGATATAAACAAGAGTTGAGCTTCTATGGCATATTTCTGATCACGAAAACATCACCACACTTCATAAAGACCCCAAACACTTCTCAGATTAACCACTGAAATAAATGTGGGCTATACAAATATTTAAGGACTAAGAACAATTAATAAAAGCAAGAATGATAATTATTGACCTGCTTATTCTAGTTTAGGATCACAGGTAGCCAGAACCTATCTCAGCAGTTTAGGGCTCCAAGCGGGAACCAGCCCCGGACAGGACACTATCCCATTGCAGGGCACATTGACACTCACGCCCACACTCAATCAGTCTGCTTTCATGGAGACATGCCAATTCACTTACGGTGCACATCTGTGGGATACGGGGGAGACTGGACTACCTGGAGAAAGCCCACGCAGACATATGGAGAATGTGCAAACTCCACAGGGAGTGGTCGCAGCTGGCAATGGATTTCTTTTCTCATCAATGTTATAAGGAAATGATGTTGAATGAAATGCCATTATTCCAGGACAGAATAATATATTTGAAAAGAGCTGATATTTATCATGAAATGTCAAAATCTTTTTTATTTTATCATGAAATTCAAATCTTTGCCTCCAAAGCAGATGCAAAATATCTGAAATCAAACCACTTTACATTTTTATTAAAACTTGTACTAATGGAGAGATAGTCTCAATTCAATGTTTACTTTTAAAAGCAGTCTTCTGTTGAAAACAGAAGTTTGGGTCATTCATCCAAGGGCTTGGAAAACAGTTCCAGCTTGAACTGTTTAAATTTAGAGGGAAATGTGTTGAATTTGGATTGGTATGGAAAGAATCCCTAAGCAGGAAGTTGGCATTTTTAAGAAAAGAGGAGAATAAATTAATAATAGGTGTATTCTGTCAGTGGTATACAGTAGCTCTCTCTCTCTTTTGTCATAAGTAAGCTATCAGTGTATTTACTTTTGTCAAAAGACAAAATTATAACAAATTTTGTTTAAGAAGTTAATTTTATTTGTGATTCTGAAATTGGGCAATACCTTATTCCATAAAATCGAATGAATACTCCAATGAGCTGAGCAGAGGAAGTTTTATAGGCAGAAAAGGGCTGAAGGAAGCAGCAACAAGGGACAGGGATTGGTCATTTCAAAGTTACTTTTCTTATGGCATTAAAATAAAGGAATGGGTTGAAATAGAACTTCCTTGTCATACTGTCTCAGGAAAACTAGGACCCATCTGATTAGTTACTGCGAATCTCTTGTTTTTGGGAAGTTGGCCTGTTTCAAAGTTTAGTTTGATTACTTGGCACTTAGCACAAGTGACTAGATTCTGGTTTTGTCTGATCTGTAAGGATGTAGTGCAGGAGGCTACTCCAAAACAATGGCCTCCCATACATTTTAACACATTTATATACCTGTGCTTTTTTTGTTCCATATCTAGTGGCAATTCTAATACTGTATGGCTGAAGTAAGACACATAAGGCACTCTGCACACTCTAAGAAATGTAATTCATCAATTCATTACATGTTGCCTTACCATTTAATTTCCACAACAAAAGTAGCAAGTAGCGTCCTTATTTTACAAGGAGAACACTAAGACTCAGGAACTAAAGTATGCTGCCTGTAATGCTGTGAGCAGTGAGTAGTGGTGTTAGAGGTAGACAGGCATGAGCAGGCAGGAGAGAGTGCTCCCCCTACCCACTAGAAATGTTGGGTGATGGTTTGGCAATTATCGCATTGCCTCTCTAAAAATGATAATTTGGCAGCCAGGGAGGGACTGTCTCCTGATGGTCCACACCTTTTAACATTAAAAGCGTTAATTGAATGCAGGCCCCAGGGAGAAGCAGCTTCTTGGGCATGCATATTAAGAGACAAAATGGCGAAGTCTGATGTTCCGGGAGCACACACCACCAAAAGAATGAAAAAAAGCCTCAGAAGGGCATAGGTTTAATTACCTAAACACACAGCGTGTGCTCACTTCCAAAGGGTAAGGAAAGCACGGTGCATGCAGGAAGCCCACCCTAAGGGAAGAATCATGGGAAAGAGGTGAACCTATAAAATCCAAAGGTCAAGTTTAAAGACCTCCTTTTTTTTTTGCTGTCTTCTCCTCTCTCTTGGACTTTCGGGTACCTGTTCCCAATGAATTTTCCTTTCTTTCCTTTTCTAAAGCCTTTTTAAATAAACTTCCACTCCTCCTCAGAAACTTGCCTCAGTCTCTTTTTCTACCTTACGCCTCTCAGTCAAATTCTTTCTTCTGAGGAGACAAGGACTGAAGTTGCTATGGACCTCAAAGGATACACTGGGGTAACTCAGGGTAACTCAGATCTCTTCCACCAGTAACAGTGGAACTGAGATTTAAGTACAGTTGGATCTCTCTGGCCCAGATTGATTCACACACCTTAGGGAAAAGACTGGAAAGTCTATGGAATCCATTTTGAGAAATGCTGTGTTAGGACATACATGTTGGTTGTATCATAATTAAATGCTTATGTTTGCATTTATCTCCCTAAACTCAGAGGTCCTTGAGGGACAGACATCTGCCTTCTTCATCTGTGTATCTCTATTTCAGTACAGCATTGTTAAATTAACACATGAAAGTGGCTTGAAGAGTCCGAGAGAGCTCCACTGGATTTACTTGGAAAAAGATTCATCACCTTTTTCCAAGCAGATTAAAAACAGCTGAGACATAATAAATAAAGTACAAAAATGATAGACGATACAGTGTTCTAGGGCTGAAAGATGTGGTCTTTCTAGAGACACTATCACTCTTCAAATTCTTCCTTGACCTTTTGAGCTTTGAGTAGATCTTCCTTGGAAGAAGTTAACATGGAGATAAACACCATTGCATACGCATACACCCCCTACTCTCCACTCACTGAAGGGCAGTGCTAGACATATGAATACTACTCAGCAATGTTACTTAAATAGATGGATGACTGAATGAAACAGATGATAGTCCAACCTGTAAGTTGTTAACCACACCACATGGGAGTGGTATCCATCACCTGAGAGCAGAACCTACAGGCCACTTCTCACAGCACATCAACAAACTATCGCGGTCTAGGGTGCTCACTTGAGTGACCTCTGGCTTATTTTGGAGTCCTCAAGGGTGGACCTACTGACGGGTTGGTAAGGCAGCCTTAGCAGATGGCTTTGGTCTGGACTGTGGGGTAAACATGGTGGACTGACATGTCCATACAATTGGCATAATGCCAATGCCAGTGCCAAATCATTGGAAGTTCTTTGGTGAAGAAGACTGGATCCCCAGGAATTTGTGCTTGCTTTCTTGTTTTCAGGTTGGGAGTCCTCAGAGATGTGATATACTCTGGGAGGCAGCTCAGGCCTTTTCTTAAGCAGTTGCCTCCAGCATTAGAATTACTAAAAGAGAATTTTACAATTACAAAAAGTAAATTCTACCATGTGAAAAATTCTATTGTTTGCCTCCAGTGACATTATAGAAATGAAATCTACTCCCCTCCCTTATTAGAGTTCTGCATACACGGGTAGACAAATGTGACAGATATTGTAATTTAAATGCAATTGTTCACTTAGCTAGCCCCCTGGAAACCTGTCTCTTACAACTTGCCTTTGGGTGGAGTCCTTAAGACAGTTCTCTAAAAGAACAAAGCTCAACAAGGTTTGAAAACAGAAAATTACTGTGGTGTCATCAAACCAGCCTCCTCCAAAGTTCTCTCCTGCCCTTGCCTGTTGTCCCAGGCTTAGAATTCTGCGTCAAGAAAGTCTGAAGACTAGGCTTATTTGTGAATAAATGGTGAGGCCTCAGACTCTGTATTCCTAAAAATAAAGAGAATACACACATTTTATCCATTTTTCATTCTTAAATCCCTGTGTTGTATTCAGGAGAACAGATATTTCTTCCTATTAAAGAAGCTGTATTCTTCATTAAGGGTTTTACAGATCCCCTGGGTCGATCTCAATGAAAGGTCTGGCAACAAAAGTCATTGAATAAATATTATTCTTTTGTCTTTATGCGACACCTTGAATTTGATTTGCTTAATACCTTGCCTAAACATAAAACATGGTTATTTTCCCAAACTTCTCCTGGCCTACGGATAGTTGAAGAGGTTATGGCCGAAATGTGGGGAAGCAAATCTCTAAACCAAGGCCTGAAGATCTGAGCTCAGCTGTAGCCTTTGTATTGTGCTTGGGTGAGGCAGGGGCTTGTGGGGCGACAAGTTATTCCTCTTCAAACTTAGAGAAAAGCCCTTCAGTCATTTCCGAAAACTTTCTCACCAAAAACGTTTATAGCTTCTATTAAAGCGTTTATTTACATACAATAATCTGTCTTTTTTGCCTGATAATTTCAGATGCTCTTTTTATTTTTAACAATCCCAACAGGGTTAAATATATTAGGAATCTTTTGTCCTCAATTCAACGTGATTTGGGTTCAAGGAATATTACGTGGGACGTGCGGCCAAATGAAAGATAAAATTGATTCCTGCTTCCCTGTAGGATAGGCTCAGTTTTTCCACTGGAGAATCTTTCAGCAGGTCATACATATCCCTCCCCAGTCCCCACCCATCTCTAGAGACTAGCAAGGCATAGCAGCTATTTCACACATTTTTATCTTTGAAAGCTTGAAATCAGAGCTTAGGGTGTAACGCAAATAAAGACCTAAGCACATATTAAGGAAAGAAATTTGACACTTTAAGAATTTCATCTCCTCCAAGCCAGCTCACTGACAGATTACATACAGAGAGGAACAGGTTAATACTTACATAACTGATTGAAAATTGGTGCTAATTGGCTTGGGGTTTAAATGAGCAAGCTCCATCAGGCAGCTGGGCTAGTTGACAGTTCCTTATATGAAAGTATTACGTGGAAATATAATTTATCTCTATGTAATGATGTTTATTCTCTGAAAATTAGGTTAAAATTGAAGAAATCATTTCCCGCATCCTCAATTAAAACAAATAGCTCACATTTAGCTCAACTTTAGCATTCATGGGCCTTGGGGATACATTTTCCCCATTTTACAAGTAAGCCACTGCCTACATTTTCCTGGGCCGAATGGCCTGGAGGATCAGAGTATTTTAGAAAAGGTTAAAAGAAATTGTACCACATCCAGGAAGGCTAATTTTCATGCATCAAGGTTCTTTGAGCTGAATTTGTGTAATGAGTGCACTGGAAATTGAAAGACGAGATTAAAGTGCTGTTTGTCATGTACAGAGATTTCAGAAATGCTTATCAGCCTTTCGCAGCTGAACATAGCCCAGATTAAAAACCGATCTGACAGAAAGGGAGGCTGACTGCAAATGTGGGGCTTTACATCCACACTAATTACAAAGTGCATATTAAACATGAGGCCGACGATGAGAGCAGCTGCAAAGGTCTTTATCTATATTAAGAGACTGTCCACCTACATAATAAGAATAATTACCAATGAGAGAATTCTTAAAAAGAAATTGCATTTAATGACACATCATACAATTTCTCCTAATTTCAAAAGT
This sequence comes from Homo sapiens, assembly GCF_000001405.40. Taxonomy (NCBI): domain Eukaryota; kingdom Metazoa; phylum Chordata; class Mammalia; order Primates; family Hominidae; genus Homo; species Homo sapiens. Next base: position 150,222,252 of record NC_000002.12, on the reverse strand, counting down.
CTATTCCACCATCCCCCAATAAGGTGTGAGTTTGTCTTCTCTGTGGAGCCAGGTGACATGTCAGATTTTGAAGAAAAGATCTATTCACATGTATTGTATTAATGTAAGCCCCTTTGGTTTTAAAAGTGCAAGTGTGGAAACCTTATGGAGTTCCCAATCCTTGTCTCTAATGAAATGACAGGAAGCAACTGAAACTTCTTCAAAGGCCACTTTAATTGGAAGGTTGTCAATACCACCAGACCTGGACTCCATCGCCTTTTTCCCCCTTCCTAATAAATGCTAACATTAGAGATTGCATGCCACCGAACTGAAGGGGTACAAGAAATTCTCCTCTTGGAGTTTTTTTTTCCCCTTTGTAAAAAGGAAATGGCCTCTCCTGATCCTTGAGAAGTAAATGCAATGCTACCAATGAAGACATCTAGCATACACTGAGCATTCCACAAGTAGTAGTTTTTCTTTTCCATTCATCTTTCCTTTCTTTCTACCATCTCTTTCTTCCTTCCTTTTCTTCTTCATGTTTTTCAGTTGGTGTAAACCTAAATTTTAAAACTTCTTTTTAGCCTAAGTGTCACTTTTCATTATTTTATTTTCAAAATAAAATCAGTAAACACTTTTGGTTTACTTCTTATTGTTGTTCCTGAAAACCTAGGCACATAATAAATGACTAAAATCTAATAAATGATAATGGTAAGATATTAAAAAGAGCACCTAATAAATTCAGCCTTTCGGGAAAAAGCAACGTGAGAAATCAAGGGCCATACAAATGGCAGCAATATGCTATTGCAGGAAATATTATTTTATCTGTATTACTAATAACATACTCCAATCAAATTCTTCAAGATTTCCGACAGAAATTCCAAACATCTAACAGACATTTAATCTCTGTTACAAGGCTCTAAAAATATTAGGAAATATACATACAGAAAAGTACATAAAAGCACTTGTATCATTTACCAATAGTTCTAAGACAAACACCCAAACCCATCCAGGATAAGAAATGGAATGTGGTGACACCTAAGAGGCCCCGTCTCTCCTGTGTGTGTACTTCCACAGGCTCTTTCCTCTGTCAAGAGCAACTTTCTCATGACTTTTATAACAATTTCTTTGCTTTTATAAGGCTCTTCTGTATAGCTAAATATACCTTTCATCTTGCAATATATACAATTTTTTTCCTATGTTTCCTCTGCAGTTAGTGTGAAAAAAAGTGAGTTTTCAGACTTATTTTCTCCAAGCTTCTTAACTTCAGTTGCTGTCTTAGTCAGTGTCAGTTACTATAACAAAAATGTATACTGGATGATATAAACAACAACGATTGTTTGACACAGTTTGGGGAAGATGGCAAGTCCAAGGCCAAGGTATTGACAGACCTGGCATCTGGCAAAGGTCCTTTTTTTGGTTTGCAGATGGCCATCTTCTCACTGTATTCTCAGATGTTAGAGAGCAGAGAGGGATTTCCATGTCACCTCCTCTTTATAAGGGCATTAATCACAGCACAAGGGTCCCAGCCTCATTGCCTAATCTAACCCTAATTATCTCCCAAAGGCCCCATCTCCAAGTACCATCACATTAGGAGTTAGGATTTCACCATATGAATTTGGAGAGAGGAGGCATAAATATTCAGTGCGTAACAGTCCCTTTAGTTTTTTTCTCTTACTCAGTTTGGGAATCTCAGTGGTTCAAAATCACCAGCATAGACTATCACTATTAAATAGTCTTTTGTTTTTCTTCCCATTTGTTTTATTATATCCTCCCCCAGATGCCAAGAACCTTAGGGACATCGATGGTAGTAGGGATCATTTCCAGACTGAACCTTGCTATATTCATGGATGGCTTTAATTACAGATTAAAATAGTTTAAATAACAACCCAGAAAATGGGCGAGTAAAAACATTAAAGGATATTTCCCACCTACTGATATCTGAGATTCCTATCTCCCATTTTCTTTCTGTGCCGTAATAACTGGTAATCACCAGAGGTACAAGAAGAGACAAGATAACAAGGTGGGTGTTTTATGAGAAAACTTATCACAGGAGTGCTGCTGGGAATCCCTGAAATCTCCAGTCCTTAGAAGAATCTTTACTTCAAAGACAGCTTTATACCATCAAAGTAGAAGAGATAGAGACAGGAGGCAGCCAAGGGTCCCCCTCCCTTGCAAAACCCCCTACTTCAAGCCTAAAACAGCCTGAAGGCTGAAAAACTGGACTGCCCCTTCCAGATGAAGCCTGCCCTTTCCCGACTGATTCTTTCTGAATAGTGCCCACCTGCACACTGGGAGGACGGGGTGGGGCCTCAGGAAGTTCACACCATTTGCAGAGGGGAGGAGCCTGGTCTCTCCTGTTCTTGGGTGGTGACCTGGGGTTCAATCTGTGAGATGGGGGCCTGCTAACTGGAACCCCTCTTGCTTTGCTGAGTTTTTTTCCTTTTCGCTCAATTAATTCCATTCCCCCTCACCCTTCAAAGTGTGTGCAAGCCTAATCTTTCCTGGTTGTGTGACAAGAACACAGTTTTTTCTACAGCAAAAGTGTTTGCAGAAAAATTCACAGTATTATTTATTAAAGAGACACTGTACTTTCTTCCCCAAAGTTAAAGTAATAAAGGCAAGGATAAGCAACAGTATTCTTTTTCCTGAAGTTAAGAAGAGATTGCTGATTTGAGCCAGTGGAGATGGCCCTGCTGCCCGCCACCTCCCCCATCTGCTCCCACTGCTGGGGGCTGTGCACTCTAGACAGTGGATACTAGAGCATCATTTCCTGAAGCCTGGAGGGAAGGCAGAATGGTTGACAAGAGGCCAAACAGGCACCTGCAGAAGATGTGGTGATGCAGGAGTCCAAAGAGGAGTCTTCACCCAAGCACCTGCCCCAGGAGGCCAACCAAGGCCCCCTGCCCTGGTGGAAGTGAATGTTGTCCCACATCCAGGTCCTCTAATGCTCTCCCAGTCATCCCCTAGTACCAGGTTGGGCCCCCTACCCAACTCTAACCCAACACCTCTAGTGATTAAAGCTGCCGGCTCCACCTCCCATGGGGCAGGCTCCTACAGAAGCCAGACATAATCACTGGGACTCAGGCACACTGAGGCCAGGCCCTGATCCTGCCTGCTTCCCCTTCCTGCCAACTTATTATTTAATAGAAATATTGTTCAATAATAAACAAAAATGTTGCGAAGTCCTTTTCAGGAAGTGACCAGATTCAGGTCACTCAGGTCAAGCCTAGTGGCCTGAGTGACCTGAGGTCTAGTCACTACTACATGGCGTTATGACCTTGGGTAAGTTTTCTCATCTATAAAATGGGCAGTTTTGGCTAGATAATCTCTAAGATACCTTTAAATCAAAAAATTATAGCCTATTAGTAGATAGTGGATATTCAGGATCCTAAAATAGAGATCTTGTTTTTCATGAGTTTGATATTGGATTTTTATAGTGAAGGATAGAAAAAATTAATAAAAAGCAATCAAGATTATTTTTTAGAAGAATGGAAACTTTAGGAATAATCAAATCACACTGATCAAACAAAAAACAGCAAGCAAACATATAACACATTCAAACTTATCCCCACTTATATTTTTATTGTATATGGATTATTTAGGAGTTCCCAAATATTTCAGCATTGTAAGTTGATACGGGGTGGAAATAAACATTTTCTTCAGCATCTACTATGTAGGAGGAATTGTGTGCTAAGGTATTTGTCTTCATAGTAAGACTGTAAAGGTAACGGCATTCCCTTTTGGAGATGTGGAAGCTGAAGCTCAGCTAGTTAAAATAAATTATCTAGTGATCTATGGCAGAAGTTCTCAAAGTGCCTCATTCCCCACCCTAATATCACTGGCATCACCTAGACATTTGATAGAATTGTAAGTTCTCAGGCTCCACCCAGACCTACTCAATCACAGACTCTGAGGGTGGGGCCAGAGATGACTTTTTAACCAGACCTCCAGCTAACCTTGGAAACCACCAGTCAAGGGAGTTAAGAAACTAGGAATCAATCTGATATCCTAACTTGAACTCTCCACTACCCACAATTATTACAGAATTCCAATTTGCCCAACTCATTTCTGATTGCTTTTCTTCATACTGCTTTCAAAGGTTATTTTGCAGGTGGGGAATATTGCAATCCCTTTTTTTTTTTTTTTTTCAGATTCATTGGAGGTAGATGAGAGACTTGAAACAGAATCATTTCAAGTTTGGGAGTCAAAAGGAAAAGTGACAATTTTCAAGCAGACACATGACAATAATGTATACAATATTAACATATTATGTCTGTGTGTGAGGAATGAACTGGATGATCTGTGAGTTCTCCCTCATCCTAGGAGTTTACGGATTTGATTTTACCAGTGGCTTATAACTCCTTTATATCTACAAATTTGTATCAGCATGTTTCTTCCAAGATGTAGATTTGGGAATATCATACATTTTTTTTTTACACACAAATCTTCATAGAGCTTTATTTGTAATAGCCAAAACCTGAGAACAATCCAAATGCCCTTCAATGGGTATACAGTTAAACAAACTGTGGTACATCCACACCATGGAATACTACTCAGTAATAAAAAAGAATGAACTAGTGACACACACAACAACTTGGATAGACCTCATGGGAATTATGCTGAGTGAAAAAGCCAACTGGAAAAGTTACATATTATATAACACGTTTATATATCATTCTTGAAACAATAAAAATTATGAAGATGGAAAGCAGGTTAGTGGCTGCCAGGGATTAGAGACTGGGGATGGGGGTAGGGAGGGAGCTACGTGGCTGTCAATAGCATGATGTAGTCTTGTGAACAAACTATCTGTATCTTGACTGTGGTAGTCACATGAATCTACATATGTAATAAAATTACATAGAACTAATTACACACATACATATATAATTGCATGCTTTCAAAACTGGTGAAATCTTAAGTTGATGGATTGTCTCAGTGTCAACTTCTTGATTGTAATGTTATGCTACAGCTAAGCAAGATGTCACTATTGAGGTAAACTGAGTAAAGGGTACACAGAATCTCTGTATTATATCTTACAGTTATATCTTAACTGTTTCTAAATCAATGATTATCTGAAAATTTAAAAAAATGACAAGGAAGTTCAGAAAAAAAGAGTATATTACATCCACTTGAGGAAGTCAAGAAAGGCTTTGGTGAGGAGGCAACATTTGAACTACACTATAGATCTTGATATAATCCAGTCACTCTATGGTTAATAAGGTTTATCATTTTTTTAAATTGAAGTGAAAAGTTAGAATAAACCCTCACAGTGACAGACCACCTTGACAAATATGTTTTGGAATGATCCCAATGAAATTTTTTTTGTAGAATCAGAATTGTTTAAAAAACTAGCACAGAGAATATGTTACAATTTTAAAATCTC